>NC_000021.9:42184392-42484392 GCF_000001405.40 Homo sapiens | reverse complement strand
ACTATTGTGTAGGTTAGATAATGGAATTGTGAAACCTTTGAGGATTGGCATTTAGAATCACAATCGGTAGTGCCCATTTTCCTAAAAAGTGGTGTCAGTTTATACTCTTGCCAATAGAATATGAGTCTGTTTATCATATATTCTCATCGATGTTGGATATTCTCAGTCTTTAATGTTGTTTTTGTTCTTTTCCAATCTTATGGGTAAAAAATGTCATCTCATTGTTTTAATGTGTACTTCCCTGATTACTAGTGAGGTCAAACATCTTGTCACATGTTTATTGCTGGTTTGTGTTTCTTCCTCAGAAAATTCCCTGTACATGTCCTTGTGGACAAGTTATCAATACCACAAAACTTCAATAATTAAAACAGTGTGATACCAGGATACACACACACACACACACCAATGAAGCAAATTAGGAAGTCCAGAGACAGTTCCCAGTATATAAAATAATTTCACACACAATAAGCGTGTCAAATTAACAAAGGGATGATGGGAGGAGTCAAGACATAGTGCTAGGAACACTTGACAATTATTTGGGAGGAAAATAATAGTTTTGCCTTCACACAGATGAAGATACTTTCTAGAAGAAGTAAAGATTTAAATGTACCCTAGGAAATATAGAAAAAAAATGTAGATGAATATTAACCTTGAAATGAGGAAAGAGAACTTTCTAAACAGAAATAGAAAGGAAAAACCAATAGGTTTAGCTTTATAAAAATAACTTCTTATAGATTAGAAAATGCTGTAAAGAAAATCTAAGAGATGACTGTTAAATGGGGAGAGAATATTTGCAACATTTAATATATAAAGTGTTTTATCAATCAATGTGATTTAAATGGCTAAAAATCTTGAAAAAAATGCAGGCTTACTAACAACTGAAATGAAGTGAATTAAAATTGTGAGACCCTGTTGTTTTATATAAAAAAACATGTAAAAATAGACCATTTTTACACTCCTAAAATCAAGAGTTTGAGGATCTGGGACTCTTAAGTGCAGTTATGGGAATGAAACGATTAGAGCCTCATCTAATCAAAGCACATGTATGCTTTTGTCCAGAAATTCTGAGAATTTAAGGATGGTATCAAAAGCGTACATAAAGTTTTAACTCAGAGTACGTTTGCTGGAGCGTTCTTTGTAAAAAAAAAAAAAAAATCAGTATCCCAAATACCAACAATAGTAACTGAGTAAAATAGGTTGCAATCCATAGATGAAATAAAGTACCAGGTGGCAACTGTTATTAGGAAAGAATATTTGTAAATACGGGAAGTAGTTCATGCCATATTTCTCAGTAAAAATAGAGTATGAGTTAGTATGTATAATTATGATCAGATTTTTATTTAACCATGTATACTAGAAGCAAAGTTACAAAGAATGCATCAAAATATTAGTAGTAGTTCCATCGGTAGCTAGTTTGCCTATGGATACTGATTCACTGAGGTTTTCTGAAAATGAATACATCACTTTTATAAAAAAGTAAAATGTGGTTAAAGTTTCCAAAAGTAAACAAAACAGGGCATATAAGTTCCAATCCCATCAGCCACGAGTTCACAAAAGCATTCCTTAATCCATGTTACACTTTACCCAATTTGGTGATTTGAGGTGGGTATTGTGGTGGTGACATTTGTATTTTGTATTTTCTGCTGGGTGTTGACACTTAAGAATGGTTTCTCTTTGCTCGTAGCCTGTTGGCCCTGGAAAGTATGTATTTGATGTTGGGTGTGAACAACATGGTGAATATCGTTTAACAGATATGGTAAGTTGCGGAGCATGTAGGGTTTTGTTACATTAACAGGGAAGTAGCTGCTCAAAAATATTGATCCTGCAAGGTTGGAGGTGATTCGCCTAAAAGTTATGCCAACTCTTAGGCACTTTCACATTTTCATTTTCCTTATCTGCATGTGTTAGTACAGAACTAAATTGCCAGAAGCAAACAATATCATTTCCCATTTATTGCAGAACTCTAGACTTTGTTGATAGATACCGTTTTTGTTGATAGAAACTAATCCTGGCAGGGCACAATGGCTCACGCCTGTAATCCCAGCACTTTGGGAGGCCGAAGCGGTGGATTGCTTTAGGTCAGGAGTTTGAGACCAGACTGGCCAACGTGATGAATCCCTGTCTCCGCTAAAAATACAAAAATTAGCTGGGCATGGTGGCGCATGCCTGTAATCCCAGCTACTCAGGAGGCTGAGGCAGGAGAATCGCTTAAACCTGGGCGGCGGAGTTTGCAGTGAGCCAAGATCACGCCACTGCACTCCAGCCTGGGCGACAGAGTGAGACTCTGTCTCAAAAACAAACAAACAAACAACCAATAAATAAAAAACTAATCCTGAGTGGGAGGGTTCTAGACAGTGTTAGGTCCTGCAAGTGAAAACTGAATCTGTAACTGGTGTTGCCACAGTTTGTCCAGTGACTGTTAGCTTGTCCGTTGTGCAGCATGCTCCTCTGAACGTGCCGTTGGTAAGTCTTTCTCTTGTTTTTTCCTTTCCAATATCTAACATTAATATTAACACTACATTGACATTCCCTGGTTAATAGTAAAGCTAGTCAGCTAATATTGCCGTTATAAGGCATCGAGATGCGTATGTGTGTTGAGGTGGGAATATATGTGTTCCTATTCCTCTCATTATTAATGTCTGATCAATCCCTCTAGATAATTAGCAATTCAGCAACATTTCCTGACCCTGGTACTGGTTTTGATCCTTTTGACTTATTTGTTTAGATGAGGTCATTCTCACTGTAAGAAGTTTTGAGTTTTAAGGAGGAGTGTGGAATCACGCTTTTGTTTGTTTTTTGGTCTCTGAAGTTGTTGAGGTGTCCCCTCCTAGTGAGTTAAGAATATATTATCGTACACAAACTCTCCCATGTCTGCATACTTTCTTTCTGAAGAAAGCCGGGGAACGGCTTGTTTGGGTCTACCATCACATCAATGCCCTTTCAACCTGGGTTAGTCCTTTTTGTGCTGCTATAAAGGAATTCCTGAAGCTGGGTAGATTATAAAGAAGAGAGGTTTATTTGGTTCACAGTTCTGCAGGCTGTACAAGAAGCATGGCACCCGCAACTGCCTGGCCTCTGGTGAGGTCTCAGGAAGCTTCCACTCATGATGGAAGGTGAAGGGGAGCTGGTACCATAGCTCAAAAGAGGAGGAAAAGAGGGGAGGAGGTGCCAGGTATATATATATATATTTTTAACAACCAGTTCTTGTGTGAACTAATAGAGCAAGAACTCACTCATCACCACAGGGAAGGCACCAAACCATTCATGAGGGATCTGCCCCCGTGACCCAAACACCTCCCACCAGGCCCCACCTCCAACCCCGGGGGTCACATTTCAACATGCGATTTGAAGGGGACAAACACCCAAACTATGTCACAACCTGAGCCAAGTCACCTCGTTTTGTTTTTTTGTTGCTGTGTCCCTCGTCAAGCCCTTGGCATCACCCAGAGGCCCTGCTTTAAACCGACTCCTCGTCACCTTGGGCTCAGGTGTGAGGCTGTGGAAAGCTATCCTTGGTCACAGGAGGTAGAAGCCACACTGTGGGGAGCTTGGAAGGCTGCGGGAGATCCTGTGCATGAGGGCCTGTCCCGCACCTGCTCTGTGCCGCCCACTGCTGTCTCTACCTAATGCTCCATCCTTTCACCCCAAGGGCCCTGGCCTTGAATCCTAAGTCTAAACTCATCACTAATTTTTCAATTCAATGCTCTTCAATGCTCTCCAGACAGGTTTTTTTTTTTTTTTTTTTTTTTTTTGAGATGGAGTTTCGCTCTTGTTGCCCAGGCTGGAGTGCAATGGCGTGATCTCGGCTCAACGCAAACTCCACCTCCCGGGTTCAAGCGATTCTCCTGTCTCAGCCTCCCGAGTAGCTGGGATTACAGGCATGTGCCACCACGCCCAGCTAATTTTGTATTTTTAGTAGAGACGGGGTTTCTCCATATTGGTCAGGCTGGTCTCAAACTTTCGACCTCAGATGATCCACTGCCTCAGCCTCCCAAAGTGGTGGGACTATAGGCGTAAGCCACTGCGCCCAGCCCTCCAGACAGTTTTTTAACTTTTCTCATTTTTCTTCCTAGAGTTTGTTAGATTCTAAAACCAAAGGGAGTCTTTGAATCTTTATCCCTTAACCTCCCATGATCAAGTGACTGTCCGTGCTCCGTTGCTGCTTCCCAAGTGGCCACAGTCTGGACATCCCCGGGGCTCTCGGCCCTGACCTCAGCCACCCTCTTTTCCTGATTCCCGCTCCTGTGATATTCTACTTTCTGCACATCACTCTGGCCATGGTTATTTAGTTTCCCCAAACAGCCCATGGTTGCTCATGGTCCACCTTCTTGGCTGACCAGAATCCTGTGTGGCCTCACAGTGATCTGTCTTCCTTGCCTCTTCTCCTGCTTTGCTCCAGCTAAAAGGAACCACTGGCTAGGGGCAGGTCCCTAGAAAACCAGAAAATGAAATGGCCAAAATGCTTGATTTTGTTGCTAAGTAAGAGGCCCTACCTCCTCTGAGCACGAATTCTTCATGGACCGCAGGGTGCTCTAGTCTGGGTGGAAGGCAGCTTCCTGTAAGTCACCTGCATCTAACAAAACGTAGAGGAATTTGACATACTGTCCTCCCCCGAGGTTCCACTTCATTTATGTGTGTGTGTGTGTGTGTGTGTGTGTGTGTGTGTAACCTCCTACACACATAGTCAGAAGCCTAAGAAAGACAGTCGGCTTTAGGATTTGATTGTGACAGGGAGGTATTTAGTATTTTGCTGGGATTTCCATGGGGTTGGACACCTCTCATCTGTTCCCTGAAGGAACCTATTGGTTAAATTGATATCTTGTCAGCACTGGTAATAACTGTTTAGGGTTACTGGTGATTGAGCAAGTTTTTACATTTGTGTAGTGATAAAAATAAAGCCCATCTTATTAAGTGCTTTGCAGCTTTAGACTCTACTGGAAAAAGTTCCTAGAAGTCAGTATTTCAGGATGATGAGAAGAAGGTAGAAGGAGCATCAGTAACATCTAAGAGAGAATTACTGATATAAGCCCCAAGTCCTGTTGCTGTTTAGGAAAAACCACCCATGAAATAATGCAGCAACAACCTGAGGGCTTTGTGGAAGGCCTCCCACTGTGCTGTGGGGATGGATTAGGATGGTGGTGGAACAGAAGGGCCTCCGTGTTCTCTCTCCCTAGTAAGGGGAATGTATCCCTTCTAGAGTAGGGCTTGCCAAGCTGCAGCCCACGGCTCACTCCCTGTTTCTTTTTAAATTATGGTTTTATATGTACGTTTATAGAGTTTGAAATTTGCCATTTTAAAGCATGCTTTCAGTGGCATTCAGTACGTTCAGTGTTGTGCAGCTGTGAGAATGATGCATTTCTGGAGCTTGTCCGTTATCCCAGACAGAAACTCTGTACCTATTAAGCAACAACTCCCCATTCGACCTCCCCCAGCCCCTGATAGCTTTTAATCTACTTTCTTTCTCTATGAATTTGCCTATTCTAGATGTCGCATATAGATGAATTCATTCTGTATTTGTCCTTTTGTGTCTGGCTTCTTTCATTTAGCACGACGTTTTCAAGGTTCTTGCTTATCCATTTGTCTGTTGATGGACAATTGAGTTGCTTCCACATTTTAGCTATTATGAATAATGCTGCAGTGAACATTGGTGTGCAAGCATCTGGTCGAATCTCTGTTTTCAGTTCCTTTGGTTATATACCGAGGAGTGGAATTGCTGGGTCATATGGTGATGCTGTTTCGCTTTTTGAAGAACTGTCAAATGTTTTCTACAGTAGCTGCAGCATTTTACGTTCCCACCAGCAATGTGAAAGGGTTCCACCTCTTGGTTTTATACATAAAGTGGCGTGCAGTTCCCAAACTAGTGCTGTCAGCTTCACCTGGGAATCTGTTAGGAATGCAGCTTATTGGACGCTATCCCAGACCTGCCGAATCTGAAACTCTGGGGGTGGGGCTAGCAATCTGTCTTTTAATGCTTTCTGGGTGATTCTGATCTAAGTCAAGTTTGAGGACCCTGTCCTGCAGCATTGGTGTCACCCTTCATGGGTGGCCATATTCAAACACTCTGAGACCAAAATAGAGAGTAATTGATTTCCCAGTGACTCAGTGGAAGAGGCAGGTGTCTGCCCCTCTCTGTCATCGGTATTATCACCTATGTGGCAGCGAAGTGTTCCATAGTCATAGTGCTGATGCTCAGATCTTTGGAATTTTGTGATAGTCACAAAACTGAGAAGTAGGCAAATATGCTTGGCAAAATTGGCACATGTTGGCTGCTCACCATTGTCGGAATTGTACATTTTTTATTACAAAGTGTTCCATGTTCAGACTTGATGAACTCTCATTCTGCTTTCCTTGAATTTTATTTTTCCCCATAATCCTTGACACTTGAGCTTTTGCGTTTATGCAAATCCATATCATATGGACATCTTAGGAACTTCTTAGGCCTAAGCCTAAAACAAATGGCTGTTTCTTTTATTATTTATATAAAGAATAATATAAATAATTATGTTTCTACTAAGCTCAATAGACATATAATTATATAATACACGATTTTTTATATTAGAGTTGCAAAATGTGGCCGAACAATTGAAAAGACCACTTACTCCTGGTCACTCAGTTCTGGCCACTTAGTCCTGGCCATGTCTTAGCTATTGCAGGCGACTGCGACATGCTCATCTGAAAGCCTTTTGTGGCACCCATTATAAAGCTCGCTGGCCCAGCATTGCTCTGGAGACTTTATTCCTCACCCTGGCTCTTTCAAGATCCATTCTCAACCCTGAGATTATACCATGGATAGTCAGCAACTGGTCTGATTCCTGAGTGACGTCCTAAAAAGGCTGAAACACAAGCCAAAACCTGTCTTTCAAAACTTGTCCTTCCTCCCTCACTTTTAATATTCCAGACCAAGATGACACAAATGTTGGTAAATGTACATTTTTGCACTTAAAATAGGAAAGAGGAGAAGAGGAAGAGGAGGAAGAATTAGTAACTGTTGTTCCAAAATGGAAAGCTACCCAAATCACTGAATTGGCCCTGTGGACACCAACTCTCCCCAAAAAGCCGACCTCTACGGATGGACCTGGCCAAGACGCTCCAGGAGCTGAGAGTGTGGGGCACCCCCGGGCTGTGGGGTGGAGGGGGCAGAGGGTGTGGGGCACCCCCGGGCTGTGGGACAGAGGGTGTGGGGCATCCCCGGGCTGTGGGGTGGAGGGGTCAGAGGGTGTGGGGCATCCCCGGGCTGTGGGGTGGAGGGGGCAGAGGGTGTGGGGCATCCCCGGGCTGTGGAGTGGAGGGGGCAGAGGGTGTGGGGCATCCCCGGGCTGTGGGGTGGAGGGGGCAGAGGGTGTGGGGCACCCCCGGGCTGTGGGACAGAGGGTGTGGGGCATCCCCCGGGCTGTGGGACAGAGGGTGTGGGGCATCCCCAGGCTGTGGGATGGAGGGTGTGGGCGCCTTTGGGCTGTGGGAGTTGTGGACATCCTGTTTTCAGGCCAGGTGTGGTTGGACTCTCTGAAAATCAGATGCTGGGTCAGTTGAGTGTGCGGGATGTTATTAGGGAGAGCCTTTGGGATTGGAGGACACTCCCGGAGAGCGGAGGGGAGAGGAAAGAAACAGAGTTGATTGGACAGAGGCGGAGGTGTGGCCTCCACAACCTTGCTTCATTCCATGGGGAGCACTGTGGCGTCTCGGGGACCCTTATCCCCTCACCTAGGTCAGTGAGTGAATGTGGGTGTGACCCCGGGCTGGCACTGACAGCAGCTGAGGGGACAGCCCTTCCCTGAAGAAGGGTCCGTGTGGCACCTCCATGTCCAACCCAGTGGTCTTTCTGGAAGTCCTTAATGTGCTGGGGAAAGTTGAAGGTGGCTACCCCGGGTGAGATCCCTTCCATGGCAAGCGGAGGAAAGCCAACTCCGATTGGCCTCCGTGAAAGAATACTCATGCTGCTAAGAATTTCTTGGCTCATGTGACTGGGAAGCTCCGGGACAGCCCCCAGAATGGCCGGGCAGCCTCTGCCCTCTGTCCCAGCTCTCCTCTCTGCTGGCTCCCCTGGCTGGCACTCTCAGGAACCCCAGGGGACTTCTCTTTCTCAAGAGTCTCATCAACACCCTCAGGAATGAAAGTTATCAGACTACCTGCTCCCATCCCCAAGCCACTGACTACAGTGGGGACTGGGCTGCTCCCCTGGCCAGGCCTAGGCTGGGCTGGGTGGATGTTGAGATGGGGAACATGAGGTGCTGCCAGTGGGAGGGGGAGGGTGGGGGCACGGCAGCCCAGGGGACAGCTGCCCTGCACAGGTCTGCAGGCTCCATTTTTCCCAGGAACTCAGGCTTCTGACTTGTGTTTTATCTCAGGTGCAGGAGAACCCGGGGAGGAGGCCCAGGCTCTGCTGGAGGGCTTCGAGGGTGAGATGGACATGAGGCCTGGAGATGAAGATGCAGACGTCCTCCGGGAAGAGAGCCGGGAGTATGACCAGGAGGAGTTCCGCTATGACATGGATGAGGGTGAGGTCCCTGCGCAGGGAAGTGGGGCGAGGGCCCGCACTTAGGGGCCACGAACAGTGGGATTCCCCTTCCCTTCACCAAGGCCTGCCTTCAGCTGGGCCCCAGGGACTCGAGGAAGGCTTAGGGGGCCCCCTGTGAGCGCTCACTGGAGCCATCTCAGAACGTTGCTCCCTGGCAGGCCCTCCTGCAAGCCTGGCTGCAGTGGGAGAGGCCTGGGTGTGCAGCGGTGCCCATGCGCGTTGTCACAGGAGGACCGACCCCAGGCTGGAGAGCCCTGTCAGACATGCAGAGCCTGGCTTTCTTCTGTTGCATGATTTTTTTTTTTTTTTTGAGATGGAGTCTTGCTATGTCACCCAGGCTGGAGTACAGTGGTGCGATCTTGGCTCACTGCAACCTCCACCTCACTGGTTCAAGCAATTCCCCTGCCTCAGCATCCCAAGTAGCTGGGATTACAGGTGCATGCCACCATGCCCGGCTAATTTTTTTGTATTTTTAGTAGAGGTGGGTTTCACCGTGTTGGACAGACTGGTCTCAAACTCCTGACCTCACACAGGAGGCCCGCCTCGGCCTCCCAAAGTGCTGGGATTTGCATGATTTTTAGCAGGGCTGACTAACAGGAGTATGGTTTCAGACTAGTGGTGTCGGGAACTAGCTCTTTTTCAATGGGTTTGGATGTAAGATTAATCTAGAAACTTCTGCCTCTGCCAGCTCATAGGGCAGGGATTTGACCTCAGTTCTGACTGACTGAAGCCTCAGGCTCCTGGAATCTTTAAAAATCTTTCCCCAAGTGCTTGTGGGCACTTGCAGAAAGTCTGGAGAGAGGACTCGCTTCCCTTAACGCACTTTTCACATCTGACTGAAAGAGGGTGTCGTGCTTGTGAGGGAAAGGGCCATCTGGGAACAGCCTGGGCACGGCGGCCTCAGGCACGGGGTCTGCAGTCCCATTCCACTTAGTTTGTCTCTGTTGTAAATTAAGAATATACTTCCCATTCCTTTGAAAATAATACCTGAAATAATGAAATCACATAAAGCAGTTTTCTCTTAGATGCTTGAAGCACACATAGACTTTCGTGATCGGTAATTCCCCTGAGCGCTGGCATAGACTTTCGTGATCGGTAATTCCCCTGAGCGCTGTAGCAATGCACCCAGTGACGCAGTGCTGAGGTGGGACGTGGGGTCAGGTGGAAACCTGGCTTTACAAGTGAGCATCGTCTCTGCTTCTCTGACTTGCACAGGGAGGGTGGATAGAGTGAGCCCTGGTAGGTAGGGAGTCCACAGGATTCTGTTAGGACTGAGTGGCTAGAGTATGCACAGTGTTACAGCAGCATCTAGCTGTGCCCACAGATGTCAGTCCTTAGTCACTGTGGAGCACAGCTGGAGGGGGAGACACTGGGTTTGATAGGCAGTGTGGGAGTGAGGGGCTGGGCTCTCGCCCTCTAGCACCTAATGGGAAGCTGGAATAAAGGAATCAGTGAGTTCCCTGCAGTGACAGGGACGTGTTACCATGTACCCAGGAGAGGTGATGACTCACCTGGGGCAGGACCAGGAAACTCCGGGTTAGCTGGGAGGGAGGTGGCAAGGAATGGGTGAAACCAGGAAGGAAATTCCAGGCAGAGAGCAGAGTCTGACAGCAGAAGAGTGTGGGGGTGGGGAGGTGGCCCCTTTCCCTTGGAACCAGATGGCCTTTGAACTTGATCCTGAGCCCAGTAGGCGGGACCTCTGGGAGCTGTGGGGATTGCCTGTATCAGGCTTGCTCTCTGAGCTTCTCTGGGGCAATGAGGATGGGTGCCCTGGAGCCAGGCAAGGCAGGAGGCCCCAGAAACTTGGTGGGGGAGATAACGGAGGGGATGGAGCAGGAGGAATCCTGAAAACCGGACTGGGAGAGATGGGGCCGAGTGGACGATGCCCAGTACCAGCGGGCGTCTGAGACTGTGGGTTCATGCACCAGCCTTGGACAGAGGGAACACCCCCTTAACTCAGTGGTTTTGGGGCTCCAGGGGACATTTGGCAATGTCTGGAGACTTGGGAGGCTGGTGAGGGAGGTGCTGCTGGCATCTTCCTGGGTGGAGGCCGGGGACGGTGCTGAATACCCTGCAGGGCACAGAACAGCCCCCAGCAAAGGGTCACCCAGGCCACAGTGTCAGGAGGGCCCTAAGTGAAAAGGGAGTAATACAAAATAGGCTTAGTCGGCAGAACATTTATCAAAATAATGCAAGTTCAGCATGTATTCATCATGAATCCCACATTACATTGGAGATTTACCCTGCTAATTTCTTCTTTAATATACCCAACAGTGAAAGTTATAGAGTTTAATTAATAATAAAAAATAGCTCTACCTTTCACAAAACATTTAAATATAGCGTCTTATAAGAATGTGGCAAATTTCTGCTTTTTTTTTTTTTTTTTTTAAGATGGAATCTTGCTCTGTTGCTCAGGCTGAAGTGCAATGGCGTGACCTCGGCTCACTGAAACCTCTGCCACGGGGTTCAAGCGATTCTCTTGCCTCAGCCTCCCAAGTAACTGGGTTGACAGGCATGTACCACCATGCCCAGCTAATTTTTGTATTTTTAGTTGAGACGGGGTTTCACCATGTTGGCCGGGCTGGTCTCGAACTCCTGACCTCAAGTGATCCGCCTGCCTTGGCCTCCCAAAGTGCTGGGATTACAGGCATGAGCCACTGCGCCCGGCCTGCTTTTCTTTTAAATTAATAGCCAAGCAATTACATGTTTTAGCCACAAAGCTGGCTGTTTTGGACAGGTGTGCAGGCATAAGAGAATTACTGATGTTACATGGATAGTCTTGTCTTAGCATTTACTTTGAGTACGTATTTTGCTTATTTTATGTCGGGTACCAAAAGAAAAAACTGTTGAAGTGCATATGAGATAAAATTTAACATTCAATTTTTGACTGATGAATGCTTAATAGTTACAATAATTTTTTTCGGCAAAAGATCTGTTAGTGAATAAAGGCTTTAAAAATAGAACAAAGTAAATATGAGATATACTCATGTTTCTCTTTTCTTTTCAGGAAACATTAATTCTGAAGAAGAAGAAACTAGACAGTCAGACCTCCAGGACTAAGATGAAGTGAGCCGAGAGGAGATCGTATCATAAGAATGCTTCTGTCGTTAGCCGGGTGCAGTGCTGTGTGTATCTAGTTCCAGCTACTTGAGAGGCTGAGGCAGGAGGATTGCTTGAGTCCAGAAAGTGGCAGTTGCAGTGAGTGGAGATCGCGCCACTGCTCTCCAGCCTGGGTGGCAGAGCGAGACCCTGTCTCAAAAAATAAACAAAAACAAAATGCTTCTGTCAGTTAACAATCTTTATTAGAGGGTTTTTAGTCTTTCTTTCTCAGCTGTATGTTAAGTTGATTGACAAATGCAAATAAACGTCTTTATTATCCTTTCTTTCTGAAATAGCCTCTGCTTCAAGTTCTGTAAACTGAAGGTTACCACGTGGTTTTGCCATGGTTTTTCAGTGGTGTCTTCTCCTTGGATAGAGAAAACTGTAAATCTGCGGGAGACGGTGAATGGAAGTTTGGCTTCTGGCTGAGCTGGGAGAGTAGTTCTGTACCCAAACCCCTCTCTCAGATTTCCCACAAGGGAGGTAGGAAGCACTTAGAACATGAGGATTGCTGTGTGCAATGCTCCTCGAATGCAGTGTGATGGGTACACGGCCGGCTTGGGTAGGAGACCGCCCGCTGCCCCGCAGGGTTCCCTCCCACTCCTTCGCTTCTCCATGTGGAGCCCAGGCCCACTGTGGGGGCCCTGCAGGTGGCTGGGGAGAAGGGCTGCCCACAGGCCAGGCTTTGGCCTGTTTTGCACACGCTTCCGTTTCTTAGTGTACTGGAGGCTGCCACCTGCACCTCATTCTTATTTCTTGAGGACTGTCTCAGACTCTGCCTCTCCTTTCTCTCCCCAATGCCAGGCCACCCCCTTGTTCCTGGGCAGATAAGCGAGGACCTCCCAGGGGAGCCCGACTCCCCATCGTGCATGGCTCTCATGGCTCTGCTTCATGTATCCTCCCCTCCCCTGGGTTACTCAGAGGGCAAGTGTCTTCAGTTCACCCCAAAATGTCCTTTAGAGTTAGTTTAACAAATGTCAAGGACATTTTCAGTTCATCCCAGACATCTTCAGTTCACCCCGAAACAGTTCACCCCAGACACTATCAGTTCACCCCAAAATGTCCTCTAGAGACATAATCTGGGGGCTATGTCTCTAAACAGGGGGCCCCTGGAGACAAAAGTGGCTCCTTCTTGGATGCTAACCCACCATGTTCACGTCTGATCGGCCCCAGTCCCTTGAATGCCTCCTGGTGTCCGCTTTATCTACTGTCTCTAGTGTAAGAACCTGTCAACCTTGACGTTGCCGCACAAATTAGAGGCCACAGTGCACATGGCATTCTTGCTGTCCTGGAGAGTTGCCTTTGTCTTGCTGGAGCGTGTACGCCCTTTCCCTGCAGTATATAAGCCCCAGGTCTGGGGAGTAACAGTGCAGAGAGCCACCTGTCCTGTGGCCGCCCAGGGCCACGCTTCCATGTGTAAGTTCCCCAATACATCAACCAATATCCACAAACTGGATTTGTCTGCCTTCTCCTTTGGTTTCTTGGCTCCTTTGGCATTTGGGGTCTACTTTGCATACACGGCCCTTTCATGGAGCAGGGCCTCTTTAAGACAAAGCACACAAGCCGAGTATAGTGGCGCGAGCCTGTAGTCCCAGCTACGTGAGAGGCTGCAGCCGGAGGACCATTTGAGCCCAGGAGTTTGAGTCTAGCCTGGGCAAAATAGTGATACCCATCTCTAAAGAAATACATTTTTTTTTGAGATGGAGTTTTACTCTTGTTGCCCAGGCTGGAGTGCAGTGGCGTGATCTTGGCTCACTGCAACCTCCGCCTCCCAGTTTCAAATGTTTCTCCTGCCTCAGCCTCCCGAGTAGCTGGGATTACAGGCGCCTGCCACCACGCCTGGCTAATTTTTATAATTTTAGTAGAGGCAGGGTTTCTCCATGTTGGTCAGGCTGGTCTCGAACTCCTGACCTCAGGTGATCTGCCCGCCTCGGCCTCCCAAAGTGCTGGGATTATAGGCGTGAGCCACTGTGCCCAGCCTAAAGAAATACATTTAAAAAAAATCTAAAAAAGAAAGCACATACAGCATTATGAATATAAAATTAGATTAAAACAAATGTTTATTTAGAATAGGAAAATAAATTATAATAAAATTACAAATGAAAAGTGGATAAGCAGCACAAAATCTAGAAAACTATCAGAATATTGTTATGAATTCACTGCTTAATACAACTCTGTAATACGTCTTTTCCTGCATTTTTTTCCAGCATACTCTTTGATTGCCTCTTTTTACAACTATTTTGTAATATTTTCTATAGGGATATTAGCAAGATAATTACACTCTTTCTTTAGTGTGGTTTGTTCATTACTGATAATTGAGGGGCATAAAACATTCATCTTCACATACAAACATAACACCGTGCACGAAACTGCTACAGGATTGCAAATGACAAACAGGTGTGCTGATGAATCCAATTGCATGGATTCTTATCCAAAATTAGATATGACAGGGGCAGGGCACTGTGGCTTACTTCTGTAATCCCACCACTTTGGGAGGCCGAGGTGGATGGATCACTTGAGGTCAGGAGTTCCAGACCAGCCTGGCCAACATGGTGAAACCCTGTCTCTACTAAAAGTACAAAAATTAGCCAGGAGTTGCGGCATGCGCCTATAATCCCAGGTACTCGGGAGGCTGAGGCAGGAGAATCGCTTGAATCTGGGAGGCGGAGGTTGCAGTGAGCTGAGATCGTGCCACTGCACTCTAGCCTGGGTGACAGAGCGAGACTCAATCTCAAAAAAAAAAAAAAATTATATATGATGGGCTGGTCATGGTGGTTTACTTCTGTAATCCTAGCACTTTGGAAGGCTGAGTGGAGGATTACTTGAGCACCAGGAGTTCAAGACCAGCTGGGCAACATAGCAAGACCCCATCTCTACAAAAAATACAAAGATTAGCCTGGTATTCTGGCTACTCAGGAGGCTGAGGCAGGATGATCACTTGAGCCCAGGAGGTTGAGGCTGTAGTGAGCTGTGATCGCACCACTGCACTCCAGCCTGGGCAATAGAGTTGAGACCCAGTCTCAAAAAAAGAAAAAAATATATATGATATATCATTACGCCCCTGACAGGAGATATTCTGGTTAGAAGCAGGCATCAGCGCACTCTTACAGTTTTCCACTTCTGATGATTGAAATGATCTCCATAGCCCAGCTTCTGACTCAGTGCACTTTGAACCTAATTTCTTCTGCACTCCCACACGCAATGGTGCTGGAGCTGGAGGACAGGTTCATACTGGGATTTGAAGTTTGACCCTGCACTTACGTGTCTCAATTCTAGGTAAGTAGCAAAATGAGTGTTAGAAGTATTTCTGGAAGTGATACTACTCCAGGACAGGTGGCAGAAACTGTACTACATATGAAAATTACTGCAAACCAGTGGCATACACAAATACTCTCTGGAACCCAAACCACCACATCCACCCTTGATTCAATTCAATTAGTGCCCCTGAAACAGATTCTAAAAGTGCCTGTGGCCACTTCAATGCCCTTCCACCTGAGGGGACACATGTCTGATTGAAATTAGAGGGGAAAGTGGCAGAGGCACGATTATGGTTAAAATCCTTCACTAATGCAAAATAGATGAAACACAGGGCCAGGTGGACACCCTGTCTGGACCTTGCAAGGGGCCTGTGCCTGTGCAGAGTCTGAAGCTGGAGGCTGTCAGCTTCATGGAAATCCCTGCACCCCATTCTTTTCATTCAGTGCAGTCCCTTTCATGTTGCTGGCTTTGAAGGGACTGGGCGGGCTGCCTGGCAGAATATCTCATCTTCTGGGCTTGTCTGGGCTCTCTTGTTCTTTAAGCTCTGGGCACTTCTTACTGCCAAAGAAGCTGGAGCTAAAGGTTTGGTGGATTCACGGTAATGTTCTTAGCTGGAATTCACATTTGTGGTGTTACAGACTTCCTCCTTCATTACAGCCTAAGGCATAGCCTATCTGGTTGATCCACTGTTAGTTAACCCCAGATAACGATTAGGGCCTGATATCTTTGCGGTCATGATTCAGCCCACTACAAGTATGGTTTGCGAGATGGTGTTTTTCCAACTCCACTGTTCCTTCTGAATTTATTAGGCTGTAAATCATGGATTTATTTGGTTCCCATGAAATGCAGCTCCTCCTAGAAAAACAGAATAAAACCTTTCATTCTTTCCCTTGTATGACCAATTTTATAAGCGAGGTGTTAGTTTAGCAGATGCTTCAAAGGTGACAAGTCCCTTTGTTCTGGATCTTTTTTGCATAGTCACCATGGGCTTGTGGATGTCACTGAGTCAATGCATTTCAATCCACTCCAATCACTTTTCTTTATGATGCAGAGACAGACACAACTTTGGCCAGTGGTAGCTTCTTCATGCCACTGTTTTGTCCGGTTGACAAGACCCCATTGGTCCTTGAAAACTTCAGTACTTTTTAGTGTTTTTGATGTTTTGTAATTTATTTTTGTATAATTTTAAACTTAAAGAAAACTTGCAAGAATAGAGAATGAAACTCCTCTATACTCCTTAACTAGACTCAGCAATTATTTGCGTTTTGCCCCATTTGCTTTATCATCTTGCTGAGAGAGAGAGAGAGAGACAGAGGGAGAATAGCATGTAGAGAAGGTATAAATACACGGTAGACATACACCATTTCTTCACAACCTTTTGAGTATGATAGGCCTATTTCAGTATCTATTTTGTAAAAACAAGATATTATATAGAGTATAATTATCAAATTAAGAAATTTCACATTGATATAATTTTTGTAATCCATAGTGCATATTCACATTGTACCAGTTGCCCCCATCATGTCCTTTTTAGCTAATATTAATGACACTGGGCATTCATTCATGTACTTATTGAATATTTGTATATCTTCCTTTGGGAAATGCCTGTTCAAATATGTTTCAAGTTTGTATTGGGCTGTTTTGTTCTTTGGATTGTAGAAATCCTCTACATTTTCTGTCCTTTGTCAGAAGCAAGGTTTTGCTTAATTTGTGGCTCAACAACAAACTGTTGCTGTTTTCTCAACTGCGTCCTTGATGAGAAGTTTGAATATTGTTTGTTTGTTTTAAAAAGACCTTGGTATTCCACTCTGAGTTTCAATTAGGACAGCTGGGAGCGGTGGAGAGTCGGAGTTGGGGGAAGAGCTCAGCCCAGTGGCTGGAAGTCTAGTGCACTTGGTTTTTGTATGGGGAATGCTCGCTTTCCATTTTGCTGGGAAGACGTGCAGATGAGGGCTTCTGTCACCAAAGGCTGAAGCTCTGATGATCTAATTTGGGCAGAGTTTACCCACAGGATTTGAGGCTCCTCCTTGTGGCCTTTTCTGTCCTGGGTGCTCACTTGCTTTTTATCAGCTGCGGCTGCCATGAGCTTAGTCTGCTGGCTCTGCAGACCAGAAAGCCTGCGGTTTTCTGTTTTCCTTTGGTCATTTGTCATGGCTACGACCGCCACCACCACAGCCTTCATGACAGAAGCTCCCTGCTGCCCTCCTTTCTTCCAAGTGTCAACGCCCTTCCAGAATTGGTTTCATCTTATTCACTCTCCGCTGGCATCAGGCAGTTATTTTTTGTAATTTCTCCAGCGTGGACAGCTGCTGTCTGCAGAAGGGTTGGCTCTGGCAGGAGCTGACCAGATATGGAGACTGACTGCAGCATGTGACTGACTCTGGGTAGAGAAAAGTTTCGATCACCAAATGTCTTTATCATAAGCTGAAATATTAAGATATTCATCTTGATCTCAAGATGTGCGTGATTCTTATTTCAGGTATCTTTACCACCTTGGGCTGTTCCCGGCCTTTGCCAGCTCTCTTGAGTCTCCTTGGCGTCAGCATCCTCAGAGCAGGCCCCCGGCCAGTGTAATCGTCCGATGGGCTCTTCCTGTCCACTGCACAGACAAAATCAATTTACCGAGGCCACGGCATTGCAGTAGAGAAGAGGTGTCACTGACACGAGGCTGGCCCACGCAGAAGAACTGGAGTTACTACTCAAATCATTCTCCCCAAAGCCTTGGACACTAGGGTTTTTATGGACAGTTTGGTGGGCAGGAGGCTAGGGAATGGGTGCTGCTTATTGGTTAGGCATGAAATCACAGGGGTGCAGAAAATGGTCCACATGTACTGAGTCTGCATCTGGGTGGGGCCACAAGACCGGTTGAGTCATGAGTCCCAGATCCCCAAAGGGTCAGTCTGGAAAAATAATAATAATTAAAAAAAAAAACACTTAGGTTTTACAATAGTGATGTTATTTATAGAAGCAATTGGGAAAAATCACAAATCCCCATATGGCCCCTGGAAAGAAGGGATTATAGAAACTATGCCTACATTTTTTTTTTTTTTTTTTTTTTTTTTGAGACGGAGTCTCGCTCTGTCGCCTAGGCCGGACTGCGGACTGGAGTGGCGCAATCTCGGCTCACTGCAAGCTCCGCTTCCCGGATTCACGCCATTCTCCTGCCTCAGCCTCCCGAGTAGCTGGGACTACAGGAGCCCGCCACCGCGCCCGGCTTTTTTGTATTTTTAGTAGAGACGGGGTTTCACCTTGTTAGCCAGGATGGTCTCGATCTCCTGACCTCATGATCCACCCACCTCGGCCTCCCAAAGTGCTGGGATTACAGGCGTGAGCCACCGCGCCCGGCCACTATGCCTACATTTTAGCAGAATTCAGGTCCCTCCTACAATCCTATTCTTGTGGCCTTTCATTAGTCTTACAAGGTGGTTTTCAGTTCCTGAGCATGGATGGGGTTAGTTTTAGGAAGGGACTGTTATCATCCTTGCTTTCAAGTTAAACTATAAATTCTCCCCAAAGTTAGCTTGGCCTGTGCCCAGGAATGACCAAGGATGGCGTGGTAGTCAGAAGCAAGATAGAGTCAATGATGTCAGACTTCTCTTACTGTCATAATATACTGCAAAGGCAGTTTCACCGGAGCCTGTCTAGGGGATGTCTAGCACCGCCCTGCATCAATGCCTTCCTGAGAGGGGGTTTTGGGACCTCCACCTTGGAGAAACCCTTCAACTCCACCTGCTCTTCCCCCAGCTGGTATGAGGGCTGGCCCTGACCCTGGATGACTTCTCTGTTCTCCTGCCCTGAGATCGCAGCCTCAGAGGACACTCTTGTTGGGACTGCACACAGCATTTTGTGGTTATGGTGGTGGTTTTGAGTGGGCAAGTAGATAGTGGAGAAAGGGGAGGAACTGTGGTCAGGGCACCATTAATAGAGGGAGGCAGGGAAGGGACAGAAGGTAGAAAAGGGTGCAGAAAGAAAGAAAGGCGGAGGGTGAAGGGAGCTGCTGCTGCTGCTATCTGAAATCATGGTGGAGCCATGGTTCAGGGTTAAGAATAGTTCTGGACAGAAATATCGTTACAATTAAACATTAATCAGGCTACACTTTGACCCACTTCCTTGTAAGGGAAAGTCCCATAGCATGAGATACCAACCATCTGCACCCCACTGTTCCTCTAGACAGGAACTTCCCTGCTGTTAGAATCGTAAGGCTTCTGTTTAAGAATTGCTTAAGCAGATCCTGAATTCCAGCAGAACAGCTGTTGCCAACCGGTTTGAAGATCCCCACAACAGGAACCGAGTCAGCATGAGAACACCATTTTTCCATCTCCCTGTCCACGGCTTCATTCCACTCTCCAACCTATCAACCATCTCCACACTGCAGCCTACGCCAAAACCCTTAAAAACCCTAGCCCCACACTCCTTGGGGAGATACAGTTGAGGTTTCCTGCCATTTCCTCTTCTGGTAGCCCCATGATTAAGCCTCTTTCTCTGCTGCAGCCCAGGGTCTTAGCATATTGATTTGCAGAGTGCATCAGGCAATGGACCTATTACAGGTACAAGGGAATCACACTATGAGAATGCTTTTCTTTCTTTTCTTTTCTTTTTTTTTTTTTTTTTTAAGAGATGGGGTCTCACTCTGTTCCCCAGGCTGGAGTGCAGTGGTGCAATCACAGCCCACTATACCCTCAACCTCTTAATTCAAGAGATCCTGCTACCTTAGTCTCCTGAGTAGTGGGACTATAGGTGAATACCACCAAGCCAGTCTCATTTTTTTTATTTTTTGTAAAGACAGGGTCTTGCTATGTTGCCCAGGGTGGTCTTAAACTCCTGGGCTCAAGCGATCCTCCCGCCTTGGCCTCCCAAAGCGCTGGGATTACAGCCATGAGCCACCAAACCCAGCTGAATACTTTTATTTCTAAACCTAAAGTAGCATGCAGCACTGGAATTCTGGAAGCCCTCAAGCAGGATTACAGACCCCAGGCCCTGCTGGAGCTGGTCAGCCACTACTCTCCTAAGTCACTCTTCCTTAGGGCTGCTGGCCCTGGGGTGGGGAGGGGACCATGCCCTGTGTTTACTGCCTCTGTCCCTGTCCACCGCTGCTGCTCTGTGGTTTACAGAGACAAGCGTCATTGCAGGGCCCACGTCATCGCGCCTTCCCCATCTCCACCTTGCTGCGCTCCTGCCTCACACTCACACGTGGTACCCTCGCCCGACCTGACCCGTACTTCCTGCCCCATGCTCCTCTTTTCCTCAGCCACTTCCTCCCACTTCACCCCGCACAGAGGCCTTCCCTGCCTCTAGACTCTTTAAGGCCTCTCTGGTGTCCTCTTTCCTGGCTCTTTTGTTTTTCTTTATGCTGTTAAACCAGGTTTAGCCTCCGTACATACTTAAGTTCAGCCTAAAGGGTTCTCTGTAAGTCGTGAACACTAACAAGTGGAGGTGTAAGCAGATTGGCCTACACCTGTGCCAATCACTGAGTTTTGGCCAATCAAATGCAGCCAACTGTTCGAACTGTATCCAAATAGGCAAATGCCGAGCTGTAAACAATGCAGCTGCATCCCTACCTCACTTCTGTTTTCCGTACTTCACTCTCCTTTTTCTGTCCATAAATATGCTTCCATCACGTAGCTGGAGTCTCTAAGCCTACCCTGGCTCAGAAGGCTGCCTGATTCGCATCGCAAATCATTCATTGCTCAATTAAACTCCTTTAAATTTAATTTGGCTGAAGTTTTTTTTTTTTTTTTTACCAATGCCATTTACCATAATTAGCAATTCATCCAGTCAATAACTATTTCTGGAAAGCTAAGGGTGTGCCAGGCACTGTGCCTGGGGCTGGGGTAGGCCAGGGATGCCCTCCAAGCATTCGTTATTCGGACCCCGTATTAGAAAGTTGGTAGAGAAGCAAAAGTGGTCAGACTGCCTTGAAAATATTTGCCACAAACGCACCATTTAAAGGCTGCACCCTCACTGAACACCTGCCCTGTTTAGCCTGAGCATCTCTCTGCCTCTAACCATTGTGTCCACGCCCTTGGCAATCAGTTTTTCTGATTGTCAAATTTTCCACAACACAATACAAATATAACACCAATGGATGGCAAAGGGAAATTTTCAATCTTGGAAACGCTGTAAGGTTTCATGGAATTGATTAACATTATGTGGGGGACTACTCAAATTATACACAAAGCTACTGACAAAGGAGGTTCTGGAAAAATGAGACTAAGTAACAATAGGGTATGAGACTGTCAACAACTAGTCCTTTGTTTCCTTACTTAGGGGGATAAAAGAAAAAACAAACAAACAGAAACAAACCAGCCCTGACAAAACAAATAATTTAATTCAAAGGATGATGAAGAGCTCTTGGGAAAATTAAAGGCCATACATATTTTTGTAAAAATGACTCTTTTGCTGAACACATGATGTATTAAGTCAAACATGAAGTTAAAAATGTTGCGTTCTGCTATCATAAAACATAGTCAGAAAATGTATAAGAACTCTACTGCCACCATTAATGTTGACTTACTATTATTTTAAGAATTTGGGCATAGTTGCAATTTTGCCTAATTTACCTTTTCAAAATACAAGGTAAAATGGACCAATGTTCATAATTTTTAATTGATCAAGATAGACTCTAAATCAAACCCTACTTCTCACTATTTACTTTGTATTTTGGTTTAACAGGATATGCTGTGCATGACTTTGTACTGTTTATCTCCTGATAAGGAGAACTTCCTGCTGTGTTAATTTGCATAATTACCTTTGTGCTGACCCTCCCCCTCACTGAAATGTGAGGTCTGTGAAGGCACCATCCTCTCAGTCAGGATCCCAGCAGGAAACAGATGGCCTCTCGCCATAGGAGAGTTCAAGGGCCCTCATGTTGGAACCCTGTGATAAAGGTGGCAAACCGCCTTAAGTCTGGTACCTGGGATTTAGCCATGAGGCAGGATTCTTCCTAGCAGACCTGGGCTTTCCCCACCTAAATATGTCAAGCAGCACTTAGTAGGTCTCTGTCTCATGTCTGGGGTGCCTGTGACCAAGGACCCATTGCCATAGACAATTATGGGTCAAAATACTGTTACCTGCGATCCCTCGCTCCTTGGGGCATTGAGACCTGCCTTGTCTCTGATGGTTAAGAGCCGCCCCTACTCTGGTGCTTAGAGTGGCGCTGCCTCCAGCCCACAGAGGACGGCCCACAGAGCTGGTGAAGGACTCACCAATGCATTTCCTCTCTTCCTCCGGGCCCCTTGGGGAAGAAGCATATTAGGGAAGGTCTGAGTCAGTTGCAAATAGTAGGCACCTTTCTACATTTCTATTTCCTTGAGTCTTTGAGCTCTGTTCTCTAGAGCGTGCCAGGATTTCAAGCTTTTCAATCTCATTAACTTTGTCCAATTAGCCAACCTGGAGGATTATTAACCACTTTCTCAGGGGTTGAGCCAACATATTAAACCCTGAAACCCAGCCTAATCCAGGCTCGCTCTCTTCCATGTGGGGCAGGCACTGTCAGACTCCACCCCACACTTGCTCCCAGGCTCTAGCTGCTACCTGCTAGAGTGGACCTGCAGCTCCATGTTGAGGCAATCTCCTCCCAGGGGGGTCTTGGGCCCTCCTCACCCTGCCTCTGATGGTCTCAACTGTTTTCTGGGACTGGAGGCAATGAGAGGTGTGATGTGGGTCCTGGGGAAGTGGCATCAGCTCAGGAGGCAACTTCCCCAGGTGCAGTCATTGCAAGGCTTTTTAATAGAGGAGTGTTGGGTTCCATGGGGGATGGGAGGTGAAAGGAGGAGAGAGGAGGGGAGAAAGAGAAGGGAGAGCAAAGGGGAGCTGCCTCTGTAGACAACAGGGGTTCAGGGGAATTGGCAGCTCCAAATTTCCAGCCTCTCTTTCTTCTCTGCCCAAATCTCTCCATGTGTCTTTCCCCATGGACACCTTGTATTAGTCTGTTCTTGTACTGCTGTAAAGAACTACCTGAGACTGGGTAATTTATAAAGAAAAGAGGTTTAATTGACTCAGGGATCTGCAGGCTGTATAGGAAGCATGGCTGGGAAGGCCTCAGGAAACTTACAATCATGGCGCAAGGCGACAGGGAAGCAGGCACCTCTTACAAGATCAGGGCAGGAGGAAGAGAGAGAAGGAGGAGGTGCCACACACTTTGAAACCAGATCTCGTGAGAATTCTATCACGAGAAGAGCAAGGTGGAAATCCACCCCCATGATCCAGTCACCTCCCACCAGGCCCCACCTCCAATACTTGGGATTACAATTGAACATGAGATTTGGGTGGGGACATATCACACCCTTTCCTGGTAAGAGATCAGGCAGGGTTGAGCATTTAATCGGAACCTCAGTGCTGCTCCTTATAATCAGGCCCATGCTTGGCCCTTGGCACAGATGTCCTGGGACCAGAGAGATGAGGGATCCCTTCAAAGCTGCCCTGGAAGCCGCTGGGTCTCTGCACCTGTTCTTAATTGTATGCTTGTGGTTTTACATTTCTCCTTTTCCCTGGGCAGGTGCCCTAGGGGGATGGTGACTGTGGCTCTGTGATCTCTAGTTGCCATAGTGACTGAGCACCACACGGACCTCCACGCTCTGCCTGCTGCCTGCACTTCCGCCCGTGCTATCCCTGAAGAGAGTTTCAGGAGCGGCGCCTGCTGTGGTGACTTGTGCCCCATTACTGACCAGCAAGGAAGTGACCTACACTTGCGGGTGACCCAGAGTCCAGTGCTAGGAGGTAACAGCAGCCCATTTGCCATTGTGAGCACCCCTGGGAGTCCCATCAGAATCAGAGGCTCCACACCCCTCCCTCAGTGCATGAACCATCCCTGTGTGGCCTGCTCCTAAGACCTTGACCACATTTCCACCACAGTCCTGTGGAAGCTGGCACACGGTAAGGGTTCCTGGAAGGCAAGTGATAGTCTCTGCAGCTCCCCAGTGAACCCGGGGCACTCCAGCCCTGCCCTCACACCCCACGTCACCTGGGGAAATGATACGGTTTTCGCCCACAGCTGAATCTTTGTAGCGAGAACTTCCTACTCAGAGCTCTTAGTGAGCCCCTGGACAAAACCCAAAATGCTCAGGAGCCATGATCAAGGGTGGGGGCCAGGAGGGAAGTGGAGAACTGGGGCTGCTTTGGGGAGGGGCCACTGCTCGGCAGAGCCTCAGATCACAAGGGGGAATTTCTGTGGATGAAGAGCCTGCAATTTGATTCTTCATCACATTGTAGGAAGAAAAAAAAAAAACACGTGTATACAAATGGCATAGACACACACACATAGATACATATACACACACACATCTGTAGTTATGAAGTCGCAGGATCATCTTCCTGTCATATAGGAGTCTTGCCTTTGAGGAAACCTGACCTGAACACCTGACTGCCAACCTCCCAGGGCCATTCTTTGTATTGGATCTGTAGTGGCATTCCTCCACAAAGCCACTTCCCCAAGAGAAATGATTCTCAGGTTGAGCTGCATCAGAATCACCTGGAGAACCTGTCCAATCACAGATGGCTGGGCCCCATCCCAAATTTCGGATCCACGCCTGAGCATGTGCATTTGCAGCAAGTTTCCAGTGGGGACAGGTGCTGCTAGTCCAGGGGCCACATTTTGAGAACCATCAGCTTTCACGGCTCAGTGTAACAGTCGTCCAGTTCAAAGACTGGTAACTTCCAGGTTACATCAGCGTCACAGTTAGCTAGCTCTGTGATCTCTGCGTGTTGTATAATTTCTTCATTGCAAATCTCACATGTTGCCTTGAGGATTGCATGAGGGAGTGCAGGGAACGAACTTCGTTTGACACCTCCACGTGGGAAGCCCCTACCTGGTAGTTATTGGTGCTGCATGGTTAAATCCACTCAGTTTCATTTTATCCACTTGCAATCCAGAACACAGCTGCTGCGTAAGATAAATTTATTTGAAAACAATTTTCTAGAACTTGGATTTGTAAGAGTATGTAAAACAGAGTGTGGAAGGCCAGGTTTCACTAACGCAGGCCTCCATAACAACTGCTTCAGTACTGACCGAGTAGTTAAGTTAAATATTAAAAGCTAAGAAAAGCCAGTGCCCCTATACAAAGGCTGAAATGTAACAAAAGCCCACCAAGGGTTTTGCCCAGGCCTTTCCTGGGCCTTAACGCATGACAAAATAATGAAAGAATTCTTAACAGGACCCATTTAGGATTAAACAAGTTTTACTGGGGTTAAAAAACTCCCCAGGCTTCCACAAACAAGTTTATTGGAAGTCTGAAGGAACTCCCCAGACCTCCAAGATTTAGCAGAAGTCAAGATAAGGGTAATCACCCCAGCACCTGGACTCATTTAGATAAGTAAATTTACTGAGGCTGCAGAGGAAGGTCTTCAGGACTCAGACATTAGTTACAGATTAAAATAAGTTAATCACTTAAGTCTTCAGATGAATGCACACTTACATGTAGACATAGAGCTTAGAAGGTATACAAGCTCTGGAAAACTTTGTAATTTTGAGTTGGTCTAGTGATAATTTCCAGGCCTTCTCCCTGTAACTGGTTTCAGAAATAAAAACTCTCCTCCTCCCCAGTTCATCTGCATCTCATTATTGGGCCACAAGAAATAGCTGCCCGACACTCAGCCTGGTCCGGGAACAAGAGTACACTGCATTCCCGGATTTTACTGCTTTTTGCAAATACAATAAAAAGGAGTGCCCACAAAATTAGAAACTTTGACAGATTAGAGGCTATATTAATATCATAAAGAGTGTTATAACTAGGTTATATTAGTTTTACCACCACAATAAAAACAACTATTGAAATAGAATGATACACAACTAAACTCTGGGGATTATTTTATTCACTTTTAATATGACCACAGTTTATGGAATGGGGACTATGATCAAACACTGCGTATGGAGTCAGGCTTGGGCAGGAGTGGGGGTGGCTATGTGGAAGGAGCATGGAGTAGTAAACTCATGTTGCATCCCTGCAACGTCATGGCAAGATATGTATGTGAGTAAATAATAATACAGCAGCCAGGTGTGGTGGCTCATGCCTGTAATCCCAGCACTTTGGGAGGCCAAGTTGGGTGGATCAGGAGGTCAGGAGATTGAGACCATCCTGGCTAACATGGTGAAACCCCGTCTCTACTAAAAATACAAAAAATTAGCCGGGTGTGGTGGTGGGTGCCTGTAGTCCCAGCTACTCGGGAGGCTGAGGCAGGAGAATGGTGTGAACCTGGGAGGCGGAGCTTGCAGTAAGCGGAGATCATGCCACTGCACTCCAGCCTGGGCAACAGAGTGAGACTCCATCTTTAATAATAATAATAATAATAATAATAATAATAATACAGCGCAGAATGAAGAGAGGTATGTGGAAGAGGGACTGGAAGGGGGTTGGTGGCTAAGGGACGGAGGAACCAACCTGAGCTCATGTAATTACAACCCTAGACTGCCTGTGCCACTTCGAAATCTGGCTCCTGTGTTGTGCGAACATGGTAAGAGTGTCGCTTTCAACCAACGCCCCAAAATGTAGACAACTCAGAAATTAACAGAATCATCCAAATACCCTAACCATCATAAAGATATATGTAAAGTGCTCTATCAGTTGCCATTGGCTATGGGTTCAGGGAACACTGGCCTCTCTGTGCCTCACCCGGTGGGTGTGACAAGAGCTGGCCCTCCGTGGGGCCCACGGGAAGCCCTTGGGCATTGGTACCAGTAGCCTAATATCCCAATCTAATTAAAAAATTAAAAACATGTTATATCAGCTTTCTTGAAGTATATTTTGTAGACAGTAAAACATCCATTTTAAGTGAACAGTTCAATGAGTTTGGACAAATGTAGGCAACCATGTGACCACCTAATATGGTTTGGCTGTGTCCCCACCCAAATCTCATCTTGAATTGTAGCTCCCATAATTCCCACATGTTGGGGAGGGACCTGGTGGGAGATAAGTGAATTGTGGGGGCAGTTTTCCCCATACTGTTCTCGTGGTAGTGAATGAGGCTTGCAAGATCTGATGATTTTTATAAGGGGCTTCTGCTTTCGCTTGGCTCTCATTCTCTGTCTTGCCTGCTGCCATGTATGATGTGCCTTTCGTCTTCTGCCATAATTATAAGGCCTCCCCAGCCATGTGGAACTGTGAGTCCATTAAACCTCTTTCCTTTATAAATTGTCCAGTCTCAGGTATGTCTTTATTAGCAGCGTGAGAACAGACTAATATACCACCCTACAATCAGCACACAGATTCCCGTCAGCCTGAAAATATCTTCGTGCCCATTTGCAATCCATTCCCCTACTCCCAGCATTAAGCGTCTGATGTGCTGCTTTCTGTCACCACAGATTGGATTTGTCTCTAAATAGTTGTATATAAATTGAATCATGCAGTACATCCTCTTTTGCTTCTGGTTTCTTTATGCTACTATAAGTGATGTTTTTATTTTACTTACTGATTGTTCACTGCTAACATAACATTTGTATTCCGCCTCTGTCCCCCTCTCTGCTGTCTTCTCTTCACCTCACGTATTGGCAGAGGAGGTGTTACGTGTTCACTGGCTTATTAGTCCATTGCTCACCACCTTCCACTGAAATATAAGCTCTTTGAGAGTGAGCTTGTATCTGATCCACTGCTGCTTTCCCAGCAGTGTTAATGGCACCCAAACATTCCCTCATAAATGTCTGTTGAGTGGATGACTGAGGCGCCGGACTCCACACTTGAGGGCTGAGGTGAGGAAGGACGAACTCTTCCCAGTGCTGAGCCTGAGGAGGGAGTGTGGGCTGAGGAGGGGGCGTGGGCTGAGGAGGGAGCGTGGGCTGTGGAAGGGCAGACAAGACGGTGAGCTCATGGGTCTCATTGGCGGTCAGGAGAGGGTCCTCTGTAACAGAGGCCTCCAACCCCTGTTGGGAACCAGGCTGCACAACAGGAGATGAGCAGTGGGTGGATGAGTAAGTGAAGCTTCGTCTGTATCTACAGCCACTCCCCATTGCTCTCATTACTGCCTGAGCTCCGCTTCCTGTCAGATGAGTGGTGGCATTAGTCTCATAGGACTGTGAACGCTACTGTGAACTGTGCATGTGAGGGATCTGGGTTGTGAGCTCCTTATGAGAATCTAATGCTTGATTATCTGTCACTGTCTCCCATCACCCCCAGATGGGACTGTCTAGTTGCAGGAAAACAAGCTCAGGGCTCCCACTGATTCTACATTATGGTGAGTTGTATAATTATTTTATTATATATTACAACGTGATAATAGAAATAAAGTGTGCACAATAAATGTAATTGCACTTGAATCATCTCAAAACCATTCCCCACCCCCACCCCACCCTGGTTTGTGGAAAAATTTTCTTCCACGACACTTGTCCCTGGTGCCAAAAGGCTGGGAACTGCTGCTCTACAAGAGGGCCAGCTGCTGCTGGGCTGTGAAACCCACTGAAAAGAAGGACAAATACCAGGTTTTTGGTAATGGGAGGACATTACCAGGGCAGAAATGCCCAATGTGAAGCTCAACTGCACATGTGAATTTGACTGGACTGCAGGGTGCAAAGACGTTTTGACCCAGTGTCACTCTGGGGGTGTGTGAGGAGGTTTCTGAATGAGACGAACATTCGAATCAGGAGACTGTCAAGCAAACGGCCCTCCCCAGGGTGGGTGGGCCTCATCCAATCAGTTGAAGGTCTGAATGGAACAAAAGGCTAAGAGGAAACTCCTCATGTCTGACGGCCTTTGAACTGAGGCATTGGCTTTTTCCTGCCATTGGACTTGAATGAAAACATCGATTCTCTCTGGGTCTCGAGCCTACTGGCCTCCAGACGGGAGGCCAACAGCTCCCGCAGATCGTGGGGCTTCTCAGCTTCTGTAAGAGTGTGAGCCAATGCCCCTCTCTCCTTCCCTCTCCCAGCCTGTATCTGTATGTTTGTATCCGTATGGATGTGGGTCCTGTTTCCCACTGGCTGTTTCTCTGGAGAACTCTGGTTCCTGCCCTCTGTTTTGTTGTTTGTGGCTCTAAGTCACGGTATGTTAAAGTTCAGGTTTAAGAGGATGCGGGCTGCCATGTCTAAACATGTGGGCATAAGTACAAAAATCCTTACGTCATCAGATTGTGTTTCATCATATGGGCTAATTTCTTTCCTCAGGCTAAGCTGCAAGTTCTTGTCTGGAGTCGAAGGACCAATAATATCGCCTTCACCTGCCCCCTCCTGGTCCACTCACCAGGATGCCAGGCGGGACTTTTGCACCACCCTGACTGTGAGGCAATGCCCTGGGGATCCTGCTAAGACACAGCTGCTGACACGGAGACGGGGGTGCCTGAGGCCCTGCATTTGTAACAAGCTTCCAGGCAATGCCTGTAATCCTGGTCCTCGGTCCAGAGTTTGAGAAGCAAAAAAATAAATAATTTATAGGGCCCCTTGCCTCTCCTCAAAGTCTGGTTATATTTTCTAGATAATAAGTGCTATCAGTACCTCGCAAGGAGAACAAAATGGCTCAAGGATAGCTGGAGGCAAAGAAAGTGCAGTGTGTCTTCCAAAATCACTAACTCAAATAAACGGGCTGCCTCTCCGGGGAGGCTCCTGGGAGGAGAGTGTGCCTTCGGTGAGCTCATTCGCAGGCGTTTCTCCTTCGGGATTTACGTTGCTTTCGTGCTATAGCTTCTTTGGAAAATTGCTTGGTTTATTGTCCTAACACAGTTTTGTCTCACTATGGGACACAATGAAAGAGAATGAGTTAATGGTTGAAAGAAATACATTTTGGAGAGAGAAGGAGAAACATGACATTTCCAGATGATTAATTTTTTAATGACTTCTTGGAGAACTTTGTTTGAAGACTTCACCAGGAAGATTGCATGTATACATGTGTGTTTCTTAATCCATTTTTGTGGCCTTAAGTCCTAGGAAAAAATGGTACTGGACAGCCGGAAGTGGCATTTACTTGGAACCACACAGGAAGAAGTACATCATAATTCTGGGAGTTTGCTGTGGCAATTTGCAAAGGCCTTTCACACAGCTGGACCCCTCTCACTTTTCATGAAGAACCCCCCACGCGCCGGCAGACAGCGGCTGCACACACATTCAGGAGATTGCAGGAAATAATTTCCAACAGCAAATGAGACATTAGTTATTCAATGCTGATAAACAACAGCAGCGCTTCATCCGAAGGAATTCCACTGGGATCTGAGTTAAAGCTCAGTTCCGTCCTCTACTCATGGTGACCTCGGACAGAGTCTCTGTGCCTCGGGCCCACCGTTGTAAAATCATGTGGCCTGTCGATGGGTCCACGTCACTTGCAGCATCTTAGTCCTCATTCTGGAGGACACGATGTGCCCTCTTAGCAGTGAGCCCTGGAGGGGCTGACTCGCAGCCGTGTTTACCTATTCCTGTGGTCCAAATGCTCCTGCCAGGGCTGATTCAATTACATCTCTAGCAGTGAACTTCAGCTGGATGGACTGACCTTCCAACCCTGAACTTCAAGGTGAGTGTGTGAAGCATGCCGGCTGTGTCTTGCCTTGGGAGAGTAGGTGGCTCACCCCGGGCGGCTGAGGCGATGAGGCAGGGAGGAGCAGGAGTGGGAACATCTGGTTGGATAGCAGGGCTGGAGAGAGGCGAGAGCTTGGGGGCTCTCTTCAGGTGTGCTCCAGGTGCCAGAGTCGCTGCTGGCCAAGGATCCCGGAAGAGACACAGCTCGGGATGAATCCCTGGAACCAAAAGTCTGTCCAGTGCTCCGCAGGGAGCAGACAGCGTTCCACTTAGTGCCCCTGGCCTGGCTCCACCCACCCGTCTTTCCTAGACCCAGGGACTTGGCCTCCTCTCTCTCCTGACCCCGCCTGCACATGGGCCTCAGCCCTTCTGTCCTTCCATCCTCTGTAGAGAGAATGTTGTTTCCTTTTACAGGAAGAGGCACTGGCCTGAAGCGCACAGCTGTGATGATCCCAGCAGGTCTGTGCAGCAGCTCAGCTGGCCTCTCCCTGCAAACTAACGTTCGTGCCTGCTGCAGGGGTGGGCTGGGGTGGCTCATATCAGCTCAAGAGAGCTGAGTTTTAAATTTTCACGCAGTCTGCAAATCAATTGTCAAAACACTGGCAGCCCAGAATCAGCCCTGGTGCATTTACATCATGGAAACTGGAAAACACAGCAGACACTGCGAGTCAGCCCCTCCAGGGCTCACTGCTAAGAGGGCACGTGTCCTCCAGAATGAGGACTAAGATGCTGCAAGTGACATGGACCCATCGACAGGCCGCATGATTTTACAGCAGTGAGCCCGAGACACAGAGACTGTGTCTGAGGTCACCATGAGTAGAGGACCGAACTGGGCTCCAACTCAGAGCCCCTGGATCCCAGTGGAATTCCTTTGGATGAAGCGCTGTTGTTGATGTTTATCTGCATTGAATAATTAATGTCTCATTTGCTGTTGGAAATTATTTCCTGCAATCTCCTGAATGTGTGTGCAGCCACCATCTGTCGGCCTTGGGGATGAGGGGAGAGGAGAAGCATGAGACAGGGTTAAGGAGAAGCCTCTGTTGAAGAATTATTGTGTCAGGGCTGCTCCCAGCTGGGCTAAAGGACTGGAGTCCAACAGTGTGGAGCCTCGTGGTGTCCACGGTGCACTGCACTTAAATGTTCTAGAATTTGAGTGTGGGGCCAGCCAAGAGGACTACGAGGCTGGACACAGGGCTCAGCTGCCCTCACAGCACAGCCACCACATCACACGGAGGCAGTGAGGTCCGTGCAGGACTTGGTCGCACCTCCGCGTGGCTCCCCCTGCCCAGGCCCACACCTACGTCCAGGGGCAGTGTCCGCAAAGTTCCAGTTCTGCTCGGACTTCCTCCGTAGCAGCATCACACAAGTGTTCAGCTCGAGATGTGCACCGATTCCTTTCCAACCTTCGTCTCCATAAAGGTCTGTCTGCTCAGCAGGAGTGCACATGTGCGACTCCAGACTCCTAACACACCTGTGCCCATTCGCGCTATGCCTGAGTGCCCTGGTGGGAGCCCTGAGGCCAGGGTTCCATGCAGACCTGTGAAGGGAATACATCGGTACTTCTCAGCTGGGGATGATCCTGCTCCCCCAGGGACATTTGGCAGCATGTGGAGACATCTTTGTTTATCACAACTGGTGGGCTGGGGTGAGGGACGTACTGCTGCTTCAGTAGGGGAGGGCCAGGGATGCTGCTGGACATCCCACAATGCACAGGGCGTCCTCTGACAAAGATGTATCTGGCCCCAAATGTCAATAGTGCCAAGGCTGGGAAATCCTGGCCTATAGGAGCAGAGAAGCTTTGCAGGGGGGTCACTGGTCCCACTGGACTTGGGGCTGCCTGGAAGCCCGGCACACGGTCACTATTGCAACCCCTGGGAAGGAGTGACAGACAAGACGATGAGAGACCGCAACAACAGGACAAGGCAGACACGACTGACATGAATTGTGCAGAGGACGCCTGAGCTGGGATTCAGGGGCAGCAAGGTGGGCTGGCGGCCAGGAGGGCTTCCTGGAGGGGGTGGGCTGGAACTGGGCGGCATGAGAAGCACAGAGCTTTCCCAGCTTACCTTTTACTTTTTAACTCTATGATAGTTTTTATTTTTATTTATTTATTTATTTTGAGATGGAGTCTCACTCTGCCGCCCAGACTGGAGTGCAGTGGTGTGATCTCGGCCCACTGCAACCTCCGCCTCCCAGGTTCAAGTGATTCTCCTGCCTCAGCCTCCTGAGTAGCTGGGATTACAGGTGCCTGCCACCATGCCTGGCTAATTTTTGTATTTTTAGTAGAGATAGGGTTTCACCACATTGGCCAGGCTGGTCTCGAACTCCTGACCTCAAGTGATCCACCTGCCTTGGCCTCCCAAGTGCTGGGATTATAGGCGTGAGCCACTGCGCCCGGCCCATGATTTCTTTTTTTTTAAATATTTAAATCTTTGATGTTTTTTTTTGGTATGAGGAATGAGGAGTGATTCCAACCTTCTTTTCCCCAAATGTGATCCAGTTGTCCCAGTGTCATTTATTTAATCACCTTCCTTCCCCCACTGCTATGACTGCTCCCTTTACTGTATATACCTACATAAAAGCAGGTACTTACCATAGGTCCTGCCCTCAGGTCAAGCGACCTCGATGTTACTGTACTTTAGTTGTCCTGCACATCCCTTCTGAACCACCTCTCCCCTATGGTGCATAAGCTCTGGGTCTGGGAGTGATGGGTCAGGAGCCACCCATGTTCTGATGAACCCCAGTTCTGGGAAGGCCTCTAAGATTTCCAGTTATCTGCTGTTCCTGTGGAAGAGCAGGTGCTTACCATAGGTTTAAATATGGTATGAGGATATGAGGATATAAAAAATACCATGTTTATAGGGTTAGGGTTAGGGTCCCTCCCCCAACACTGGGGATTACAATTCAACATGAGATTTGGGTGGGGACACAGAACCAAACCATATCAGTCTCCAACATAGCTTTTCAGGGGGACACAATTCAGCCCATGGTAGTGGTTCTCACCATGTCCTGTGGGCCATCCAGCCCTAAATTCCTCCGCAGCCACTCCCAGGCTCCTGGGGCCTTCTTGGGATTTGTGGCTGTGCATTCGATGCTGCCATTTTCCTTTCTTCCGACTTCTGATCCTTGCAGAATTGTTGGCTGGTTGAATTTGGGTGGGGGAGGGAGCATTCAACTCAGCCCATAATATGCACCAATATGAATCACGTTTAAAAAAGTCTCAAATTTGGTTCTAAAATAAGATGTACTTTGGTGGACGGTTATGATAGCTCTTTCTTCTTAGACGAGTGCAGCAGTGTTTGCCAGGGCCAGTGCTTGGCTTGGTGGTCCCAGGCCTGTCCTTAAGCTCTTCAGCACCACAGGCTGCAGCCTGGAGACAGGCACTGGCTTAGGCCTTTGGCCCCCTTGGCTGCCCAGCTTGAGGCCGGCTCCGCCCCCTTCTCACCACTTTCCATCTTTCCAAAGAACCAGGTCTCGGAGGGGAACATTAAGCTGCAAAACAACATTGTCATCCGCTCAGCCTCAGGGAACGCTGGTAGAATTCCCTTTCAGGCTTGTTTTTTTCTTTTTCTTTTTTTTTTTTTTTGAGACGGAGTCTTGCTCTGTCGCCAGGCTGGAGTGCAGTGGCGCGATCTCGGCTTGCTCCAACCTCCGCCTCCCTGGTTCAAGCGATTCCCCTGCCTCAGCCTCCTGAGTAGCTGGAACTACAGGTATGCGCCACCACGCCTGGCTACGTTTTTGTATTGTAGTAGAGACGGGGTTTCACCATGTTGGCCAGGGTGGTGTCGATCTCCTGGCCTCGTGATCTGCCCGCCTTGGCCTCCCAAAGTGCCAGGATTACAGGCATGAGTCACCATGCCTGGCCCAGGCTTGTTTTTTTTTTCAAGCACACAGTGAGGAAGTCAACAAGAGAATGTGGGTGGGGCATGGGTTGGGATGGCGTTGGTGACAGGACGTCCACTTCCAGACGGTGTCAGCAGGGGTCAGACTTGGCTCACAAACACCAAAGCGACCCACCCAGGGAGAGGAAGGAAAAAAGAGTGTCTTTTGTTTTCTTTTTTTGGGATTTCCTATTGGTTCATAGAGTAGACAGTTTACACCCAATCATGATAATCCCACCAGGCATTTCCGTCTCTGCCCTTTTCCAGCCCAGCTCTGTCCGCAAGGCTCAGTCCATACAGCGAATGGTTCCTTCTGGAGGAACAGAACCACTGAACTGGGGTCCTCTGCCTTGGGGGTGGAATGAGGGTCTGACAGAACCAGAAGCATAGAATATCGAGAAAATGCTATTTCTTGCACACTAGATCTGGAGATCTGGAGATCTGAGTTTCAAACCCATCTCATTCTCCTTGCAAAACCTGTGAGCAGCCCAGCAGGATGAGAGGGGAATTACCTGTGTCTGGCTTTGCCCAGGGTGGAGGACCTGGAAGCTTCACCCCTGAGAAGGTGAATCCAGAGATTCATTACAGACCACCTGAACACGTGACTGTGATTTCAATGCCATACCTTGACTTGCAGCACTTTAATTCATCATCATGATTAGCGAGCGTGGCACTGTGGTATCCAGGAGGGACTTGGACCCAACCACACACTTGCCGAGGAGAAAGAACAACCACCCAGGTGCCCAGCGGTGGGGTGTATTTGTTGCAGGACGTACTGCCCAGCCACCTACATCCCAGTGAATCCATCTCTTCTCTAGTCGGTATCTGCTGGGATGCGTCTAGAACAATCTCCCTGAAGACGTCATTTCGGTATGGCCTGGACTCGAAGCAGGCCTGTGAGTGGGGTGCATGCTCTGCTCTCTGTGGCTGTGTCAACTTCAAACTTCTTTATGTTTGGACACAGAAAAACTACATCATTAGTGAAATAAAACAAGGGACAGACAGATGCGTCTTTTTCTCAGGAGGTCGTGTTTGATTGACTAAAACAGCAAGGAAACTTTTATTGGGTCTGGCCTCCTGTGCATTCTACACAATGTGGGCCGTTTTTGTCACAGCCCGGGGTGTTCACCATCTTTATTTCTACAAGAGCTCCCTTTGTGTTCTGCCCTCCACTTGCCTGGGTGCTCACAGGGGAGGCTGAGGGTGCAGCATGGGTCCTTCCTGCCCTGTCTCTGCATTCACACTATAAAAGGCACTCACAGAGCCACCACCACAGCCCCAAACTGCAATCATGAAATAACACCTGCACTGGATCAGGGGGCTAGAAGAGATGAAAGACCGATGGACTGTCACTACACCGTGCTGGGATCTCTGCCTGCAGCATGAGGCACCACATGTGTGGGCTGTGGGAGCAGGTGTGACCTGTGGGCTGGGGCATGAGACTCCCCACTGGGGAGACCCCATCCCCTGCTGGACCAGCTTCCTCAGCATCACCATCATGGACAGACTCCACTTTGCTCGTGGCCCTTCTTTTGGGGCCCCATTAAATCGGGGGAGCCTACTTCTCCCACTGGCAAAGTCCTCTTCTCTCCTCTACGTGATCAGAAACAAGAATAGGAGAAGCCAAAAAAGGCCTGCAAGGGGAGTGTCTCAAATCCCTATGTCCGAGGCCCTGTACGGGCAGCTCCGCTGTGCTTGGAAGGATTGGGGTATGTTATGGCAGGCTACAGGATAACCCCCAAAGATGTTCATGTCCTAATCCCCGGGACCTGGGAATATGCAACTTTATGTGGCAAAAGGGACTTTGCATGTGTGGTTAAGGCTCTTGAGATGAGAATTGATCCTGGGTTATTGGGTGGGCCCAGTGTCAACACAAGGGCCCTTGTAGGAGGGAGGCAGGAGAGTCAGAAGCAGAAGGCGATGTGGCTGTGAAGGCAGAGACTGAGAGAGCTTGGAGGCTGCTACGCCGCTGTACTTGAGGAGGGAGGATGCAGGTGGCCTCTAAAAGTGAGAAAAGGCAAGGATCCTCCCCTGGAGGCTCCAGAAGAAACATAGCCTGCTGAGAAAATGCCAACCTCCAGAACCGTAGGAGAGTCAGCGTGTGTGTGTGTGCATGTGAGCGTGTGTGTGCCTGTGTGTGCATGTGTGTTTGTGTGTGTGCATTGCATGTGTATGCCTTTGTGTGCATGTGTGCAAGTGTGTGCATGTGTTTGTGTGCTCATGTGTGCATGTATGCATGCACGCGTTTGTATGTGTATGTGTGTTTGCATGCTTGTGTACCTGCGTGTGTGTGCATGTGCGTGTGCATGTGTGTGCGCATGTGTATGTGCACGTGTTTGTGTGTGTGCATGCTCGTGTGTGCCTGTCTTTGTATGCATATGTGCATGTGTGTATGTGCCTGTGTGTGTGTGTGTGTGTGTGTGTGTGTAAAGTTTGTGTTCTTTCCATGACCCCCAGGTTTGTGGTCATTGGTTACAGCAACCACAGAGACATAGTAACATGAATGTTGACAGCACGGAGCAGCAACCCAGTTTTGACCTGGTCGATGGTTTTCTGGGACCATTTTATTGACTATTACACCTGTTTTAGCCCATGTGGATATGGCTAAAGAGTGATGGACCCAGAAAAAGAAAAAACGATTGGGAATTTAATGATTAGACCATGGAAAATGAAGTGGTTAGATCCTTCGTGTGTGGTGAGTCTTTAATTCCTGGAAGTTAGAGTCCCGGGCAGTTGTGTCCCCAGCTGCAGACACTCGGTGTACATGCTGCAGGGCGGCATCCTCACCCAGCCACCTGCCCTGTGCTCCCCGCAGCTGGGCTGGTGGACGATGGGTCCACAGATGGGAGTTACAAAGGCGAAAGCCGGAGGGAAATATTCCGGGATATAAAAGTGCGTCTCGTGCTTCTACAAATCACATTGGGTGAGACTAAGACGCCTCTGGAAACAGCAGCATCTCCCAGCCTCTGCACATGGTTTCTGCCTCTCCACTCTGAGGTTATGACAACATCACCGTGGCTCTCAGTTGCCTGAGATCCAGTTCCTCCAGTTAAATGCTGCGTTCGCCCCGTGGGTCAGGGTCTTCACCGGTGGGTTCACCAACTCCCATTTTCCTTCCTCTTTATTTTCTTCACAGAAGCACATGCCCAGGGAAGGGATCTGGAACAGAGTTTTAAATCACTTGTTAATATCTTATAGCAAGTCCATCAATTTCAGACTAGCTCCAAAGCCAACTGTCAGGCACACCTCTACTTTGGAGGGTCTGCGACTGCCCAGGCTGGCACTGCCACCATTGAATGGCACCAACATCTGCCCTGGCGGTGCCCCGTGGGGGATGTCCCCTAGCCAGGGGACACTGGGTAATTCCGGAGACATTTCTGATTGTCACAACTGAGGATGGAGGTGCTGCCGACACCTAGCAGGTAGAGGTCCTACAAGGTGGTACATCCTACAATGAGTAGAACAGCCCCCACCACAAAGGTCTGCAGGCTGAGGTGGAGATTGCCATCCACCACTTAAGGAGTGACTCATATTCTCATATTCAGCATCACAAAAAGACACAGACATTGAGTTTTCAGACCCAAAAGAAAAGCACAAAGTGAACCTTTAGACCTCCATCCCTTCATCTGTGAAATGGATGTGTGAGAACAGAGCTTTGTGGTGAAGCCTTTTTTGTTTTTGTCTTTTCTTTTCTTTCTTTCCTTCCTCTTTCTAATGTCTAGAAATTCCTCAGGCAGATGAAATTTACAAAAATGCCAACTGGCAGGGGGGTCTGAGTGAGGCTGGTGTTGACCCTAGGGTGATTCTTTCCTCACGCTTGCAGAGGCTGTGGGCGAGGGGCGGTGATGGGCTGGTCGGGGAGGGTCCTGAGTGCTCCCTTTCCAGCTGCCCTGATTTGGGGGCCCATCATTTGGTAGAGCCCCCCCTTTGTATTTTCTGATATGCATGAGCAAGTCCAGCTTATTTTGGGGTAGGGGCAGGGTGAACGCCACGTGACCAGCATAAGAAAGTCCAGGAGTTTGGAAGTTCAAGATTGGCATCTATGGAAGGGGGTGAAGGGTCCAAGGAGTGGGTGGAGCTTTGGCCACAAAGGCTCATGGGTTTGAGGAACTGTCAGCAGCTGGTGTGTGCAGTGCTGCCACCCTTGGTTACGTGGGCCCCCAGGAGCGCCTGGGGCTGGAGGCTTGGTATGTGTATATGGGACTGTGGGAAGCGGGGCAGGGACAGGAGGAATGCATCAGAGCGCATGTGTGGGAGACCCATTTGCAGAAGCAAGAGCAACATTTTGGGAGCAGGTGGTGCCGGGGCTGCCCCGGACAGTCCCCAGGAAAATCCATGCAGACCTCTACCAGTGTGGCCCAGGGGGGTTGAGCTGCCCTATTTGGACAATGCTCACCTGGTGGCTCAAGAATCCAGGGCGCTCGGAAATGTCTGGATCATAATTGGGACACACCACCCTGGAGACATTTTGCAGGGGAAGCATGTTTCTACTCAGGTGCAGAGGAAAATGGAGCAAGAAAGGGAGATTCGGGTGTCTGATGCCTAATTGCTGAGTGACAATGACCCACGGCAGGCATGCTCTTCATGTGCGTAACCTCTCATCTGGCTGCTGAGGCAGGCGTAGCTAGAGAGCTAAGCCCTCCTGCAGGCACCTGGCTGGTGTCACTGGGCTGGGCCCGGGAGTTGGGCTCCTCTGAAGCCCCTGACCTCTTGGGGGGACTCAGCAACCCCCACTGCTGCCCACAACTTATGGCAAACAAGCTGTGGCCAGTGTGGTCCTGTGGCAGTGCTATGTGAAGAAACCAGGTCAGGGCCTCAAGCACCTCCGATGACAGGCATTGTCTATGCTGCACGTGCTGCCTGGGCACTGACCAGTGGACTGATGAATTTCATAAAAAGGTCAGGACTGTGGTGAGTCCAGCCTTGAGTAGATCTGCAGGGAAGGGCTGGGACTGGGGTGGGATCTGCACTCCTGAGTTTGCCTGCCTCAATTCACCCATGGACTGGACATCACCCTCTGGCTTTGCTGAGTGATAATCAAGGTTGTCCAAGATGTCACGTGTGCGTTATCCTCTGTTTGTCATTCACAAGGCCCTTGCCAGAGCCTGAGCACTCTGGCAGCTACAACCAGCTCAAGCTTCTTCCATGCTGGGTGACTCCAAGGGCAAGAGGATCAAGGGGCTCCTTTTCATCCATCAGCCGCCCTGCCCCAGGTCCCCAGAAGAGGCCAGAATCGAGTCCCACAGTCGTTTCTTCCCTCCTCATCTAAACTGCTTACTCCTTCCTGGACCGTCTGTTTTTCTACGAGAGCTGCAAGGGGTCATGGCATGAGCTGACTGGTAAAAAGTTGGCAAGTGGCCAATGATGATGAGGTTGACTGACCTATCCACCAGCCCCAGCCCGAAGTCACCCTTCGCATAAGAGCCGGTGGGCACAGTCTCCGGGGGCACGTGGATCCTGGTGGCCCTGGGTCAGCCGGACACTTGTTTTCATTCCGAGAAGTGGATGAGATAAACCTGTGTCTTCGGGATGCTTGATTTTGTGGCCCAAAGAGCCAAGAGTGGGCGCGTACCTTTCTCACGAGTTGGGCAAAATCCCCACATTCCCGGGGCGGCAGCCCGAGCAGTGGCCGCGTGCAGGAGTCCAGAGTGGAGCCGTGACTCACAATTAGGATGACACCCGCTGTGGAAAACAAGAACACCTCCAGGTCAAAGCAGCCCCAGAGAGCACCTTTTATTAGACTGGGGTCCCCAAAGTGGTGGGGGGCAGAGCTATCTCAGAGTGCCCCGAAGCCTGGCGAGACCCCCGGGCTAGAAGTAGTGTGGCTGGTAACCGCTCAGTGATGCCTGCGTCCCACCCTCGCTCATGGATTCCTCTGCACGCAGCAGCTGCCCACCAGCCTCAGGGAGGCCTAGGAAGTGAGCTGAGCCACCCCCTGTGGTCGCTGGCTGCCTGGGCCCCGTCAGCCACAGACTGGGATGTAGCGGTGGCTGACGCCCAAGCCAGACCTGATTCACTTTAGAAAGGTCAGCCGGTTATTTTGTCACACGAGCCTGCTACGACTCCTGCTTTAGATAAGAACACCTGGAGACCACAGGCCGAGTGGGTCTCCCTCAGGAGACACGCTTGTCCCTGCCAGCTCAGGGGAAGGCGTGGGAAGTCAGCGCTTCTGTGCATGCTTCATCCAGGACAAAGCAACACGGGAGGGTTAGGAGACCCGTGTGATGGGTCAGGGAAGGGGGCGCCACCTGGAAGTTGGTTGTTCTTTCTCTCTCTGTCTCTTTTGTTTCCCAGGAAGCTGACTCAAATCCCTTGGACATGGGTGGATTGTGTGACCCTGCTGGCCTGGGTCCCATCAGCATTCAGTCCCAGGATGGGGGGTTCCAGGGCCTGGGCGGCAGGGGAGTGTGTGTCTGTGCACCCGGTTACTGCACCAGCAGCAGCAGTGATGAAAACTTTGTTGCTGGAGAATGGTGGGGGGCGGGCAGGGGAAGTGGGGGCATTCATAGGTTCAGAAAATCGGCCAATTTCCATCTCAGAGATCATTCCCCTCCCATCAGCACTCAGTCCCAGGATGGGGGGTCCCAGGGCCTGGGCGGCAGGGGAGTGTGTGTCTGTGCACCCGGTTACTGCAGCAGCAGCAGCAGTGATGAAAACTTTGTTGCTGGAGAATGGGGGCGGGGGCAGGCAGGAGAAGTAGGGGCATTCATAGGTTCAGAAAATTGGCCAATTTCCATCTCAGAGATAATTCCCCAAGCCCCAGGGGCTGTTCATACTGAGGATGGTGAGGCACTTACTGTCCTGTGGACAGGTGTTGACGATTTGCACCATGCTCGCCGTGCACCTGTCCATGTACTCCTGGTAGCTCTCGGCCGGCATGAGGGCGGACAGGGGAAACGCGGGCCTGGAAGGATGAGAAGGAGAGGCTGCTGCCCTGGCACTTTCGTAGGGATTAGGAAGGCTCAGCTGCAGTTAGCTGGGGAAGGAGAACGTTCTTCCAGGATGGCTCTGCCTCAAGGCAGGCTCATGGTCAACAGGCAGGCTCCAGTTTTGTGCTGAAAACTGGCAAAGCACTGACAGTCAATCTCCAGCACACATTCTTACTCAACACCAGGAGGGCTCTGTGATGGCAGAGTCAGACATGGGTGGAGAATGACAAAGACTCTCTCCTTGACTAAACTCCAGTCCAGCTCCTCTGAACCTTCTTCTCAATGAGGTCTTGACCCTTGGGCTTCTGTGTCTGTTCTTGCAGAGTGAGTTTAGCAAGAACCTCCTACCTTCGACATCTGATCAAGTTCCTTATCCTCTACCACCCCCCAGGTGATGTCTGATCACCTTGGCCTGCCTTCAGCAAGAGTCTCCATTTAGGTCAGTTTAGCAAGAATGACCCACCTTCTCAGGAATTTTCCATCCACTGACCCCCACCCTGCTCTGTGGCTATAACTCCCCTCTTTTCCTTGTATTAGGAGTTGAGCCCCACCTCTCTCCCCTGCTGCAAAACCCCACTGCAGTGGTCCCTCTTGAATAAAGTCTTTCTTACCATTTTAACAGTGTCATGAAATTTTTCTTTAACAATAACTGGAAAAGCCCCAGTGGCAGAGAACTTTAGAACAGCATACCTGTAATCAGTGTCAATGTTGAAATTTGCCTCTTTCAGCTCTTCCAGGCTCATGAGGGTTGGGGTGGTTTTGCCAGCTTCCCATTTTGTCCATTCAAAGATTCCAGGTTCCACTCGTATCTTGATTTTTTTCTCCAGTTTGAGTTCTGGATTCAACAGAATACAAGTGTTTATCATCCTCAACATCCACCCTGACTTTGCATAAATAAGTCTCCTTTTAGATCTCAGACCGTCACACACACGTCTAAATCATGCCTTTTAAACAGTGTGATTTTCTTCTTGGCAAATACCGTTCTGTGATTAGGCATAGCTGTGCTATTTCTGAAGTCAAAACTGACGAGCAGTGGGAAGGTATCAGAGGAGTGATGGCCCCCTGTGTGCCAGGAAGGGCCAGAGTCTTCCAGGAGCTGGTGAGTGTCCCAGGCAGCAGGCTTAGGCTGGGGCTCACCTGATCACCCAGCACAGCTCCACCGTGAAACCAGCCCACCGGCTGCATCCTCCAACATGGCAGATCCAATGATCAATGGACAAGATGTGACCCATCATGAAGAATGTTGGCCTCATGAGGCACTTTCCTGATAAACACTTACACAGACGGGGCAAGAGGTGAAGAATGGAAGGAGCCATCTTCTGGAATATTCTGACTCCCTGCAACTCACATTTCCCAGGCATTTTATATTTTGATTAAAGGAAGAGCCATAAAGTAAGGCCATCTCTTTTTGAGTGGAAAAAAAGACCTGAATGTTTTCACTGGGAATGGAGAAGATGTCATTGAACTCAAATGCTGGACATAAAATCAGTTCCTCAAATGTGTTTTAGGTCCATGGAAGGAGCTCTTTCATCAAGCATGCTTAGAAAAGAGAGTTAAAGCAAGTTAATCAGGCCCCCAAGTTCTCCCCAATCAACCAGGCCCCCAAGTCCTCCTTCATCAACCAGACCTCCAAGTCCTCCCCCATCAACCAGGCCCCCGAGTCCTCCCCCATCAACCAGGCTCCCGAGTCCTCCCCCATCCAACCAGGCCCCCGAGTCCTCCTCCATCAACCAGGCCCCTGAGTCCTCCCCCATCAACCAGGCCCCCGAGTCCTCCTTCATCAACCAGGCCCCCAAGTCCTCCTCCATCAACCAGGTCCCCGAGTCCTCCCCCATCAACTGGGCCCCCAAGTCCTCCCTGATAAACCAGGCCCCCGAAATCTCCCCCAAGCCTGTGAAGAGCTCATTTCCATTGTGAACAAATAAGATGAAGGAACAGTGTGAGAGCTTCCCAGACAGGTGTGGCCATGGGTCTCTTTCCTTTGAAGACCTCTTGCAGGCCAGTGTTTTGTGGACTTGGCTGTGAAATGGTTCATGTGGACATTCTCTGACATTGAATTTAAACAAAGTTGAGCACCTTAGCATCTCAGACACCATCTGATAAGCAGGTTGATCATGTCTGAGGCCTTGTAAAGAAGACTGGGTGTCCTTGTTTTTCTGAATTAACAGAGGATTTATAAACCCATGCCCTTTAAACAGGCATCATCACCATCATCATCACCATCATCATCATCTGCACTTAAAGGTCACTGAGAGATCACATTAAAGATTTTGACATTATTGCTGGCAAAAGACATTTTTGAAAGCTTTTTATATGCAAGTGACCCAAATAATAGAAGTAAAAAAATCCACCAAAAATGGGAATAAGTGTGTTAATGAGGAACCACGAACAATGACAAAAAAAAGATAAAATTATGAAGTGTTTTCAGTCAGTCGTATTCTTTTATTACAAAGGCTGGCCAAGAGATTCCTTTTTTATTCGTTGTTGTTATCGTGGTGAGAGAGGTTGGGTAGGGAAAGAAAGACGAAGGTTTTCACTAGAAGGGAAACTTGCAGGCTGAGGCAGTAAAAGCCCCAGTGAGAGGAGACTGTTGTTGCTGGCCTGGCAGGCACAGGCGACCTGGGGACTCTCGCACGGCCTGCTAGTGGGCGGCCAGCCAGTGGCAGAAACCAAAGTGATTCTGAAACTTAGTGGAAGAACAGCAGCATCTTAGGTGGTTTCCAACAAAATGCGCTCATTGAGTGGTGGGGTGCAAAGACCAGCGACAGGGGAGAAGAGGGGAAACTGAGGCACAGGCCTGTTCCCCTCTTGTCATATATTTGTGTGCATTTCTTGCTTGGTTCACATCTTATGATTATAGGTGTTTGGTTAATTATAAATACATTGATCCTAAACAACCAGGGATGAAATTGCTATATATCAATTTTGCTTTATTCCATCATAGTTATTAAGAGCCACCCTCACACTGAAGGGTCCCCAGATACTCGGAGACCCTGCCCCTTCACATTTCTGATCTTGCCACCCTCGTCCCTCCCAAAGCGCAGAGCTGGAAAGGCCACGTCCTGTTTCTCAGGCCTTCCTGAAAACACGAAGGCTGGACCTGCTGCTGTGAGCATGGGAACAGGGAGAGGCGGACATCGCGGGACCCTGTCACCTGGGCTGGGGTCATGGCTCTCAAAGATCACAGCCTCCTCCTCTGCGGTCTGTGACTCAGCCCCCAAGTGAAACCCCAAGGGGTGTATGTGGTGTGTGTGGTGTGTGTGTGGGTGTGTGTTGTGTGTGTGGTGTGTGGGTGTGTGTGGGGTGTGGTGTGTGTGTGGATGTGTGGTGTGTGTCGTGTGTGTGGTGTGTGTATGTGTGTGGTGTGTGTGAGGTGTGTGGTGTGTGTGTGGTATGTGTGTTCAGCGTGTTGTATGTTATGTGTGTGGTGTGTGTGTTGTGTGTTGTGTGTGGGTGTGTGTGGGTGTAGGTGGTGTGTGTGGTGTGTGGTGTGTGTGTGGTGTGTGGTGTGTATGTGTAGTGTGTGTGGGTGTGTGTGGTGTGTGTGGGTGTGTGTGGTGTGTGGGTGTGCATGGTGTGTGTGTGGGTGTGTGTAGTGTGTGTGTGGCGTGTGGTGTGTGTGTGGTGTGTGTGGATGTGTGTGCTGTGTATGTGCATGCCAGCGTTGTGAGGAGAGACAAGGATTGTGGAAGCCTTGCTTGCCCTCGGGTGGAGCTGCCTCTGGCCTCCGGCTACACTGCCGTCAGGCCTTTGGGGATTCGCGAGTCCTTTCGTGGTTTGGTCAAAGAAGCTGATATTGTTCTTTGATCTTCATCTGGCTCATTGAGAGCCCAGAGGTGCCGTGATGCAATCAACATGGGAACCTCCAAGGCAAAGTGAAGTAAGTCTGCATTTCTGTCTTGTGACCCGAGATGCCGTGCAGAGGGGTGGGGTCCTGTGCCACAGTTGGGTGGGAAATGAAAGGATGAAGCTGCAAGACTGAGGTGGGCAGAAAGTGTCTTGACATTTTTAAGTGTGTGGAAGGTGGATCGTGGATGCTCCATGCTGATACAATGGATTTCTGTGCCTCGTGAAACTAGGACTGGACTATGGGATGGAAAGTTCATGAGAGCACAGGACAGGAATGATGAGCCTGAGAGGCTCCGGGGTGGAACCAGGTCCGCTCCTGGCTGGGGCTTCCTGGGCACCTGGATTTGAAGGTGCTCTGAGGGAGCGTCTCTGACGGGGCGAAGGGGATCTGAGGACATGGGAACCGGCAATGCACATGTGTGCATTGAATCCACTGCTGTCCCAACGGCTCCTCCTGTGAAGGTCCCGGCCCCTCGTGGCCCCGGCTCTGATGTGGCCCCATGTGCAAGTCCCAGCAAGACCACCATCTGCGGGATGGCTCCTCCATGGCCCCTCCATTCCTGCCCACCTCCTGCAGGACGTGGCTTCCTCCCTGCCTTGAGCATCCATTCCTTCCACCTGGGACTTGTCATTCTAGCCACTGCAGCCCCGCCATGGTGCAGTGCCAAACTCTGCTGTCTCCAAGCAGCCCCCTCGTGGACCTTGAGCCTCACTCAGATCACCTCCTTTCTCCTGCACTCACCTCCCCCGTGCTCGGCCTCCTCGCTGACCCAGCTGAAAGTCCATGGGCACGGTCACCCCCTCACTATGCCCTCAAGTCTTCCTGTCCCCTCTGGCTCCACCGTACTCACAGCTCAACCCTGCCCTTACCTGCATCCCACTCTCCACCTACTCCCGGTCTAAGCTGGAAGAGACCCCCTAGCCCGGCTGATGCATCTCCATTTAAACTCATGCTCATGAACTGTGGGTGGGCTCTGAGTGCTGCCCAGCGGTCACTCTGCATCTCCCAGCCCATGTCCTGGGCCCCTCTGCCTGACAGCCATTCATTCCTTCGGCGCACCCCAAACTTCCCACAGTCCCTGCCCCCACTTTCCGCTGGTGGCCTTACTTCCTAGGTCTCTGAGAAAGTCGAGGCAAGCCCTGTCCCCCACATTTGCCCTCCTGCTGCATCTGTGTCTGTGTGCTCTGCCCTCTCCCTTGTCACCATGGAGGCGACATGCTCTCTCGCATGTCACCCATGCTCCTGGCCACGGCCAGTCCCTGCCTGGGGACCGAGATCTTATCCCTCTTCCCAGACAAAGAGGAGCAGGACAGGGTTCAGGCTGAAGGCAGAGCCCAGGCCTCTGGAACAAGCTGCTCTCCTATGGGCAGGAACTTTCTTCTTCCCGTAGATGGGAGCTGCAGAAGGGTCTGCCCAGGACTTCCTGACACACATCAGCCCTTGAGGACGCTGGACAGCTCCACTGGCCCAGTGCATTGCCCTGGGAAGGGTCATGCAATTCAGACTTACAAGGAACCGTAGCAGTTCCCAGCTCTCAAGGTTTTCGAATGCCGCTTTCCAGGTGTATTTTAAAAATGCCTAGCTGACGGAGGCCAAAGAGAAACGGTATGAGGACAGGCCCTGGCATTTAGCTACACCAGCCCCTACTGGTCTGACGGTCCTGGTATTCCAGACACGCTCACGGACCCAGCATGCCTGCCAGCATCCTTGGAGGGCTGGCTCGTACTTGCCTGATGACTTTGGTGTGGGCATTCATTGCCAGTCATCCAATTCCACCTCCACTCCCTTCCCACTCCCCTTGGAGAATAGCCCCAAGGTCAAGGCAGTAGGAGAGGCTCACCGAGGTTCTCACTGACCTTCCAGGATGAGTTTGGCCGTCTGCACACAGCGGAGGGCTGGGGAGGCAAACACAGAGCTGATTCTGATACCACTGTCCAGTAGCGCGTCCCCTGGAAAATAGTGAAAAAGGCAGAAAATGCCCCTTCATAATTCTAGCCTCTGATGGCAGATGAGCCATGTGCTCCCTGTGGTAGGCAGGGTCCTCAAAGGGCCCCGGGTTTCCACCCCCTGGTGTGACACACCCTGCACAGCCTCCAAGTATGGGTGGAACCCATGACCAGAATGATCTGTTGCTCCTGGGACAATTACATCCTATGGCAGAAGGGAAGGGATCCAAGGTGGGGCTGACAAGTTGGTGAGCCCATTAAAAGCAGTGATTATCTCCAGCCAGTCATGGAAAAAAGTCAGAGAAGTGTGAAGTGAGAAGGATTCAGCAAAACATTCTCCATTGCTGGCTGCAAAGATGGAGGGGACCACATGGCAAGGAATGTGGGCAGCCTCTACTAGGGCTGGGAGCAGCCCCCAGCTAACAGCCAGCAAGGAACAGACCTCAGTCCTCCCACTGCAAGGATCTGAATTTGGCCAACAGCAGAATGAGTCTGGAAGGAGACTTGAGCTCCCAATGAAAACTCAGCCCAGCAGAGACCTTGACTTCAGGCTTTAAGACCTTCAGCAGAGAAGCAGCCTCGTGGGCCTGGGCTTTGGATCTGCACCACTGTGAGCTCAGAAATGGGCGGGGCTTCACATTTGTGGTCGTTTGAGAAAACTCAAGACCCACTGAAGCTCGTGGAAGGAAAAGCCTGTACTCTGCCTTTCCCCCTGTGATACTGGAAGCCCTGCTCTCAGGGAAATATGGGAGTCCCTACAGCACAAAAATTGCACAGCCTGAAAGCTGATGAGCGAGGTTTCAGTGGAGGCTCTTCTGGGTTGAACTGTATCCCCTCCCTTGAAAAACATGTTAGAGTCCTCACCCTTGGTGCCTTAGAATGTGACTCATTTGGAAACAGGATTTTTACAGAGTGATAAGTTAAAATAAGGGTATGCACCTCAATCAATTAAATTAGGGTGGGCTCTAATCCAGTGTGACAGTGCCCTTCTAAAAGGGGAAATCTGTGCACAGAGACATGCAGAGAAGAGAAGAGGAAGACAGAAAATGTCACCTGCAAGCCAGGGACAGAGGCCTGGGACCACCATCTCCTCCCGACTCAGTGTCCTGGGAGCTCACACTGGGAGTCTGGAATCAGTTGTCGGGGAGTGCAGTATTCTCACCACTGCACTCAGCAAGTGCTATAACTCTATGACTCTAACTCTATAGCTCTATAACTAACTCTATAACTCTATGACTCTATGACTTTATAACTCTATAACTCTAATTCTATAACTCTATGACTCTATAGCTCTATAACTCTATAACTAACTCTATAACTCTATGACTCTATAGCTCTATAACTCTATAATTAACTCTATAACTCTGTAACACTATGACTCTATAACTCTATAACTCTATGACTCTAACTCTATAATTAACTCTATAAATCTATGACTCTGTAACTCTAACTCTATAATTTTATGACTCTATAACTCTATAACTCTATGACTCTATAACTCTATAACTAACTCTATAATTCTATGACTCTATAACTCTATAACTAACTCTATAACTCTATGACTCTATAACTCTATGGCTCCATAACTCTATAACTCTATAACTCTACAACTCTATGACTCTATAACTCTATAACTAACTCTATAACTCTATAAATCTATGACTCTATAACTCTATAACTAACTCTATAACTCTATAAATCTATGACTCTATAACTCTATAACTAACTCTATAACTCTATAAATCTATGACTCTATAACTCTATAACTAACTCTATAATTCTATAACTCTATAACAACTCTATAACTCTATAACTCCATAACTCTAACTCTATAACTCTATGACTCTATAACTCTATGATTCTAACTCTATAACTAACTCTATAACTCCATGACTCTATAACTCTATAACTAACTCTATAACTCTATAACTCGGACTTCCCACCCTGCCTGGAGCAGGTGGGTAAACATTTCTGAGCACACCTCTGAGTGGGGCCCTGGGCGAGTGGGCCGTGGGGGTCTCTGCAGTTAACCATTGGTGTAACTTGCTTCTCTGGATTCCATTTTCTGAATTTAGGAAATGAAGACTCGATGAACTCAATGGTCTCTTCTGTTTACATAAACTCAGTCACGTAGAAGCAGAACCGCCAGACATGAAACAAAAGCCCAAAGTGACAGATTTTGAAATAAAACCAACGAATGAGAGGATGTGGTTTTCCATTTGAAAAGTGAGCTCCTTGGAGCTCCTTGGTTGTTGATTTTTCCTCCCCTCTCTTGTTCTTTCCATGCCTTTCTTTCATTCCTGCCAACTTCCTGAATCATCCATTCCTAGATCAAACCTCTACATTGCCACTTTCTTGCTGTGTGACCTTGGGCAAGTTGCTTAACCTCTCTGTGCCCCAGCCTCCTCAGCAGACTGGAGACAAAGCTAACACTGTATCAAAGGGTGTGTAGCTAGGGCTCAGGCTGGATGCCTGCTAGCCATAATCAGTGTTGCTGTTATTGTTACCTTTCCTACTAGACAGTCCTCAAACATACCTGCAATTCTGGACTGGAAAATGCCACACGATGATAATGGGGGATCGTTTTCAAAGTCTTTGATCCCACGACTCCGTCTTGGCAGACTGCAGGGGAAATTCAGGTCTGGCCTGTAGTATTTCCCTGAAGTATAAATAAGCATCAGACGTTCAGTTTCATCAAGTTAGTACAGATTTGTTCCACAAAACTCCCAAGACCAAGACCCACTCTAACAGCAATGTTATTATTGAAATTATTGTCAACTGTGTTGTTTCTGAACATTCTCTGCAACGTGGCTTCAATTTGAGAAGAAAGTGCTGCTCAGCTGTGCACACAACATTTTCTCAAATGCAGACAACTTAGGTTTCAGCCCCAGGAACTATGCAACCCTCTTTGTCCTCCCAAAATGCCCCATGAAGATTCACTCTTACATTTTCCTGATGAAGAACCTGATAAAGTGTCTCTATGACTAGTTTAGTGTAACTCGGTAAGAATCTGAAGTTGGCATCAATGATCCATCCCCCTAGCTTTAAACGTATCCTTCTTGCTCAGGGGACAGAGTGCTTGAGCTGGAGATGCCTGTGTTGTGCATTCTTTAGTCAATTGCTTGAAGCCAGGCTGGAAGTGGGCTCACTGGGACTGTCTCCCACCAGAGGCTGCCCGGTGCCAGGGTTCACGTGGAGTTTGACCTTGAGTTCTAAGATCTGACAGTCTGGTAGCAAATCCTGGCATCACCATCTCCTCACTGTGCAGCCAGAAATAAATGACTTCATCTCTCTTATCAGTAAAAAACAGGGAAAGAGTAGCGATTGCGAGGTGTCAGTGAGGTAACACCCATAGCCCAGAGTCTGACTCAAGAGGGAGTGGTCAACGAGTCGGGGCACTGGTCTCATGTCACCACGTCAGGATGACTGATTATCCTCACACAGGACACCACGACACACTGCTCCCTCCAGTGCACTCTGGTTTGCCTTCACATTCTCCAAAGGGACCCCAAGCCTCCTGGTTATTAGGAGGTTCCAGCAGCCACACTGACCTTCCTGAGACCTGCTCTGCCATACATAGCAGGCCCTGCCCTTTGCACCCCAGAATATGCCAGGCCCCTTCATCCTGGCCCACAGCCTTGCACAAACCCAGAGTCAGGGGGCAGTGGGGGGCAGCAGGGGTCAGCGGGGGGCAATTTTTCATGCCTGCATTTTAGTTTCCATATAGGAGTTTTCTGAAGACTCCCTCCCTGGGATTTCCATGGGCAGAGACTCTTGTTTGAACACTGCATTTTAGAGGTGTTTATTCAATGCCAACATTAGCTCTTGGGAAAGGCAGTTTTAAAATCAGAGAGAAAGTCCATCAATTTCATTGTGTTCTCAAAGGCATCTGTGATCCCCCTCTAAAATGTCAAGACACTCCATTTAGGTATTTTGCTGTCATTGACACTTCAGCTGTGATCACTCTGGGGGCAGAGGGCAGAGCTCAGGAGAGGACAAGGATGTGGGGCAAGGTCAGGTCCTGATGGGAGCAGAGTCTGTGTGGAATATGGGGTGAGGTGAGGGGCCCTGTGAGGATGTGGGTGCCTGGGCCAAAAGTGAGCTGAGCTGGGGAGAGGCCAGTAGAGCCCCCCAAATCTCCCTTGTGTTCCCTGAGGTTGGTCACCTTGGGGGAGGACGTGGCTATACCTCCTTGTGATTTATTAAACCCTGCAATATACAAAATTCAGACAAACTAGATGTAATTCTTCACTTTATCAAGGGCCTCTCTACCTTGGGAAAAGATCCACCAGGAGTTTCCTTTCAGATGGGGATTTCCAGTGCCTTTAAAATATTTTCCCTTATAAGTGACTTGATCTTTTGTCCAGATGACCAAATATTTTTTCTTTTTCTATGAAGTTCAATAACTATTTTTGGTGTTGATTGTTTTGTATTGGTTCTCCCCACCATGGACAAGGTGTGTCAGTTCAATCTATAGCTTCAGTAATTCAATAGCTAAAAAAACTGTTTTATTGAAAAAAAGTTTCTTATATGTTTGTTAATGCATCCTGATAGCCACCTATTGTCTTATTGTTGCTTTAAGCTCTTGTATCTTTACTTGATCTTGTTTTATAGAGGTGACCATATTATTAGCTCTGTGAGTTCTTGGAAATATGCTTGATCATGATGTTATCTGCTCAGAATCTTTTCTGGTGTGTGATTGTCATCTGCCAATGGTTTTCCCTACTCATTTACCACTTTCTTGGGTCTGCTGGGCTTCTGGAGGGGGATCCCAAAAGGGTTCGGCTAACCTAGCAACTGTGAATTGATTTTGTCACTACATTCAATGCCTTAATTTATGTAATGGGTCATGGCTTAGAAATTGTGACACTACAGGCTTCCTATTAGGAGATTAGCATTGATGTGGACATTGATCATCAATACAGAGGTTGGCTTGTGGGTATGTGTATTTATAAGCACTATTCTTACTTCCTGGCATTCAGAGGAGAAAAGCTGGGGTGTGCAAGAGGCATGTTCAAGAATACGTCCATCTGTTAAGCAGCATAGCCAAAAATTACATCAGTTAAGATTAGGTTGGAGAGGTTCCAACACAGACACTCAAATGCATACATGGAACACCCCTGGAGGAAGATGTAGCAGGCACGTTTTCCACACATACAGTCTACACATGGTCATTCTACAGAATGGTGCCTCAGGGGATCTGGTGCCATGTAAGGTCATTAAGAAGGAGATCTCATTGGTTAGATCTACAGTGTTTCTGTCCGTAGACCCGCCTGAGTGTGACCTACCATCAGGAGTGGAGCATTGCTGCAGCCATGCCTTCCCGAAGATCTGATCCACTCTCTCCCCGTGGCGAACCACCAGCACGCTCTTCCTTGCAACGGTAGCCTGGGGGGTGGGGCAGGAAGCAAGGCACATGCAGTTTAACATCCAACTCACTGGACTTGCACCAATGGCAGCTCTCCCAGTCACCCAGCAACTGCGAGGGAATCTTTTCCTTCGTTAGTCAATAGCTCAGCCCATTTTGCCCAAATCATTAGAATGAAAGAGGACATGAAATTGACAATCTCTTCAATTTCTTCCAATGTTTTATTTTCTGGGCATTCTAACATCAAGAAAATGAAAAGAGACAGGATTGGCCCCTATCATGACACATCCGTTTTTCTACTTTTCTGTCTTTTCTAAGTCCTTATCATTCCCATAGAGACGTCTTAGGACATTATCCCTATCTATATTATAATATGTATTGTTATAGTATAGATTACCTATCTATATATCTAGTCTCCTCTCTTGCTGGCACACTTCTTCTGAGAAACCCTCCAGGACTGCCCTGGTGTTGACCTGTTGAGGGGCCGTCCTTTTATGGCTCCCAGGTATGAATTCTGCTTCTGAGCACCAAGGGGAGAAGCCCTCATCCATCCCCTTGCTGTTTTCCCATAGCTGGTCATTCTCTGTTTGGCTGAATGCTAAAGGAAAACAGTACTTTATAGTTTATTTACTTCTTCTCGGCATGAGACTGGCCTTGGCGGTGGCCAGCAGCTTCGAGCCAGGGACAGCAGCTCTCTGGCACCTTCCTCCCCAGCCTCAGGCAGCCGCAGGATGGCCTTGGAGCCTTGCAGTTACAGGGCTCACGCCCGCCCTCTTTCTGGGGAGCCTGTGCTTTGGGGAAGTAGCCCAAAGGTCATGCTTGGGGCAGCGAGGCTGGCTACCCTTTGGGAGGGGCCTCCACTGTGTGGGATGGTGTTGTGGGGGGCTCTGTCCTCAGGGGCTAGGCCACCCTTCTCCCCATGCTGTGCAGGGCTGATCAAGTTGAGGGACTGGCCTTGAGAGGAACCCACAGCAAATGAGATGAAGAGAGTGAATGAGAGCTGAGGATGCCCCCCCTGGGACCAGAGAGCAGAGTGCTAGGGGCCGAGCCAGCTAGAGGCCACCAGGACAGCTGCGTGGAGCATAAGCCCTGCACCAGGACCCTGGAGGGAGACACCAGGCTCGGCTGCTTCCCTGGAGGGCACTAATGTGCCAGCTGACATCGGCCCTTCACCTACATTCCCAGCCCCAGAGCCAGGCCCAGGCTATCCAGGGGGGTCCATTTCAGAGCAAGAGGTGGGGAACCCTGCAGCAACACAGGCCCAGTGGTGCTGCCCTCTGGCACCCAGGACTCATGCCTCAACCTCCCTGTGACATGGCACCGCAGGGGGGAGCATGTCACATGCTGGTCCATGAAGCTGCAGTCCACAGCATCCCTGCTTTAGGGAGCTGCAGGTCTCCCTGGGCCAAGGGATGAACATGGAAAGATGAGTCATTAACAGAGATGGTGGGGGCAGAGCGAACACGGCCTGCCACGGGAGGTGGGCTGTGGGGCCTTCTGGGGACCAAATCCTGCCTGGAGCCCAGGCGACCAGGGATGGACGGGGTAGGGAGGACCCCTGGGCAGGAGGCAGCTCAGACAGGCACTATCCCTGCCCTGCTCCCTCTTGGCCACACAGCTCTCTCTGGGCTAAAATGAGAGGGCAGCTCTTGTGTGTGTTTTCCTACTGAGCAGGGTAAGGAAGAGAGGTGAGGAGAGGTAAGCCTTGTCTGCATAAACCCTCATACACCAGCCCCAGCATCGCCCTGATTCCCTCCAAATCCTAGAGAGGAAAATGCAAATGGCTTTAACATCCAAACACCCTCAGGGAGGAAGGGACTCATTTTCCACCTGGCCAGTGCAGCTGATCATTCCTGTCTGGACTTTCTTCTGTGAACAGTGATCCAGTCTCAAGGGTCTGCACTAACTGGCCACTCGCTCTGGCAAGAGTGGTCCCCCGTGGTGTCCCTGTACCTAGGGAAGTGATTGGAAACTACTGGGAAGGAAGGGACACCAGAAAGTAGGGTGGGGGCCAATTTCACCTGCCTTGAAAGCATTCTCGGGGTCAGCACCACGGGCAGCTCCTGCCAGATCCTGTGGATCCCTTGTGAAGTCCACGCTGGCCCGGACGATGCAGAATTTCCAGCTGCTGAAATTTATCAGGACCAGACAGTTCTCGGTGGCCCTGGCTACATTTGGTAGGTGCATAAACTATGGGATTGGTGAGCCAGTGAGAACGTTTGCAGTCACCATGCAAACACTTTCTTAGGGTCACTGGGCTGAGTCTTCAAAACGGATATACGGTAAGGCCAAGTGAATAGTATTGCTTTCCCTTATTGGAAAACTTCAGTTGTTTGTTTCAGGATAGAAACATGCATCTCCTGGGGAACAGCTTCAGGGGAAGGTTTGTCTTGCTGTCTTGCTCTCTTGCATGTGAAGTGTGGTTATGCAGAGGTTGCCTACACTGACACCAAGAGGCAGCACCCACCGCCCCTATCCCAGAATGAATATTAAAACATCCTAGAGAGCTGTAGAGAGCTGATCTGCAAGTAGATTGCAAAGCATGCATGCTCTTGGAAACTCATTCTGCCTAGTAACAAAGTCCCTGAAGTTTTCAACTTGCGGGCTGAAGTTTTGGATTTGGGGTATTTTCTTCCTGGAAGAGCTCAGAGCATTTTAAATGTTCTTCTGTGGAGCTTTGCCACAGGAATATGATGATAAAGCAAAAGAAAGCCCTGTGGGGAGTGGAATGGACTGACCCCTGGGATCTATGGAATGAGGCAGGGCTGCACCAATTCTCTAGACAGAAGGTGCTGCATTGGTGTCCTGGGGCTGCCATAACAGGCTGGGCGGTGCCAAGCAAGAGACATTTATTCTCTCACAGCTCTGGAGGCTGGAAGTCCAAAGTCAAGGTGTTGGCAGGGCCATGCTCCCTCTGACATTCTAGGGGAGAATTTATTCTTTGCTTCTTCCAGCTCCTGGTGGCCCCAGGTGTTCCTTGGCTTGTGGCCACATTGCTCCAGTCTCTGCCTCTCTGGCTGCATGGCCTCCTCTGCTGCTGTATCAGATCCCCTCTGCTTTTCTCTCATCAGCACACTTGTGATGGGGTTTAGGGCCCTCCTGGATGACCCAGGATCATTTCCTCATTTCAAGACCCTCCACTCAATCCCATCTGCAGAAACTCTCTTTCCTAATAAGGTCACATGCACAAGTTCCCGGGATTAGGGCATCATCTCTGGGGCCATGATTCTACCAGACCTGTGGCCAGTTGTCTTTTCTTACTGTAGGGAAGGGGTGAAATCCCTATAGAGAAGACCGTGTGAGGGGGGCCAGTTCACAGGCAGATGCATGTTCTGTTTTCAGCCATTGAAAGCACGGTTTAGACACAGGCTGAGCTACGAGCAGAGACTTCCATTCCAGGCTCTCCCCCTACCCAATACCTGGGTACTTCTCCACAGTACCCAGGTATTGGGTCAAATGTTATTTTAGATGTCACTGTGAAGGTATTTTTTAAAAATGAGATTAACATTTAAGTCACTAGGCTGAGTAAAACAGAATGGTCTCTGTTTTACTCCAGATGATAGGGTTGTTGGAATCCATGGTACTAGCTCAATCTTTTTAAATAGCTGAAAGTCCTTATTAAAAACATTTAAAGCTTTTTAAATAATCCCCAGGCCACAGCCCTGGGGAGTCTCGGCTCTCCCAAGTCTGGGCCTTTCTCACATGGTGAACGCTGATCGCCATTTCTCATGGACCCAGCTTCAGAGACACATTCTTGATTTCTCAAGAAAAGGCCTCCTCACCTAGCCACCAAGGCTGCAAAGACCTGCCAAGGCCACTTAGCTTTGGGCTGATTTGCACCAGCTGCCAGGAGGTGCAAATGGCGACAGGGACGCTGCGTGTGGGTTGACTGTTTAGCTTCCACAGCAGAAGTTTACTCTCCCACAGTCCTGGAGGCTGGAGGTCAGAGATGATGGTGTTGCCAGGGCTGGTTCCTTTTGAGGCCTCTCTCTGGGGCTTGCCGGTGGTGTCCCCTCCCTGTGTCCTCACAGGGCCATCCCTCTTGTGTGTCTGTTTCCTCATCCCCTCTTCTTATAAGGGCAGCAGTCAGATTGGATCAGATTGCATCACCTGTGTTGCCTCATTTAACCTTAAATACCTCTTTAAAGGCCTTGTCTACAAATACAATCACATTCAGTGAGACTGGGGGTTAGGACTTCGAGATAGGAATTTTGGAGGCACACAATTCAATCCGTAACAGAGGGTGAGCGTTGACCTTAGGGTGAGCCACTGACAAGTCCCGGCAGAGCCTTCCTTTGGTTGTTCTGGAGATTTATGGACCAGGCACCAGGATGGGCCCTGGGGACTAGGGAATAAGCCTGGCTACTGTGACCCCACCCTCTGGGCACAATAGTTTCTCCGCACCAGGGGCCTGGCCGTGGTGGGCACTGGATGGCCCATCTCACATAATCCTTCCAACAATCTGATGGGAGGGTGGTTAGGAGTCTGTGTGCTCTCCGACAAGCTTCCTAGCCTCCATGAGCCCCAGTTTTCAGATCTGTAAAATGGGTAGGGGGCAGGAATAGCGCCTCCTGTGTCGATTGGGGATAGCAAGGATGAGAGATCCTAAAGTAACGTGTGCGGCACATGGCAGGGCACAGGCGGACGAATTTGGGAAGAACAAGGACAGAGAGGCATTTTCACTACTGTGGCAACCAGACAAAGGCCAGCAGCAGGTACAGCCCCTTCCTGAGGGCTCCTCTGTAAGGAGTGTGAAGCTTCAGATCACAGGACAGGGATCAGGGATGTGATGTCACTTGTTTGCGTTCAGGGAGGGGCTGCCTGCTCCTTGGTGTCCCTGCCTGGCAGCCTGCACTCCTGGATGTGCCCCATGAGGGTGGCCAGCTCGGGGTGCCCTGCTGTGCCCTGGACCCTGGCCTGAGTCTGCTGACCCCCAGGTTATGGAGAGTTTTGCCTCAAAAGATGAGGGGCCAAGGCACCGGGGCAGGTGACGTCTTGGGGACCTCTTGGCTCATGAATGAGGGAATGGGATGAGAACTCGGGATTCAGCTGCCTTGAGGAGCTCAAGGTGGGGCACTCTGCCATGAAGGGGTGGCTCCCTGTCTGCCCAGAGCAGACAGACCAGGGCAGGACCCCCGGCACCCTCAGACCTGGGAGGCCCCCTTGCTGACCACGCTCTAGGGCAGGGAGGATGTGTCTATGGAACAAAAGCTACACCTACGAAGCTGTGTCCACCGTGAAGTTAATACAAAGTGTAGTTTTGCTTAGTTTACTTAAAAGAAAAAAGGGAATGTTCTATTACCTGCAAGGCCTGTAAGCTGCTAAGACTCCTTGCCGTTTGTGGAAGAAATTCCCCGCTGCATCTGCTGCTGGCTTCACCATCCTTTCTGGAGTTCAGGTCTGTGGCTAGACTGAAGGTGTACATCCTGCAGGGGAAGGAAAGCACGGCTTGAACAGAAGTGAGACCATGTTGTTGCCATGGAGACCCAGCATCTGGTCATGTATGTACTTGAGAATGTCCGGGACAACCTCAGCAGAAAGGTTCCCATGAGCACAAAATGAAGTAGCGTGTGCAAAGTGCTCAGGACTCAGGAAGTGTGGATGATGTGTTTGTTTTATTACAATGATCACCGTCTATGATGGGTAATTTTACATGTCAACGTGGCTAGGCCACAGTACCCAGGTATTGGGTCAAATGTTATTTTAGATGTCACTGTGAAGGTATTTTTTTAGAATGAGATTAACATTTAAGTCACTAGGCTGAGTAAAGCAGAGACCACCCTTCAGATGATGGGGCTGTTGGACTCCATGGTGCTGGCTCAATCTTTTTAAATAGCTGAAAGTCCTTATTAAAAACATTTAAAGCTTTTTAAATCAGAAAATGGTCCTTGAATGTCTCGACACATCACTGTGAGTGGGTCTCATCCAACCAGTTGAAGGCCTTAAGAGGAAACGAACTGGGGTCCCATGAGGAAGGGGAAATCCTGCCTCCAGACCACCTTTGGACTTGAGCTGTAACCTCAACTCTTCCCAGGGTCTCCCATCTGCCAGCCTGCCCTGCAAATTGTGCACTTGCCAGGCTCACAGTCTTGAACCAATTCCTTCAACTAGATCTCTCTCTCTCTTTCTCTCTCGGTCACTCTCTGTCTCTCTGTCTTTGTCTCTGTCTCTGTCTGTGGGGAACCCTGACTAATACACCATCCCCTTTGATCCACTCTGGGAGGAACTGACACACCACCACAGTTTACTGTTCTCAGCCATGCACAGGGCATGTTTCTATTTATCCAGCCCATTTGCAAATGTTTGCATTTCTCCCATAGAGGTCTCAAGTCCCCACATTCTCATAAAACCAGCAGTAGCTCCCACTCCTCCACCGAGACCCGTCCAGAGCCAGGAAGGGCATCTTTTCTTCTGCATCTCAGCATCTGCGTTACACATGATCTTCTCACACTATTACCTGCCCTGTCTCCATCTATAAACTATGGCAGGTCCAGGCCAATTTACTTTGCATCTTCTCAAGCTGTCAGATGCCATTAGATAGGAAATGCACACTTGAGTTGATCCTAAGTAGACCAAGAATATAGATAGTCTCATTGGAACAATCGACAGTTTCCTCTTCAAATTAACATGCTCAGAGCAGTGAGGCACAATTCATAGCCCCACATTAGCACAGGAAATATTGGTTGGTTTCCCCTTCCTGAGGGCAAGGCGAGGGCACCCACAGCCTCCCTGCGGCTCGCTCTGCAGACAGTAGGGCTTTGCTATCAACTGATGACATCTGTGAGGTTTACAGAGAGAAACGGAGTGCATTTTGCTAGTCTTTCAAATGAAATACAATCAAGATTATGCTGTGAACATGGGTGACGGAAGGAGAAAGAAAAGAGCTTAGCATTTTCACATTTCCATTTTTCTCTTTGACTTAAGAGAGCCTCTTGACAGTAACTTACACCATGAAACAGATGTGTTTGAATTCTCCCTGGTTCTTAAAAGGACATAGCTGCCATCTGGGGGTTGCATCACTACGTCCCTGTGTTCATTTCCTGGGGCGGCCATAACAAAGTCCCACAGCTGAGCGGCTTCAACGACAGCCACAGATGCCCTCATAGTCCTGGAGGCTGCGAGTCTGAGGTCAAGCCACCATTGAGGCTGGTCTCTCTTGAGGCCTCTCTCCTTGGCTTGTAGACAGGTACTTCTCCTCGTTTCCTCACAGGCTGTCCCTCTGTGTGTGTCTGTGTCCTCATTTCTTCTTATAAGGACACCAGACATATTGGATCAGGGCCCACTCTAATGCCCTCATTTGAACTTAGTCACCTCTTTAAAGACCCTGTCTCCAAATAAGTTCACATTCTGAGGTGTTAGGGGTCAGGACCTCCACATATGAATGTTGGCAGAATGCAATTTAGCCCTTAATTGTACCTTTCTTATGTCTGAGATATTTGCTGTAAACTTGCTCTGAGGTTTTTGAAGTAATCTGCTGTGTCTGTCTTCAGTGTTGGGAAAGTCCTCATCTTGACTGGGGGATGGCACTTATTCTCCCGAGCCCTCACACTCAAGCCCCCCTGTTGTTTGTCCCACAGGGGTGCTCCCCTCTGCTCTCCTGGACAGAGGATTGGAAGCTGCTGTGGTTTGTGAATACGGTCCTCCATCACCAGTCTCTCCAGGCCATCTCTGATCTTCAAAGCAATGGACAAACATTACAGTGTGATTTTGCGGTAGATAAGTCCAAAGAATCCCTGCACCGTCTGGCACGGAGGCTGAGGCTGGGGTCATTATAGTGGTGATGGGTGACTGGTGTGTTAATTGACAAGTACTATTCATCAGAGCTGCAGACTCTTACCTGGAAAGGTGCCCTCTGTGGCGGGCAGGGGGATTCCTCCTGGTGCGCCTGCAGGTCTGTTTCCAGGCACTCTAATGCCAGTGGTTCTGCTGCTTGGATCGTGCAAGTGTGAGTCCTGACCAGGGCTCGTAGGAAGTAATTATTCAACATCTGCACAGCTATCTGTCAGTCCGTGGGTCAGCTGGCCTCTGGACATTGCTGTCTGACCCCATTTTCCACTAATGAATATGTCAGTGATGTGTGGAGACATTCAAGGATCATTTTCCGATTTTGAAAGCTTTAGATGTTTAATAAGGATTTTCAGCAGTTTGAAAAGATTTAGCCAGCACAGTGGAGTCCAACAGCTCCCGTCATCTGCCTCACTGGCCCATAAGCACAGATCACAGCTTGTCAGGGTGTCTTGATGCTCCCCCAGCCACAATGAGGGTGCTTCCAAAGCAGGACCAATCAGACAACCCACAGCACCTAGCCCAGTGCTTATTTCTCTTTCCTTTCATTGCAATTTTTGTTAATACTGATTAATTCTCAAGAGAAAGTTCCTCTGGAAAGAATAGTCCCAGAAATGTCAGGCATAAAAGCTGGAATGGTTATGTTGATGGCAGGTGTCTGATGTATTAATTGTGAAGTGAAAAGTATCATAGCCGCTGACTCATCTTCTGCAGAGTCTTTGTGGTTCCTCTGTGACTGTGAAACTCTCCCATCCCGGGCAGAGAGCGAAGGACATGCTAAATGATGCGGGGCCACAGGGGAGCCCCAACCCTCCTGAAATTGAGATGGTTAGTTAGGGCATAGCCAGCATCTCCTCTCTATTCCTTAAACTGTTGATTGGATCAGGTGGTGAACTGAGCTTGCAAGAAAGCAAGAGCTTCCTTGATTGTACAACGTCACCTGGCCTCCTGGGCCCGAGTCTTCTCACCTCTCAAGCAGGGGAGCTGCCTTCGGTTATCTCTACAATCCCTTGTGGCACCCACATCCTGTGATTTTGATGTGGCCCCTGGACCCACGGACATGTCTATGTCAGCAAATTGTGTTTCTCCTGAACCGCTGGTCTGCACGCATCTGGGATGGCCATGACTGTTGGTTGAATGTGTGTCTGTTTTCTCACTGGATGTGGGAAAGCTCGGAGCTGGGAGCTCACAGCGCACGCCATGGTATGGACAAACCTCAGCCCTGGCTTTGTCTAGCTTTTCCACCTTTACTCTCCCTTTGACCCAGCTTTCTTACATTCTCTTCTTGAAATTTAAAATGGATTAATTTATGTTTTGAGTAAGTAATGCATTTATATGCTTCATACATTTAAACATTATGAAATGGTCGTGTTTGAAAAGACTCCCTCCCATTTCTGTTCCATTCTCCTGGCTCCCACTCCCAACACCCACCGGTAACCATGGTTAGAAGTTTCTAGACACTCTCCCTTCCAGGGAACCTTTAGGCATACACATGTATAGAAATACATATTGTGCACATGTATTTACAGACAGTTATGTGTTTCTCTCCCCTTCCCCCACAAGTATATCATGCCATACACATCGTTCTGCAACTTATTTTTTTCATTTATCAATAAATCTTGCATATTTTTTCAAATCAATATATAAAATTCTCCCTTTTAATTATTTTAAAGCTGCAAATATTTTATTGTATGGATGTGTCATAATTTAATTTATGGACTTATTTTTAAATTTTAATGATCTCTTCTATAGGCAGTTGAGGTCATAGTTGAAAGCCCAAGCGTGGGATTAGGTATAAGACTGGAATCCGGCTTCCTCTGCTCACTTGCTGTGTGAACACAGGCAAGTGAGTTGATCTCTTTGTGTCTCAGTTTCATCAACTATAAAATGGATCAATAAAAGTGCCTATCCAGGGGGTATTGGAGAAGTAAATCAGTTAGTAAGGGAAATGCATGGCACAGAGCCAGGCACAGGGGGTGATGTTAGTGTGCAAAGCTATTGGACATCTCTTAAGCTGCCTTAAAATAGATTTAAGTGGATTAGGAGTCAACACATCAATAAATAAAGACGTGTGACTACGGCTGCATTTTTCATCCCACATTTGCATTTTGTGGTCCTAAGTTCTTATTCATTAGGGTAAGAAGTTAAATGGCCTCAAGAGAAGATGATATGGAATGTCATGTATGCACAGCTGTGGGGCTTTGGCTGGAATCTGCTCTCCTTGAATGTCAAGTGGCTATTATGTTTAGTGGGGGAGCCCAGGGACATAGGTACTGTCCCTGGCTTGTTATACAAATCTCAGTGTATGAATAATTAGCAAAAAGAAATATAATACTTAAAGAAATCAGCCATAGTCACCAAATCTCCTTTTATAAATATTTCAGACAATACTTCCATTATTTTTACTACTATTTCTTGCAAATTCTAATCATTTCACCAAGAGCTTCTATCAGGTACTATTAAACCATCTTTTCTTTTCTTTTTTGGGGGTTTGGATAAAAATGACCAATATGCAATCATTTATTTCAGCTCTTCAAAATACGTTCTTTCTTAATTTACTTAAAATGCTAGTCTTATCCACACAGAGGCTTATCCATATAGCCTCTGACAATTTTTAAGCAGCTTTTAATGACTACTCAAATAAAACGTCACAATTTTCATAGTTTTGCCATGTGCATGAATCTCATTAGGAAGGGTACAGAAAATAATTCCCTGGATGTATAGATGCTGGAAATAGAAGTCCACAGCAAATGTCCAGCACAGATCTGAAAATCTATAGATTGAGTAGATGCTGATACATCTGTGTTCAACTTAATGATTTATTTATTTGTCAGGGTGGTGAGGGGAACCCTAGAGAAGCTGTGGAGCATTTTAGGAGAGAATTAAACAAATGAGTGAAATATAAAATGGTTTTAAGACCTCCTGCCTGGAGACAGAGGGATGGCCACGATGGTGTTTTTCCAGGCTCTCTTCCCCAGCCACACAGCTCTGAAGGTGCCAGGAAGCCCAGAACCACAACATAGGGTTTTTCTGTGTATTTCTGCCCTTCTCCTCCCACTCTCATCATTCAGTTGTTCCAACCATCAGTCTTGACACCTGCAAGAGCTCCACCCCAACAGGCACACCCATGAGGCTGAGCAGCTTTTCTCTTTTTTCACCATGTGTACTCTGACCTCTGCCTGCTCTCTCCACTCTCCTAACTGGAACCTGGGAGAAGAGAGTGAAAAAGCTCACAAGAGCCACCTTAACACTTTGCAATGGCTTTATGGTGTGGCAACTTGGCCAGACTGAACGACAGTTCCTAGACTTCCTTTTTAGCACATGTCTGATCAGGGTGGGCTACAAGAGGCATTCTCATGAGAGCTGGAGGATGGAAGGGAGGCAGTAGCCATCCTAAGCATCACACACAGCCTTCCTAGCTATCCCATCAAATGCTAGTCTAGGTGCTGCTGGAAGGAGATTTTACAAATGTGACTAGAACCCCTAATCAGTTGAGCTTAAATTAATCAAAAGCAAGGTTATTCTGAGCAGGTCTGACTTATGCAGTTGGAAGGCATTTTTTTTTAAAAACTTAGGCTTTCCTCACACTCAGAGACTTCAATAGCAGCTGTGTCTGTGACTGCTCTCCCATCACCCGGGTGGTCCTTCCAACTGCCACATGTGGACAACAAGCTTCAGCTTGCCCATGGGTTTTCAGCCTAAGTAGGCTCCTCCCTTCCTGCCTGTCTGCCCTTGCTTAGCTAGCCCCAGTAATTCCATAAGGCAATTCATTGTAGTAAATCAATATAGATGTGTGTATACATATATACCTTTCCATATATATATGTGTGTGATACATGTGTATATAATATAAAATACTATGTATGTATAGTCAGCCCTTTGTATCTGGAGGTTCTGCATTTGTGGATTCAACCAACTGCAGGCCAAAAATATTCAAAAGATTAATCAATTAAAAAATAGCAATACAATTTAAAAAATACAAATAAAAAACAATACCGTATAACAACTATTTGCATAGTATTTATACTGTATTACATATCACAAGTAATCTAGAGATGATTTAAAGGATACAGGGTGATGTGCATAAGTTGCATGTAAATACTACAGCATTTTATATCGGGGACTCGAGAACATGAGGATTTGGGTATCTGTGGGGGTCCGGGAACCAATCCCTTGCAGATAGCAAGGGACAACTGTACATATACTTATATGTATTATATATTGTATGAAAGTGACTGGTTCTGCATCTCTGGTTAAACTTTTACTAAATTTGGTATCAGGAATGGGGTGCTACTCTAACAAACAGTGGATGTTCTTCAACTTCAGATGGGGTTATGTTCCAACAAACCCATCATAAATTGAAAATGCATTTAATGCACCTAACCTACTGAACATCACAGCTTGGCCTAGCTTACCTTAAACACGCTCAGAACACTTACAGTAGCCTATGATAGGGCGGAATAATCTAACACAAAGCCGATTTTATAATCAAGTGTTGAGTATCTCATGTAATTCGTTGAATGTTGTACTGAAAATGTAGCACAGAATGATTGTATGGGCACTTGAAGTACAGTTTCTATTGAACCCATATCACTTTCGTAACATTATGAAATCCTAAGCCAAACCATTGTAAGTTGGAAACCTTCTGAACTTAAAATGTGGAAACAACTTTGGGACTTGGCAGCGAGTAGAGGCTAAGAGACTTTTGAGTAGCACAGCAGAGAAAGCCCAAATCACCATGAACAGACTGCTAGAGGAAATAGGGATGCTAAAGGTGAATCCTCCGGGGAGAACTCAGAAAGGAATGTGACAGGTGTTCCAGGAAATCGGAGCAAGGAGGATCCTTCCCATGTGTGCCAGAGAGTTTAATGAAATTGTCCATGGAGAGCAGGACTTGTAAGCGATGATGTTGGTCACATAGCTAAGGCTATTTCCAAACAAAGTGTTAAGTGTATCACCTGGTTTCTTCATGTTATTTATAGTGAAGCGGGAGAGGAAAGAGATAAATTGAGGGAAGAACATCGAACAAAAAAGAACCAGTATCTGATGATTCTGAAAATCCTTAGCCTCACCAGATGATGCTAAAAGGTGCTAAAATTAAGAGATTCTTCAGCTGATGAAGAAGCAACTCACCAGGAGCCCTACAGCTTCAAGGAAATCACTCCCACCAACAACTGTGTATGCTCAGGCGAGGGTGTGAAGCCTCAGTGGGGAGCCCAGCCCTGGCAGGCACCTTGATTACAGCCTTGAGACCCCGAGCTGAGGACCCAGTGAAGCTGGACTCTGACTCTCAACCCATAAATACCATAAGATAATAATTGCACTTTGTTTTAGTGGTAATTTATTATACAGTCATAGAAAACTAATAATACGACCTAGGACTTTACATTTCATACACGGAGCAGAAGAATAAATAAACCCAAGCTCAGGACCTCTGAGTATAATTTATTATGTGTGTGATAAAGAAGTAGTATTTTGCAGTAATTTGGGGATTACCATCTCAAATTACTCTAATGCAGAGTAATTCATTCTTTTTTGAATGTTATCATCAGAAAACCAGGGACGAACCAAGATGTTTACTATATACCTGCAGGAATAATTTTGTCAGCATACAGAATGCAATTTTACCAATAATGGAATGGTCTAGAAGCACACTGTTGGCAGGTGGGCACTCTCACACAGTAACTCAGAGAGAGATGACGGGGCTGCAGCCAGAGGCAGCACTCACCTGTGCTTCACCCACGTGTCAGACTCACTGGCTCGATCCGTGTAGTTTTCCGGCAGGAAGCCCCGGCAGCCCGTCCGCTGTGAGATCCCAATCACCCAGCCCTCGCTGGCTTCGTCCTGCTGCGTGGGGTCCACAAAGATGTAGTCACCAGGACTTAGCGTCAGCTCATCCACGTTCTGGGGTTTGTACTGGAATAGGGCTCTCAGGGTCTAGAAAAGAGGCAAAGGGGTTTCACGTCTCGAGCAAAGATTTACATTGGAAAATGGCAGCAATAGGAGGCCTATCACCTGCCACCTCCTGCTTTCTGCCCCTCCAATGTGTTCTGTGTCTCCAAGACTCCATCCAAAGCTTTGTCTGGCAATATATAGCACAGAATGTAATGAAACGCAGCATAGAATTCTTTGGATAGATTTAGAAATACATTTTGGGGCCAGGCGCGGTGGCTCACGCCTGTAATCCCAGCACTTTGGAAGGCCGAGGTGGGTGGATCACAAGGTCAGGAGTTTGAGACCAGCCTGGCCAATATGGTGAAACCCCGTCTCTACTGAAAATACAAAAATTAGCTGGACATGGTGGCGGGTGCCTGTAGTCCCAGCTACTTGGGAAGCTTGAGGCAGGAGAATCACTTGAACCTGGGAGGCGAAGGTTGAAGTGGGCGCAGATCACTCCACTGCATTCTACCCTGGGTGACAGGGTGAGACTCCCTCTCAAAAAAAAAAAAAAAAAAAAAAGAAAAAAAGAAAAAAAAAAGAGATACATTTTGGGATCTATCCATCATCCATCCATCTAGGTACTTTTTTGTCTACAAAAGATCTGAAGGCATAAGCAGACTTTCACATCCGCCTTCCTCGGTGTGAGGTTATTGACACCTCATACGATACAGAACATGGTGGATTCATTCACACGTGCTCTCTGGGTCTGAAAGGAGCATCACACACTTCGTTTCTAAACCCATCGATTCATGGGCAGGAAGTCCCAGAATGAGGTTTCACTCAAATCATTCTTTAAAGTGAATTGTGCTCACTTTGGCAGCACATATAACTAAAATTGGAATGCTGCAGAGAAGATTAGCATGGCCCCTACATTTAAAAAATAAATAAATAAAAAAGAATTAATAAGCAAAACATGTATTCATAGATCTTTACAATAGTCCTTTCCTTTCTGTCTTTTTTTTTTTTTTTTTTTTTTTTGCCAGTCTCGCTCTGTTGCCCAGGCTGGAGTGCAACGGTACGATCTCTGCTCACTGCAACCTCCACCTCCCAGGTTCAAGTGATTCTTCTGCCTCAGCCTCCCGAGTAGCTGGGATTACAGGTTCGTGCCATCACGCCCGGCTAATTTTCTGTATTTTTAGTAGAGACAGCGTTTTGCCCTGTTGCCCAGGCTGGTCTCGAACACCTGACCTGAAGTGATCCACCTGCCTCAGCCTCCCAAAGTGCTGGGATTATAGGTGTGAGCCACCACACCCAGCTTCCTTTTCTAATATTGGAAATGCTTCTATTTTGTTGTCTGTGCATCTCTAACTCACATATAAAAGAATGCTGGTTGTAAATTGCACAAGAAAGAGAATGGCTTTAGAGAAGCAATAGAAATTTTCCTTGCTACTAACATATCTCCCTTGGAGGGCTCCAGGGGGTACATGCTGTCAGGTGAGTGGCCGTTCACTCATCTGCTTCTTTTTTTGAGACGTCTCGCTCTGTAGCCCAGGCTGGAGTGCAGTGATGCTACCTCCACTCGCTGCAAGCTCCGCCTCCCGGGTTCACTCCATTCTCCTGCCTCAGCCTCCTGAGTAGCTGGGACTACAGGTGCCCGCCGCCGTGCCTGGCTAATTTTTTGTATTTTTAGTAGAGACGAGGTTTCACCATGTTAGCCAGGATGGTCTCCATCTCCTGACCTCATGATCCGCCGCCTCGGCCTCCCAAAGTGCTGGGATTACAGGCGTGAGCCACCGAGCCCAGCCCATTCATCTGCTTCTTATGAGCCCCTGCTCAGCTCTCTCACCTGGTAGTGCACAAAGCGCATGTCTCGGGAGTAGAGTGCTGCGGTCCACTGGCAGCTGTGGCCCAGGGGGATGGCTCTGGCCAGCTGCTCCAGCGTCCTCTGGTGGTGGGGGTAGAACTTGTGGGCCAAGGTCAGATGCAGCTGTTTGGTGCAAGGCTTCACGGAGCAGTCTGTGAAATCAGGGAAACACAGAGGGTGCCAGGACACCGTTACCTAAATGTCTCCTTCCTCCGACCTCCATGCTTCCTCCACAAGGCAAGGGCTCTCAGAACTCAGAGCTCATTTGGCCCGCTCAGAACTCACATCATAAAGGAGATGGCTGGATCCCTGTAGATTTTTCCAGGAAGTAGGAAAGAGGACGATATGGAGATGTGGGTTCAGGGTCTCGGGGGCCTATCGGTTTGCAGGCTAGCTGCCCGAATGCACGATTCAGATGCACAGAGTAAACGGCTCCTCCATTCCCCGGGGTGTGCACGTTACCCAGTGGCCTGGACTTGCAGGCCCGAGCTCCAGTTCAACGGCTTTTTGTTTAATCGTAGAGTTTCAAGAAGAAAACTCTTTAGGCAACAAAACTATAAAACACACAGTGTCTTTAAGGTTCACCTTGTTTTGGTGAAGCAGGAAGTCCTGGGAGTGGTTGAGCCTCAGGTCTTTTTGGGTGTCCTCTGCCCCTGTGGCCCTAGCCCTCCCTGGTCCTGCCAGGGGCTCTCAGGTCAGTCTGAGCAGAGCAGCTGGCATCACCAAAGCAGCCAGGATCTGATTTCAGTTGAGCCACAAAGTATTTTATGTCCTAGGGAGGCGGTCTGTGTCTTGACGGGAACAACACAAACTTTGGTGTCAGATAGACCTAGTTTTAGGCTGCACTTTGCCCCCTTTTGCAGGGTGACCTTGACTGAGCCTCTGGGCCTGCCCAATTTCTGCTTCAGCAGCATCTGCTGGAGGACGGCAGCGCCTGCTCGCCAAGGCTGCAGTGGGAAATCAGCCTCCTAACCTAAAGTTTCCTGCTAGAGACGCCGTGTCGGTGCACAGACGTACCCTGCCCCCACTCCACGGCAGGGCACTTACAAACAGGATCTGCTCACCCCCTAAAAAAGGTCAAGGTTGATGCAAGCCTTTCCCTGGAGCCCCGAAGTTGGGGCTCACTGCTGTCTCCCACGTGAGAGGTGAGCCTTTAGAGGCAAATGGGAAGCTCCCACGGTCTCTAGGAAAGCTGGGGCACTGAGGCTGCACAGCCCAGAGCAGCATGAGTGTGTAGGTGGTGGGGAGCAGCATGAGTGTGTAGGTGGTGGGGAAATTCCTTTCCTGACTTTTGTTTTTAGCAGTCGGGGAGGACCGCCTTGCCATGCGAGTGAGTGTGGCCTGGGAAAGACCCACTGCAGGTTGCTGACGTCAGAGTGAGTCACACCGACTTCTGAACGGGTCCTTGCGTTTCCTTCTCTCTGCGGACCTGTGCCTATGGGCACGTTTCACTGGGGAGGACCAACGCGGGCAAGGGGGCCTCATGCATTTGCCCCAAGAGGGACCTCGGCCACTTCAGAGCAGTGACTGGTCACTCATCACTGAGAGAGTCCCCTCCACCCCCTCGGTGTCAGGCTGAGAGCATGGGCCATGGAAGGGCAGGACACAGCCTGCTTAGGGTCGGGGCGTAGATGTGAGGTCAACGCTGGCTCCCACAGGAAGTGGGGCTGCCCAGCATGAACCCAGGCAGCATGGAGCAGGACAGAGGTGGGTTCAGGTCCCTGCTCCGCCAGCCTGGTTAGGGGACTAGATTGGTTTCAAACAACAGAAATGTATTGCCTCCCATTTCTGGAGACTAGAGGTTCAAAATCAAGGTGTTGGCAGGGCTGTGCTCTCCCCGAAAGCTCCTGGGAAGGGTCCTTCCTGGCTTCTTCCAGTTTCCGGTGGCCCCAGGCGTCCCTTGGCTTGTGGCTACATCACTCCAGTCTCTGCCTCAGTCGGCACATGGCTTCTCTGTGTCTCTGTGCGGCCTCTACCCTTACGGGAACCCACCCTAATGCAGTGTGACCTCCTCCCAACCAATCGCATCTGCACAGGCCCTATTCCCAAGTGAGGTCACATTCCCAAGTTCCTGGTGGACAAACATTTTTAGGGGACACCGCTCTACACACCACAGGACCTTGGGCAGGCCCTTCACCCTTTGCAGCCTCAGTCTTCCTGTTTTTAAGATGCTGCCAATGAGGTTCACTGGGGGAGGGCCTGGGTGTGAAAGAGCCATCATTTGATAAAGGATACTAATCCACAAAGACCGGGGGCGACTTTCTAATTATTCAGCAGATTCGATCTCCAGACTCACAAGCTGCCATCCAAGTGGAAGCCCAGGATTCAGGGATGGATTTACAGGCCAGGATCTGTGCTTCATACATGTCTGAGCACAGACAGACACGCTCCCAGAGAGAGAAAGTGGGGAGCCCTCCCACCAAGGCACTGCGGCCTCGTCAGATTTTAGAGTCGGCAAATCTCAGCAATACTGAGTGCCTTCTGTGTCCCGGGAACTATGGCAGGATGGGCCACAGACTCAGGCAACATTGTTCTTGAAGAGTGAGAGCCCTCATTGTTTTGTAGAGAAAGAAAAAGAGACAGAGAGAGTGGACATGACTTGATTAAGGTCATGCCACTCATCAGGGACACAGAAAAAAATCACATCTTCTGACGTCAAGTCCACAATCCTTTCCACTAAACCCCAATGGTAGCCTTGGTCTCCAGGCCAGGGCTGGTGTTTGGAGAGAAGGGAATTTTGATGATTCTGAATATGAGTCTAAATAATCTTTCCCTGGAGAGGCCAAGGAGAGAGCACTAAGCTCATACTGAAAATACAGAAATAAGTCACGTAGGACTTGTGTGTCTCCCACTCAAGGCTGGGGTGGGGAGGCCCTGACTCCCTGTGTGCACCAGCCTCCAACCCCGTCACAGTCACCCACTCAGGCTTGATGCTTGGCACACCCTTCTGGGGCACTTTCCCAGGCTGTTGGCATATAGCTAAGCATTTTAAAAACCACATAATGAGAACAAGGCTATTCCCGCCTAAAGAGAAGACCAAAGCTGGTCCGGAAGCTTTCTAATGGCTTACATTTTTGAAGGATGTAGTGGCTCACGAAGGAGGCTCTAGTTAAATTGCTCAGCCTCAGGTTAGGGCCATGTCCAGGCACCTGGCTGAAAATCCAGAAGCGGGAAACGGAAGTGCCTGGGTGAGGACAGGTGCAGCCACTGAGCCCGGAAGAAAGCCCACCCAGCCATCCCACCATTGCTGCTGGGCTCTGCTCCCCTGGAACCCACCCACTGCATCCATGTGCCGGGGGCTAGTCCCTGCCACAGAGGGCTCACTCACTGTGAATCCAGCCCTGTGTTTGCAACTGGCCAGGGCTGCCCACCTGCTAAGAGAGATGCTTCCGTGGCGAAGGTCATGGCGAATTCCCGGATGACGTCTGCGGGGCTGCCACTGACGAAGAAGCCGAGGTAGCTGATGGAGGAGTGGAGAGCCAGAGGCACGGCCGTGGGGAAGGAGCCCAGGAGCCTGTCTCCAGCTCTCTTCAGCGCCTCGTACAGGCATTCCACCTTCTGGTCTTCACACTAAGGGGACAGAGACAGAGCCTGTGTTTCCACACCTCTCATCAGAAGTCATCTATTAATTTAATTAATAACAATCAGGCAGCAATTAAAGTGAGATTCTTTTCTGTTCAAAGCGCTGTAACATAATTTATTGCGTCCCTTTGTGTCTGGGGTTATGGATTTGTTCTATACCTGGACCTCGGTTTTTTCAAATATTTCAGGTAAGTTTCTTTGCAGGTTGGAGTCTCCTTTAGGTGCCCAGGTTGGAAATCCCCTGGTCGTTGAACTGCATCCCCTCCCTCCATGGCACGTGCTCATCACCTGCCAGGCCCTTTCCTCAGTCCCATGGCACACTGCTTTGCTCAGGTTTGCATGATTTGGCTTCTGGAGGTTTCTAGCAGACTCCAAGGCTGCCCAGGCACTGCTCAGAGCCTGTAGTGAGCGGGACTCAGCTGCACTTCCAGCTGCGGGGCCACCCTCTCTTCCACGGCTGAGCACTGAGTCGGGTTCCACAGGGACTCCTCTAAGGCACTGAGGCTCTGCCTGCCTCCAACCCTCTCCTCCTCTTTTGCCTTCACCAGCAGTCTCTCCCCTGTGCGTCTCCTGCACTGGGAATTCTGCCTTGGGGTCTGCTCCCTGGAGGACCTGAGCCTGCACAGCCCCTGGCCCGGCCTCCCTGATGCCCCCTGAGTGGCTGCAGGACCCTCTTTCTGATGCAGCTCCCACCCCTGAGGCCGCAGGCTCTCTGTCACCTGGAGAATCCCTCAGGCCCACGGAGCCCGACAGGTGCTGGCCCGACAGCCTTGCCCACGGGGCTCCCACCCCCATCCTCCAGCCAGACGCAGCCTCTCCTGACATCTGGGCTCGGTGTTGCCTACCGCCCTGGGGAGGCTGCTTCCTGGGCTTGAAAACCTTCCCAGTGCCATTGGCCACATCGGACCACAGGGGAAACCCAGACACCACACCCTCCTGGCGGGAGTTGGCCTGATCCCTTCTCTTCCCAGCACCGGGCTGCCCTCGGAATTTCCCACAGTGCTTCTTACAAGCCCAAGTATGAGGCCAGATCACAGTGTTTAATGCAGCTTCCGTCTCCCCATGGACAGGCCGGCCTGACATTCCTCCCTGTCTGTTTTCTCTGCAACCCTCAACGGCACTCAACACAAAACCACCCAGTGAACACATGTCCATTCCTGAATCCGTCTCACATTGTGTTTCTTGGCCTCAGATATGTAATTTTCAAGAATAGTCATGTTATAAGTGTAGCTGTGATCAATATCACACTTCGGAAGATTAGTGTTTTCATTTTACAGCATCAAGGTACACAGTGAGTCTCCGTTACACTCTTCTGCCTGTGAGGGGAGCTCCACTAACCACGGCCAGGCCAGAACTGGGGTGGGGGACTGGGAGGAGCTAACGACAGAGGGAGGTGTGTGAGTGTGTTTGTGTCTGCATATGTCTATATGTGTGTGTGTCTGTGTGTGTGTCTGCATATGCGTATGTCTATGTGTGTCTGTGTGTCTGCGTATGTCTATATGTGTGTCTGTGTGTATGCATGTGTGTATCTGTGTGCATATGTGTGCATGTGGTGCTTATGTGTGTGTCTGTATGTGTGCATTTGTCTATGTATGTGCATGTATGTGCATGTCTGTGTTTGTGCATGTGTGTCTATCTAATGTGTGTCTCTGTGTGTGTCTGTGTGTGTCTATGTGCATGTATCTGTGTATTCCTGTGTGTGTATATCTGTGTGTATCTGTTTGCATGTGTACCTATGTACATGTAGTGTGTATGTGTGTCTATCTGTGTGTGTCTGTGTATGTCTGTATCCATGTATGCATGTATATATGTGTGTGTCTGTGTGTCTATATCTATGTATGTCTGTATGCAGGTATGTGTGTGTATCTGTGTGTGCTGTGTACGTCTCTGTGTCTATCTGTGTGTGTCTGTGTGTATCTGTGTCTCTGTGTGTGTCTGTATGCATGTATGTGTGTGTATCTGTGTGTGCCGTGTGTACGTCTCCATGTCTGTGTGTGTCTGTGTGTCTATATCTATGTATGTCTGTATGCATGTATGTGTGTGTATCTGTGTGTGCCGTGTGTACGTCTCTGTGTCTATCTGTGTGTGTCTGTGTGTCTATATCTATGTATGTCTGTATGCATGTATGTGTGTGTATCTGTGTGCATGTGTAAGTCTCTGTGTCAATCTGTGTGTGTCTATGTGTGTGAGCTATGTGTGTGTCTCTGTGTCTATCTGTGTGTGTGTGTGTGTGCTTGCACCTCAGTGGGCTGGGGAAGGAGTGGGGGGCCAAGGCCTGCTCTGATTTCTGAGCTGTGTCACATGGCTTGGGCTGCCTTGCCTTTCCCCGTTGGCTCCAGAGGGTGAACCAGAAGGGAGTCAGCTTGTCACAAGTACCATTGATGTCGATGTAGGGGGAAAACTCTCTCGATTTTTCTGGGGCTTTTCCAGGTTTAGTCTTGTGCTCTGGGGATCCCTGCAAGTCTCGGGCAATCCGGGGTGGTGGTTGGAGGCTTTGGAAGGTACTGCTTCTCCTGGGACATCTTCCAGAAATCTTTTCCCTTCAGAGGTTTGCATTCCTCCTTTCCATCCAGCACCGAGGGGCCTGGTGTTGGAATGGAGGGTTCCTTGGGCCCTGATGGAATTCCTTGAAATGGGTGGAACAAATCAGTTTGCCAACAGCAGAGTTGGGGCCAGGCCGCGGTAGCAGAAGTGGGTGTGCCCTTCCTTAAGCCCCTCTGGCGGAGCTGAGTAGAGCAGTGGCTGTCTGTCTCTCCCTTCTCCTTCTTTTCTCCTGAGCAGCTCCCACATTCTTCTTGTCTTCCCGGTGCCCCTGTAGAGCTGCCTGCTGGGCCATTGTGTTTTGCTGTGGAGCTACCCACTGGGCCATTTTTTTTCTGAATCAGACGGCTGGTCCCTGAGACAGGGAAAAGTTCTGCATTTGTGGGTAGCCAACAATCACCCATCCTTGAGTTGACTTACCACACATTTTGGAAGCACAAACTCTGTTTTAGGGGCTGTGCTAGTTTCTGGGGGTGCAAAGATGAGTGAGGTATCTGCCTTCCCTTGAGGGACTCGGTCTGGTGAGGGATGCGGTGCTGCACCAGACACATGGCCCGTATGATACAAAAGTGCCACTAGACACATGAACGAGAAAATGGGCAGCAACTCCTTTTGCCTGGGGAGCTGGAGAAGACTCAAAAAGGGGAGAGGATAAATGAGTTGGGTTCTGAAGGATTAATAGGAGTTGACCAGATGAAGGCAAAGAGGAAAATAAAGGACAGCTCATATGAAGGTGCCAGCTAATGATGCAGTTCTGGACTATCCCATTTAAATAAGTCAACTTTGTCCCATCATGGCCTAGTTAGCACAGAAAAATGCCTCCAGCTGCCGTGAGCATTGAAGGCACACTGGGTTGACTCACCGTGAAGAAGTCACAGAGTGTCACGTGTGGGAAGACCTCATGAGCTCTGTTCTTTGCACACTGGCGCTTGCTCTCTCTCCAGAACTCTTGAAGTTTTTCCAGCAGGGGCCCCGTTGGACAGAGGAAAAGGGCATACTCCTGGGGGATGGGGTCGTCTAGGGAAGGGTCATTGCAATGATCATGCAGCCTGCAACAGAGAGCAAGCCGGCATCACCCACTGTCACAACAAAAAGAGTTTTCCCCTTTGAGGATACACAACAGAATGACAATGACAGCAATGCAGAATTATAGGGCACACTGAAGACATCATATATGCTCATGACATAAATTAATCTCACAGCCATCCTACTGGTGGGAGGCACTGCGGCACAGCTGTGTGTGGCACAGACCTGGTCAGTGTAAGTCCTGCTCTCAGACCCACCTTAGTCTGATTCCAAAGTCAAAGGTAGAAAAAATGAAAGAAAGTTGACAGCAAGACCTAAAACCTGGTCTTCCAATGATCCGTGGGCCCAGCATCTCCTTGATGGTGTGGGAAAATTTTGTGGAAAAACCTCACATTTGTATTTTACCTCAAACTTCAAATTACATATAAAAACCAAAACCAAAAACCTAGACAAAATTTAGGTAGCTGCTGCGTTTCTTTAGATTCAGACAGTTTTTATTTTATTTTATTTTATTTTATTTTATTTTATTTTATTTTATTTTATTTTATTTTATTTTATTTTTGAGATGGAGTCTTTCTCTGTCACCCAGGCTGGAGTGCAGTGGCACAATCTCAGCTCACTGCAACCTCCACCTCTCCGGTTCAAGCAATTTTCCTGCCTCAGCCTCCTGACTGGCTGGGATTTCAGGCAGACAGTTATTTTAAATTAAAGGAAAAACGACGGATGACCCAACATAGGAGTTCATTGTCACTAACAATAAAAATGGAAATAAAATAGCTCCGAGACGGCATTTTTCTCATCTGTCAAGTTCACAAAGATTTTTTCAATAAAAAGGATAAAAGTTCTGCTCAATGTGTAAAAGATGCAGCAGGACTTAAGGACAGACCTTTCAACTTTTATGTGAAGCAATTTGCCAATAGGTATTGAGAGTCTTAAAATGCCCACACTCTTTGCATTAATAATTCTACTTCCAGAAATTTCTCCCGAGGAAAGAGCACAAAGTACTGTATAGGCAAAACTTTGCACATGAACCATCTATTTAGGGCTATTTAGAAGAAAGTTAGAAGGTTATTTAGGGTTATTTAGAAGAAAGAAGAAAAACTCCATAACTGATAGCAAATCTATTTACCGTGCATTCATTAGAAATCATGGTTTGGAAGAATTTCTAATTACTCAGCAAAGTGCCTGTGATATAATTTTCAATTTAGAAAGTAGTATTCAATCACTAGAGGAAACAGAACTTACGCAAGACCATATTCTCTTCAATAAAAATCACAGAAGAAGTTGCCACTCCTCTCCATCGTGGTTCCCACCCTCCCCCTTTCCAGGGTTCACCCAGAGGGTGAAGCTGCTTTGCCTTCTCCCAGAAATTTAAGTAACGGACTTATAGATAGCACTTGTTTTACATAAATCATAAGCTGTTATTCAAATTATTCTACAACTGGCATTTTTCCTCTACCATGTCTTTTCAATTAATCCCTGTTGATACACACGTGTCTAGTGAAGTTTGTCAGCGCGAATTTGTTAAAGGCTGTGTAATAGTTCATGTATACATATACAATGTTGCACTTGTTCATTCCCGCATTGATGAACATCTAAATTATTTTATTTTAAAACCATTTCATAACCCTGCAATCAAGATCTTTGTACATGTCTCTTTAGGCTCCTTGCATTTCTCCAGGGAATCTGCTTAGACGCACGACGGAGGCTGGTGGGCTGTGCATATTGCCAAGGTTGGCAGATACCCAGCACTGCCTTCCTCAGTGACACCAGTGACGTGTGAGGCCCTGCTTCCCTCACCCTCATCAACACTTGGAGTTACCTTGTTTGCTCTAATGATATCTTAATTTGCACCACCTCCCTGGTTACTAGTGAGAGGTTGGGGTGCTCTTGACAGTCTAGGGGACCCCATTGCCTCCCTATTTTTTGGTGGGGTTCCTAGTCTTATTGACTGGGTTGCAGTGGGCAGGTGCTGGCCATGCCCTTCACAGCAGTGGGCTTGTTTCTGATCCAAAATTGGCAACTGGCTTTAGTGGACTCTGTGAAGGGGTTGCCCATTTTGCCCGTGGCCTACACTTTCTGGAGGAGGAGGGGGCATCCCATTGGGAACACTGCACGTTCAGAGACCCAGGATCAGTATCTGCCCTCCTGCTTTGGAGAGGACACTCCAGCCTCCCAGGACCTGGTTTTTATTGTTTGATTTTCCCCGTGGCTATCTCAGGGCAGAGGATGAAGGACTCCCCACAGCACATCCGGGTAGGAGAGGGTTTTAGAGAAACGGTGGCCCTCCTCTCCATCCCCAGAGCAGAGAACAGGCCCATGGCAGTGGGTGGCTTGAAGAATCACTCACGCAGCTGGTACCTGGTGAGGTCACCTCAAATCAGAGCCCTCACCCGACCCACACACCTGGCACCCTTAGACCCACACACCTGGCTTCATGACCACCAGTAAACTCCCTTCCCCTCAGAGGCAGCCCGAGAGCATGGTGGCCGCTAGTCTCTATCAGCAAAGATGTCAATTATGTCTCAAATCTTTCCATCAATAAACACAAACATCCTCCTATCTATCTCAATCTTATCCATCGTAGTAGGCAGTTGAGGAGGACATAATCAAACACAAGTATGCAAAATCCCAGCCTGCTCTTCAATTACTGAAATAGGCTGAATATTAGCAGTACTAATATAAACCCAAATGTTACCATTTTTAACCTAATTACTTTATTCTAACAATTACCCTCATTTACGTGCTTATCACAACACAACAATCATGTCTTCCCCATTTACTCAACAAAGCACATGAACCTGTTCTTCTTGGCAGTCAAATTGGATTGAATCAGGTTTGTAAGTGAAGAAAGCCTTGTTCAGAGTTCTCTCTTTCTCTTTCCATGGTTAACCAAAGCCCTGTGCCCCTCCCTCAGTGCACTATGGGTAGGCAGGGAGGTTATTTTGTTTCACTTCCGCAGTGGCCCCATCCCACCCAGAGGCGCCCGGCTCTTCCTGGTATCAGCCCTGGTGGGAGGGAGTCCTTAGGCACAGGGAATTCAGCCCAAACGCCCCTGGGTCTACAGAAGCAGCTGCACTCACCAGGCCAAGGCCTCCTCCGCCGTCTTCCTCCCCGTGGCTGCCAACGCTTTCAGCCTGCAGAAGAGCAGACACAGACACAAAGTCACGTCGCCCATTCTTGGGAAAAGGGTCAGAGAGGCAGGGTGTGGCCTTGCACACCCAGGATCTTTGGGGGGTGCTCTGAAGAGGGCCTGATGCTGAACTTCCAGCTGGAAGTTCTAGCGCCTGTCCCCTGAGTGCTGCCATCGTGGTTTTGGACAATGCTGACCAGCTCACACCTCCCCCTCACTGTCCTTCCCTGGCTACCCGCTTCAGCCCTTGGCACGGGGTCTCAGGGCTGAGGACCTGACCTCCGCCCGCTCCTGCAATCCCTCTCCCTGGCCTGCCCCCCCCCCCCCCACTGCCTAGATCAAATGGACCCACCCTGCGGAACGTGCCCCTGGCTCGGACACACGCTTTCCTCACCCCAGCATCAGCGACCCTGATCCCCAGGCTCGCCTCCCACACCTCTCTGCTGGGAAACAGCCCTTTCCAAAGCACCCAGGCAGGCACTTGTTACGGCTTACACAGTCCCCTTGCACCCACGGCTCTCCCCTGCTAGACCAAGAACTCCCTGAACACAGGACTGAGTCTTATTCATCACGGTAACCCGGGACGTAAGTACATTGCATTGAATTGGGCAGAACTGGACCAAATGAAACAGAATGGAATATAGCAAAGGTAATTTATCAGGAATGCAGACTGGAAACAGCGGGCGTCCATGAGGAACCCACCACATGATGCCGAATGCTGCTATTTGGGTGGGCACCGATGGGGCTGTGGCCACCTGGAGAGGTTTGAACAAGGCAGCCTTGGTGCAGGGCACTTACTATGAGGTGCTCTGGTGTGGGGAAATTAACACACATTTCTCTTCCTCCAACATGTGCTTAATGTTTAAACTGGAAGGAATTTTGAGTAGAAGTCCATGCTATACGTTTAGTAGTAAAATCCAGCGTGGACTCCTTCAAAGGCATGGAAAGCTGGTTCGGGTTCCACCTCCGCCACTAATGCACTCTCTGGGCCCAGTGTCCTGCCTGCACTGGGTGGTGAGCAGTGGACAAAAGCTGCCTTGTCTGTAATGCCTGGACGGTGCCCGGTGGCCGCCCTGCACATGCCTGACCCCACTCCCCATTCAAAGGCCCCTGGCTTAGCTTGAACATAACAGTGACGACAAAGCCCTGATTTGGGGAGAAGAAATGGGTTTGTCTAGCTTCAGAGTTACTTCACCCAATTTGGCCAAGCTTTTGTTATAGTGTGGAAGGAAAGTTTAGCTCCTTCCCCAACCCAAAGTTACCTAAAGTGTGTTTCTGATACATTTTTCCATGTGAAAAAATGAATGGGTCAGATTTAAAGTGTGTTTCTGATACATTTTTCCATGTGAAAAAATGAATGGGTCAGATTTAAGGCACTGGTTTGCCATGAAAGCTGTAACCCAATGTTGGTGTCGTGGCCTCCCTCTCCGAGAGTGGTAACTCTGAAGGCTAAGCTCTTCCACATGCAGGCCTTTCCCTTGGGTAAGCAGGGTCGCGCTCACACTGTGTCTGAAGTTTCCTACCCATTTGTTTCGTTATCAGACACTCAAGGGATTGTCTCTGAGGACAAGTGACTTTCCCCGGGCAGCGTGGAAGCACAGCCCTGCTGACAGTTGGTCCCAGTGTTAGAGACTCAGCGGGCTTTGGGGCCTTTCACGTTAGAGTTTGAATATCTTGAAACGCCACTTTCAGAGTCACTGAGCTGCACACAAAGAGATTACAACCAGGCCCCAATCTCCTCCAAACCCCCAAAATGGGGCACCCAGAGTAATACATGGCTTCTGATTTTCACAAATTTCAGGGTCCCCCAGTCAGCCAGCCGAGCTGGTCTTTAAAAGGTCAAGAATATCAGGGGTATTCTTGTGCCTCCCTGGGCCACACATAAAATACGCTAACACTAATAATAGCTAATGAGCTAAAAAAAAAATCTCATAATATTTTAAGAAAGTTTACCAATTTGTGTTGGGCAGCCAACACAAATTGAACAGGGCAGCCTTAGGAGGCTGAGGTGGGATGATGGCTTAAGCCCAAAGCTGTCCTGGGCCTCATGTGGGTTGGACAAGCTTGGTCAAGATCACCTCATTTACGAGAAGCAGAAGAGGGCCCTGTGAAGAGGCAGTGTCTTACCCTGCAAGGTGCACTGCTTTGGCAGGAAGCCGTACCCTACACCCCTGCAGCTCCATGCCGGGGGCCGCAGCAGGGTCTGGCACCAGCCTTACTGGCTGGGCCCCGGGGTCTCTGGGCAGTACTCACGCGGTGTGCACCGGGAAGCCCATGGCCAGGAGGGGCTCCAGGAGCGAGGGGCTGCTGCGGCTCTTGAGCTTGTTGGAGACCTTGGCGTAGAGCTGCGTCTCCCCCGCTGCCATCTCTTCCTGCCCTTAGGCCAAGAAGCTCGCCTGCACACAGAAATGAGGAGATAAAGCAAGAGGGGGAGAGGCAAGGCTGAGGCTGTGAAGAAAAACCTCAAGCTCTTTTTGATCTTTCTGACAAAAGTTGATATCCTGTTTGCATGAGATATCAGTTTTCAGAATTCTGTTTGCAGGATGCTGGGTGCAGCGTCCACCAATCCTAACTGTTTCCACCACGGGAGTTTGAGGCTAAAGGTCCAACCGAGCCCCTGCACGGGATCAGCCTCTGTAGGGACTTGGCTAGTATTCGGGAGCAAGAATGCGTGAGAGCATGGGGGAAGGAAGCGGAGGAGAAGTCAGGGAATGAGTTCCCTCCTGGATCCTGCTGGCCCCCTGCCCTGACCCACCCTGGATCCCAGTCTCCTTGTCTGTGAACAAGACATTAAACCCCACTCTATCTATTGTCTCGGATTGCTGGAAAACTTACTGGTTCTTTCAGTCATTCATTGACTTGTTTTTTTATTTTAAAAACTTTAAAAGCTTTATATGTGTACAGAAAAGTTGATGAATCATATGTGTATAGCTCAAGGAATTTCCATAAATGAGCCCACACCCCTAATTCCCCCACGACCCAAAATCAAACAGGGCAACCAGGGGAATTTTGTACCTCCTCCACCCAAGGGGACATTTGGAAATGTCTGGAGACATTTTTGTTTCCAAAATGAGGCGGGGGTGGTGGTGGGTGGGGTGGACATCGTGGTACCGGCACTAGTGGGTAGAGGCCGGGAATGTCACAGTGCCCAGGACAGTCTCCCCAACAAAATTTCACTAGTGCCAAGGTGGAGATAGCCTGCTCTGGAACATTCTCAGAACCTCAGATGCACCTCTGCCCCCAGCTCAGCCTCCTCCAGTTATCTCCTCCCTCCCCCAGAAAGTAAACTGCTGTATCACTTGTATATGAATTGTGCCTGTGGTTGAGCCTTATGTAAATAGAACCATATAGCATATTCTCTATCATATCTCATTTCTTTTTCCTCAAATTATGCCTGTAAAATTTATCCACATTATTGCTTGTAGCCACAGTTAGTTCACTGTTATTGCTGTGTAGTATTTGATTAATAAATATACCAGCCAGGCGTGGTGGCTCACGCCTGTAATCCCAGCACTTTGGGACTTTGGGAGGCCAAGGGGGGGGTGGATCACCTGAGGTCAGGAGTTCGAGACCAGCCTGGCCAACATGTTGAAACCCTGTCTCTACTAAAAAATACAAAAATTAGTTGGGCATGGTGGTGCATGCCTGTAATCCCAGCTACTCAGGAGGGTGAAGCAGGAGAATCATTTGAACCCAGGAGGTGGAGGTTACAGTGAGCAAAGATTGCATCACTGCACTCCAGCCTGGGACAGAGTGAGACTCCAGCTCAAAAATAAATAAATAAAATAAATATAACATAATTCATTTATCCATTTCTCTGTTGATATGCATTCAGGAAGTTTTCGGTTGTTTTGCTATTGTAACTAATGTTGCTGAGGACGTTCTTGTATGTGTCTTTGAGTGCCTTGTGCATGCATTTCTGTTAGGTGTGCATCTAGGAGTGGGGTTGTTGGATCACAGAGCACGTGAAACTCCATTAGGAACTGCCAAGCAGTTGTACAAAGCTCTATATCCTCATGCACACTTAATATTATCAGTCCCTAATTTTAGCCACTCTGTGGTGGGGGTGGTGTGTAGTTGTATCTCCCTGTGGTTCCCATTTGTATTTCCCTGAGGGATAATGATATTGGGCACCATTTCACAGGCTTATTGCCCATTTGAATATCCTCTCTGGGGAAGTTCCTGTTCAGATATTCTGCTCTTTTTTTTTTTTCACTAGGGTGTTTGCTTTTCTTATCAATTTGTGGGAACTCTGGTTAGAGTTTTCTGCATCCTGTTCAAGAGATTGTTGTTAATCCAACATCGATGAAGATCATCTATGTTTTGTTCTAGAAGTTTTGCTACTTTTGCTCTTCATATTTAGCTCTATGATCCATTTGAATTCATTCTGTGTATGGTGTGAGGTAGGGGTAAACTTTCATCTACTTCCGCATTGAAAGGGCTATCCTTTGCCCAGTGAATTGCAGTAGGAGGCTTATTGTAAATCAAGTGACTGTATATGGATTAGTTTTTTCTAACTTGTGTGCTCTCTTGTTTGATTTGTCCCTCTTTGTGCCCATTCTACACTGTTTTAATCACTATAGTGCTAAACCCTCTGGTTTTGTCCTTTGCTTTTTCATAAACATTTACAAATCAGGTTGCCATGGTGTGTCATAGTGTGTCATTGGGTAGTGCAAAAAGATTCACACCTACAATCAATTGATTTTCAACAAGGATGCCAATGAAATTCAATGGGGGAAGGATAATGCTTTTGATAAATGGTGCTAGAGGCTCAGCCCATAATCTCAGCAGTTTGGGAGGCCAAAGTGGGAGGATCACTTGGGCCCAGGAGTTTGAGATCAGCCAGGGCAGCAGAGTGAGACTCCGTCTCTTAAAAAAAAAAAAAAAAAAGACATGGTGGCATTAGTTCCAGCTACTCAGGAGGCTGAAGTGGGATGATGGCTTAAGCCCAAGAAATCGAGGCTGCAATGAGCTGTGATTGCATCACTGCATTCCAGCCTGGGTGACAGAATGAGACCCTGTCTGAAAAAAAAAAAAAAAAAAATTAGTGCTAGGAAAACTGCATATTGGTAGGAGGAAAAACGAACCTCAACCCTTACCTCACATTATATACAAAAATTAACTCAAAATGTAAATGCTAAAACTATAAAACTCCTTAAGAAAACCTAGAAAAAAAATGTTTGCTATGTTGGAGTTTGCAAAACTTTCTTAGGACATAAAGCGAATAAACCAACAAAAGAAAAAGTTGATGAACTGTACTTCACCAAAGTTGAAAACTTCTGCTCTTTGAAAGACATCTTAAAGAGTATAATAAGGTGAACCACAGACTGGGAGAAAGTATCACTATACATATAGCTGACAAAGGACTTGTTTCTAGAATATACAGAATATTTTATATATACTTATAACAAATAATAAGAAAACAAGCATCTATTTTAAGAATGGGCAAAGTATCAAAAAAGATACTTTTAAAAAGAAGATATATACATAGACATGAAAAGATGCTCAACATCATTAGTCATCAGGGAAATGCAAATTAAAACCGCAATGTGATTCCACAGCACACCCACCAGAAGAGCTAAAATGGAAAATACCAGGTTTACACAAGGCTGGGGAGTAACAGGAGCTCTCACACTGTGCTGGTGGGAATGCGTAACTGTCCAACCACTTTGGGGAACATTTGGAGGGTTTCTTATAAAGGTAAATATACATGAAAACGTGTGTCCACACAAAGATTGGTCTATGAATGTTCATGGCAGCTCTACGCATAATAGTTCCTTCTATTTTTTTTGCCTTTATTGCACTGACTTGGAACCCAAGTCAAATGTTGAACAGATGTGGTACTAGTGCACCTTCTTGTATAACTCTCCATTTCAGAGGACAAGGTCTCAATATTTCACCATTAAATGTGAGCATATTGTGATATTTATTTGTATAGTTTTATTTTCACTTTTTTGAGGCAGAATCTCACTCCGTCACCCAGGCTGGAGTGCGGTGGCATGATCTAGGCTCACTGCAACCTCTGCCTCCTGGGTTCAAGTGATTCTCCTGCCTCAGCCTCCCGAGTGGCTGGGACTACAGGCGTACACCACCATGCCTGGCTAATTTTTATATATTTAGTAGAGATGGGGTTTCACTATGTTGGCCCGGCTGGAACTCCAGACCTCAGGTGATCCACCTGCCTCAGCTTCCCAAAGTGCTGGGATTACAGGTGTGAGCCACTGTGCCCTGCCTGATTTTTAAATAATATTCTTTTGGGGCCGGGCGCGGTGGCTCATGCCTGTAATCCCAGCAATTTGGGAGGCTGAGGTGGGCGGATCATAAGGTCAGGAGATCGAGACCATCCTGGCTAACACAGTGAAACCCTGTCTCTATTAAAAATACAAAAATATTAGCCGGGCAGGGTGGTAGCCTGTAGTCCCAGCTACTTGGGAGGCTGAGGCAGGAGAATGGCGTGAACCTGGGAGACAGAGCTTGCAGTGAGCTGAGATCACGCCACTGCACTCCAGCCGGGGTGACAGAGTGAGACAGTCTCAAAATAATAATAATAATAATAAATAAATATAATAATAATATTCTTTTTACTGTACGTATTTAAGGTGTACAATGGGATGTTTTGCTATATTCATAATAGTGAAATGAGCGCTGTCATCAAGCAAATTAACATATCTATCATCTTGCATTGTTACTTTTTTTACTTTTTTTTCATGGTAACCGAAACTAAAATCTGCTGTGGGCAAATTTTCAGTATTCAATAAGATATTATACCTCTGGCTGTCAGCTGTATCTTCCGTCTCTGGACTTCTTCATCCTACACATCTGCAGCTTTGCACCCTTTGATCCACACCTCTCCATTTCCTGCCCCTACACCCTCCCCTGAGAACCCCACTTTATTCTCTATGTATTCAACTTTTTTTTTTTTTTTTTTTTTTTTTTTTTTTTTTTTTTTTTTTTTTTAAGATTCCACATATAAGTGCGATCCTGCAGTATTTGTCTTTCTCCGTCTGGCTTATTTCATTTAGCATAATGTCCACACACTTCATTATCCTTTTTCTTTGAGGAATTCAAAAGATGAAATAATTCCACAATCAAATGATTTATCTTGAATTTGAAAGTCTGCAAATAGAGAAAGCTTGTGACCCAGAGGGAAAAAGTAGATTTGGGTATGAAATATAGTCTCTACTCAAGTATATTTTTCTCTTCTAAATAATAAACCCTGTTTTGAGCAATTGTGTTATGTTTATAACATATTAAAATGAAAAATGCTTCTATGCATTTCTCTTAAAAAAATCTTATTTGTGTAGGCCAGAAGATGCCTACATCTAGCTTCATCCTGCCTTCCTAACTTGAAAAGTTATCTTCCAAGCCCATCAGGGAAGAGTCTACCAGTTTCCTCCCTCACTTACTGAAGAGAATGTGCCTGTAACTCAAGCTGTTTGCAAATCGTTACTAAAGCTTCATGGGGCTCCCAGGAGACATCAGGATAGGATAAGGCGCTCATGCCCTGAAACCAAGTCTGCTCATGGCACTGGCTGCGTAACTATCACGCGCTGGGCCCCAGATAAGCTTATTTGTTTGGTTCCTCAAAATTTTAGTTTGAGCTCAGTGGAATTGATTTGTCGGTAAACTTTCTGAGAGGATATTTTACAGCAAGGAAGACCAGCCACCCTTGTAGGGCCTCTCCCTGCTACCCCGTGGGGAGCTGGCTTGACCTTTGACCTACATCTGACACACGTGTTAACATGCCCTCGTAGTTGGTTATTGTATGTCGATTTGGTGTTATTTGTCCCCCCAGGGTTTATGATCAGCTCTTCTATGCAGACAGAGCCCCTGTCACACACACATGGCTGTGCTGGGCACGGCGGGGTCTTAGGAGTGAAAGTGCATTCCAGACTCTGTCCCGCCAGAGCTGTACTCCAGCGGGGAGCATCTCCTATAACACACAGGTAAAAGCAAAGAAAGAATGACATGTTAAATTTCCTGTCATTGCCTTTGAGGGCAAACATTCGTTGAGGGACCAGAAAGAGTAGTCAGGAAATAGGTGAAGGAGAGATGTGTGAGCTTGAAGGAGACCATAGATCACACCCAAAGGCACTGACAGGTGTGTGGGCAGGTACCTACTGGGACGGAGAAAGTAAGACTGTCTTAATCAAGGACTGCCTGGACGCATCTCTCAGGCGTTTGCCGTCAGCACATCCTGCCAATTCTGCCTTCAAAATCAACCTCAGGCAGCCAGTCCTCACCGTCATCACCACTCGTGCCGAGTCATGGCCCTTGTGGCCCATGAGGTGCAGCCTCCTTGTGGCTGTCCTTGTGTCCCCCCATCCTTACCCCACTCTATGCCCTGCCTGTCAACCCAAATTTGCCCCATTGAGATCGCCCAAGGCTTTCCACACATCAAAGGCAAACCAGAGCCCTTCCCATGCCCCTGGGCCTTGGGATCTGCCATCGGCTATTCCCTGTTCCCTGCTTTCTAGGCTCACGGCCCCTCTTGGGGTTCCTCAAACACTCCAGCGTGGCCCCTATTCCAGGCTTTGGAGCTGGTGGTCGCCCTCCTTGGAGGAATTTCACAAGACTCACTTCACTGGTCACCAAGGTCTCTACTAAAACATCATCAAGGTCCCTGCTGAAACAACACTCTCCCTAGAGGCCGTCCTGTACCACTCTGCCCTCATCTCTCTCAGACCCTCCCCGGCCTAATCTCTTCCTAGCGCTTAACATCTGGGGCCCCATGGGAGCACTTTGTTTTTCTTGCTGGCTGCACTGTGTCTAGAGTCTGGCCCATGGCAGATGCTTGCTAAATATTTGCTGAATAAATGCATGGATTTGCGAGTTGCCATCCACAATGGTAAATTCAGCCCTTCAAAGATGCTCAGCGCTCTGGTCCCCACAGCAGCGGTTAAACCCCTTTAAGCAGTGCTGTGTGCAGAAGCCTCTTGGGATGCAGAGGCCTCCGAGGAAGGAAACATGACGTGTCTTTTGTGGAGCGCAGGCTGTGATGAGCATCTTCAGGCTCCCCATCTTTTGTCTGCAGGAGTAGCTGCAGAATTGAACTTGGGGGCTCAGTTACAGGGAGGGACAGAAACCCCCACCAGAGAGTATGTCTGCCCTCTTGACGGTCACATGCTCAGCACTGGGCAGAGCCTACCCCTTCTTTCAAGTAAAAGGAGCGGCTGTGTTCCGATCACTCCCTGATGCAAAGCTTCTGAAAAGGTTTGCTCACCTTACTGACTAATTAAAGGGAAGCCACATTTTTCCCTCCCTGGTCTCTGCAGCCATACCACCAAGGGCTATTTGATAGGCCCACGGCAGCTTGGGTTACACAGATGCCCGCGATAATGCCATTTGCTGCGATGATTGAGTCGACAAGGCTGAGTGACTTGGGGAAAATATTCCCCGATTGGACTAACCTGTTGGCGGCCTGCTTACCATCACACTTGTTTTTATAATGAAAAAGGAAATTATTTCTGCTTTTAATGATGGCAGCTCCAGAAATGGTGAGTAAAATGGGTGTGAGGAGAGAAGATGCTTCTCAACACTTCTCAGTGTTGTACAGCTTGCCAACCACAGCCTGTTTGGGAGGGGATGTTCTCACCCAGGTTCCATCTTTCAGAAGCCATTTGCCCACTTATTCTTTTTATATGGATAAACGATGTAATTTGCTACATGCTGATAATAAACAGAGGTATCAGCAAGAATGAAAGCCAGAAAATGGCCCAACATGAACTTCTTGCTTTTCTAAGTTACTCTTTCAAGCTCTTCTTGCGATAGAAATGAAATGAACATTTTTGGCACAGAACTCTTGTTTAGATTTTACTATGATCTTGGGAAACACGGGTTGCTTCAAATGGCTTACTAGATCCCTTTGGAATTTCAAACGTTACAACAGGTAGTCACAAAGGGAATGAAAGCGGATGATCTGAGTGTCTGTGCTGATGTGCCTGCTGGAGCCCCTGTGGATTTTAGCCCTTGGAGGAAGCAGGTTCCCAGAGCAGCCATGCCTGATATCTGGGAGAGGGAACTAGAATTTAATTGGGAATCTTCTGCTATTTCCCTGCTTCCTCCGCCCTCTCAGAGTTACAGGGAATGACTTAGAAAGGTCTCTGGTCTCCTTGGCATTGTGATAGGTGGAATTCTTTCGTAGGAAACACAGCCCCGGGGTTATTTTGATGCAAGCCGTTGGTCCAAAGCCACTCCCCACTTTGCTATGTGGGGGAAGGACCGGGCACCGGACGGCTCGGGTACTTTCGTTCTTAATTAGGTCATGCCCGTGTGAGCCAGGAAAGGGCTGTGTTTATGGGAAGCCAGTAACACTGTGGCCTACTATCTCTTCCGTGGTGCCATCTACATTTTTGGGACTCGGGAATTATGTGAGTACCGAAACTACTTATGCTTATGGTAGGTGTACCACACGCACAGGGAAAGAATTGCGTTTATGTGGGACAGGTGAAAACAATCGCAAAAAAGCAATGGAAAGGGCTTTGAGAGTAATTTATCTTCTGAACAATAGCAATATGGCAACTTCTAAATGGTGAGAGGGAGTCCCTCTAAAGCAATCGATTTGAAGATTGGTTGGACAAACAATGGGAAAGTCATTGTCTTAGCAGAATTAAGTTCATACTTTTTTTTTTTTTTTTTTTTTGCTAATTCTAGAAGCTTTTCTGTTATCTGCTGTAGCTCAGACGAAAATGCATTCTCACCAGATGACTGTTTTTGGTTAATCGATACTGAATGCGCTTTGTGTGGACTGTCGAATTTCAAAGATTTACCGTATGACCAAGATGCACCTGATGCTACAAGTATAAATAGGGGAACAAATGCTTTCTGTTCTTCCTCGGCTAAGGAGGTAGAGGTGGAGGCGGAGCCGGATGTCAGAGGTCCTGAAATAGTCACCATGGGGGAAAATGATCCGCCTGCTGTTGAAGCCCCCTTCTCATTCCGATCGCTTTTTGGCCTTGATGATTTGAAAATAAGTCCTGTTGCACCAGGTAAGTGGACCCAGGTGAGGACTCTGTGATTTCTGCCCATACCCTCATGTAGGTGACCAATGTGACTGACTGTCCCTGTGGGGGAAATATCTCCCCAGCCATTCTGACACCCACAGGCTGGACACCTGCACTTCCCTAGATCTGCAGAATCTCAGGGAGAAGGGGCATTGGAGAGGGGATCGTTTCGTTAAGCCCTTTGCTCTCTCCCTGGAGACCGGTGTTTTCTTCTCTTGTTGGAGGTTTTCAGAGACTGGGGCTCCACAATTGTCCTGTCAATCCTGAAGGAGGTCAGATCCTGGCCAGGAAATCTCTGAGTCCTCCAGGAAGTCCTGAGAAGCAGTGGCCACCAGTCCCTCCGAAAACTCAGGATAAACTGGATGTCGCCAAAGATATTAGAGGCCTAGATTAAAATCCAGCAGCAGATGACGGAGTGGCTCCTAACAACTGAAGGAAAAAAGTTGGTTTCGTAAATAAGTCACAAATGCCTGATAAAACAGTGGACTCTCTAGCAACCTATACGGCTAGGATCTTTTTGACCAGAGATAGTCAGGACTGGTCAAAGGGAGCTGTGGGGTTGCCGGTTCTGGAAGTCAGGGCTTGGACGCAGGCAGATTCCTGACACATTGGTGCTAGGGAGGAACCACAGGAGCTCTGCCTGAGGTTCCAGAAAGTGGGAGTGGGGGTCACCCTAATGATTTCTTTTAAACCAACTGGAAAATTGGCTTGGAGGAGGTTTGGAAAGGATGGGAGGTGGGAGAAGAGGTTTCAAGTAACTGAAAAGACACACATTTAAAAATATGGCTCAAAATTAGCTAAGTGTCAATGAAAGAAAAAAAAATCTTGCAATCACCTGACTCCCAAAACTTACCTGGTTTTTATGTCTGCAAAGTCTCTTCCTGCTTTTGCCCGTATGTGTGGTTTCATGCACAGTACAGATATAGGCAGGTGGGTTTTTTCCATAAAAGGTTTTTATAAATTTTTTCTTATGGAATCACAGTATTCCATCAAGTAGATATGCAATTTACACAGCCATTTGATCATAGTTTGACCTATAGTTGTTCCTAATATTTTATAATATAAATAATATGAATATTAATAGCACTATAATATTCCTTTCTCTTATTTTTTGATTATTTTGCTATGACTAAGTAGTGGGGAGGAACAAAAACTTTTCCTTGTAAATAGAGTAATGTATTGTTCATTAGAAGAACAATTTAGAAAATACAGTTCATTGAAAAGATTTTTAAAAATTACCCACGACGGCATCATTACTCAGAGATAATCCTATTAGCAATTTATTATTGAATTTCTTGCCTTTTTCTATCTATATATCTATATTTCCTTTGGAAGTAACATGTACTATTTGTATTATTTTGAAGCTTTTAAAAAATTTTAACAATATCACCTTCACCTTTCTATGGCATTAAATAATTAAATATTTTCTAGATGTTGACAAACTATGGCTGATGGGTCAAATCTGGCCCACCCCCTTCTTTTGTAAATAAAGTTTTATTGGAACACAGACATGCTCATTTGTTCACATACTGTCTGTGGCTGCTTTCACGCCATAACAGCAGAGTGGGGTCGTTAGGACAGACCGCATGGCCCATAAAGTTTAAGTGCTGTATTTACTGTCTGGTCCTTTACAGAAAATCTCTCCAACCGTTTTCTATATCATCTTGTCCTCCTATAGGTATTCCATTATATGTGTACCTCATTTGTTATTTCACCCGTTCTTTTTTGTGGGTAATTTGGTCCGTTTCCTGTGCATCAATATTATAAGTGCCATTCTTCTAAGTGTCCTTGGGGGTCGATATTTGCGTATATCTATGGTGACATTTTAGGATAAATTCCTAGAAGTGGAACTGCTAGGTCAAAACTTTCATCTGTTTTTGAGCTTTCCGGTGTCTAAGTTTACACAGCTGGGAAGTTTACACAGTTTCTACCCCTGTGACTGTAGGTGGGGGACCATTTCCTTTCACTTCATGTGAATCATTGTGAAGTTGGCATGTAGTTATGTCTCATTTGCATTGTTTTCATTTCTCAAGAAGTTGAAAGCTTTTTTTTTTTCTTTTTCTTGAGACGAGGTCTCGCTCTGTCGCCCAGGCTGGAGTGCAATGGCGTGATCTCGGCTCACTGCAACCTCCAACCGCCCGGGTTCAAGCGATTCTCTTGCCTCGGCCTCCTGAGTTGCTGGAATTACAGGCACATGCCCCCACACCCAGCTAATTTTTGTATTTTTAGTAGAGGCGGGTTTCACCGTGTTGGGCAGGCTGGTCAAGAAGTTGAAAGCTTTTTCATACTTGTGCGCCATTTGCATTCCTTCTTTGGAGAAATGCTGTACATTTCATTGTTTATTCCAGGCAATGTCCTCAAGGACCAAGCACAGAGGAGGCGTGGGGCCCCTGCAGTGCCCTCAGGGCAGCCTGACAGAGAAGCAGGGCAAACGGGAACTGACACAGCCTTTCGATTAAATGTCAATCTTTGATTTGACAATTTGGGGTCATTTTCTAAATCCAACTTAAATACAGAGCAGCTGGAATGTGAAGATGTCATTCCTGGGGTTCCTGCAGATTTCTAAGTATAAGACGAAGGGTGGGCATCCTTATAGAGGAGAATTGTTAGTGTGCGGGGGATCGAGGTGTGAGGGTGGAGAGAGGATCCTTTCTGCCAGCTCACCACCGCAGATGGGCTGTCCTGGAAGGACTTGGTCTCAGACCCTGAGTTAAAACGGCCTTCATTATCATGATGTCATTCATTCATCTAGCACATTTTTATCAAGGACTACTGTGTGTCCCCTGCTGTTCTAGGTATGGATAATGCAGCTTCAACAAACCACTGAGCTTGTCCAGGCCTAAAACACAGAACTTGCCACGGTCTCTCATCCTCCCTCACTCTGCGTTCCTCACAGCCTCCACATCTGCGAAGTGCAGCTTCTATTTCCCTGCTCTTCCTCCATCTCCTGCTCACCCTCTCCTCTGCACACTCTTTTCTCCTCGCATTCCATGTCTTTTCATCATTTTTGTCTTCAAATTCTCTTCTTTCTTAGGCAGCCTCAACTGATATTGATCATTTCATTATCACACTCCTTATTGCCAGAGGGTAGAAGTTGTGAGTCTCCACGGTCAGGCAGGGAAAGATCTTTTTAGCTCTTCCATGACAGAGCTCTCGGCTCAACATGTCCAAGACTAGGAGAAGAGAGGCAGGTGCCAGTCTCATCCTGGGCAATTGTGTGACCCTGGGCAGGCTTCTCTCCCCTTTCTGGATTCCAATCTTCCTTATTTTTAACAAAGACAACTTGGGCATTCATGTATTTTTAGGATTGATGAGGTAATTTAGGTGAAATGGCCTGCTCTCCCCAGGAGGGAAGAGTGCTAGTGGGAATTCTCCTGCTGCCCAGAGAGGCTTATACTTCTGGCCAGGCATCTGGACACTCCTTACATATTGTTTCCACCAGATTTGCCTGGTTCTAGGGGCAAGAACTGTAAAGGGCCTGAGATGTCACCCTACTTGCAAGCCAAAATTTAGCCTGCCACAGTTTCATGGGTGCTTTGGAAGACACGAGAGTCCTGGGTCAGAGACAAAGGACTCTATTCCTCACAGTGCAGCAAGGGGCACAAATATCCTGTTTGTGCTGGCTGCCTTTGCCTTCTCAGTCCCACAGAGGCATGTGGAGCAGCCTGTGTATGCCGCACGTGCAGGCAGTTTGCATTGCTGCTGCATATCCCAGAGTTAAGGGAACCCTCATCTTTACAGTGGTCTGCAAGCAGACCTGTGCAAACTTTGCTCTGGAGGAAGGCATTATATTTGTTAAACTGGACAGTAAACAAACCTGCCTCTTGCTCTGGAGGGAGACGCTATCTGTATCTTCCAAGGCTGTTTGCTCTACACACATTCTTGAAGAGATGATCTGGAATGAAAGCTGTCAGTGTCTGTGCACAGCAATTGTGGAGAATGGTGTATCAACATCCTGTCCTCGGCTGGACATGGTGGCTCACGCTTGTAATCCCAGTACTTTGGAGAGCCAAGTGGGGAGAATCACTTGAGCCCAGGAGTTTGACATCAGCCTGAGCAACATAGTGAGATCCCCATCTCTATAAGAAAAAATTTAAACAAACAAACAAAAATCAACATCTTGTCCTTGCATCTCCTCTGGGAGATCTCAGCACTACCTCTGCCTGCAAGCCCCCCGTGTGGGTTTCACCCCCTCCTCTGCAGGGAAACAGCCTTGGAAGTTGGGATGCTACTTCCCCTCCATCTTAGTGTCATAGGGCTGCTGAAACAAAGTCCCCAAAACTGGGTGACTTAAAACAACAGGAATTTATTGTCTCAGTTCTGGAGGCCAGAAGTCTGAATTCCAAGGTGTCATCAAGGCCATACTCCCTCTTAAACCCATAGGGCACCGTGCCCTGCCTCTTCCTAGCTCCTGGTGGTTTGCCAATAATCTTTGGCATTTCTTGGTGTGTAGATGCATTGTTCCCATCTCTGCCTTCATCTTCATGAGGCTGGCTTCTGCCTGTGTCTCCTCCCATCCTCTTCCCTTCATGCATGTTTGTCCCTGTGTCCTGATTTCTCCTTTTTGTTTTTGTGTTTTGGAGACGGAGTTTTGCTCTTGTTGCCCAGGCTGGAGTGTAGCAGTGCGATCTCAGCTCACTGCCACCTCTGCCTCCCAGGTTCAAGCGATTCTCATGCCTCAGCCTCCTGAGTAGTTGGGATTACAGGTGCCTGCCATCATGCCCAGCTAATTTTTGTATTTTTAATAGAGATGGGGTTTCACCATGTTGGCCAGGCTTGTCTTGAACTCCTGACTTCAGGTGATCCACCCGCTTTGGCTTCCCAAAATGTTGGGATTACAGGAGTGAGCCACTGCACCCGGCTGTTTTCCCCCTTTTTATAAGGGCAACAGCCACGTTGGATTAGGGCCCACCCTAATGACTCATTTTAACTAGATGACTCTGTAAAGACTCTCCAGGCCATCTCCAAATAAGATGCCATTCTGAGGTACTAAGAGTTAAGACCTCAACGTGTCTTTCTGGGGGATACTATTCAACCCATAGCACATCCCCTCATCCCCCATGGAATAACCGGGTCAGAGGTGGAGCAGGTAGGACTGAACTAGAGAATGTGCCCCTTGGTGGGTGGCCCTTTCCCTAATTAAGGCACCTTTCTTTGGGCTGAGACTTCTCTGCAAAGAGGGGAGGGGGAAAGGATAGTTAAATTTGTAAGTTTCATGGCACTCCAAGTCAGGTTCTGTGGCTTTCTGCTCTTCCTTTTTCTGGTTTTCAGATGCAGATGCTGTTGCTGCACAGATCCTGTCACTGCTGCCATTGAAGTTTTTTCCAATCATCGTCATTGGGATCATTGCATTGATATTAGCACTGGCCATTGGTCTGGGCAGTGAGTACAATTCATTATTTAGTAGGATCTCAAATACCTAGCCAAGTAGTTAAACTTTCATGAGCGCCCCCTCTCATCCCAGCATTTTGCTGCTGCCCAGCCTTAATTACTGGAGGCAAACATCCTTTTGGTTTGCTGACTTGAAGTTTTATTTGCCCACATGAATGTAAAGTCAGTCTGGGGTGCCGCAAGGGCTGCTGGCCATGCTCATGGCTTTGTCACCAAGGAACCTGCCCGGTTAGGAGTGGCCAAAGGCAGCTGATGAAATAGAATCCTGCAGGTGGGAGGGAGGCACTGACCGGGGCAGCGGGGAGAAGACAAAGAGACCTATTCATGCAATGCAGGCGCACCAGCTGTTTTTACAATAAGGTGCATGTGGCTTTTGAGAAAGTGGGTCATTTGGATGGAGGGTCTCTAATAGGGAACAATTTTTCTTTCAAATACCTGAATCACAGGTCAGTTCAATTCGCCACCTGCCCCACTGTGTGGTCCACACTTCGTTCACTTTCTGCCTTCGGTAAGAGAAACCAGGAAGGCCGAGCAGTTCTCAGTCAGGACTCCTTGCTCGGCTGGCTCAGCAGGTCGGCCCCCCGCCATGCAGTTTCTCTCTTGACCTTGAGACCTCCAGAGTCTAAATTCACCTTGCACTGTGGTTCCTGGGCCAGGCCACATAGCGAGATAAAGTGGGGCACAGCAGCCCCACCCCTTGGAATTCAAAACAGAAACTGGGCTGCAGGAAACAGGCTGCTGACAGGGACGCAATTTCAATACAGGTTTCATTATTCACGGGCCAGCTCCGCACTGTGTGGCAGGGGGACAGTTGTTAGTGTTGCACTCTGAAAGAGCTGTTGGTTAATTCCTGCCTTCCTCCCTTTTCCCAGTCCACTTCGACTGCTCAGGGAAGTACAGATGTCGCTCATCCTTTAAGTGTATCGAGCTGATAGCTCGATGTGACGGAGTCTCGGATTGCAAAGACGGGGAGGACGAGTACCGCTGTGGTAAGGTCATGGCTCTTCCCCTGGGGAAACAGAAGGAAGCAGCAGAAGCCAACCCTGACCCTTCCCATCTGTAAAATGGGTCCAAGTCATTGCCATTTTTAGGTCATGTCTTCAGCTGGGATTGAACTGGCGTTTGCCCAAAGACATGTTGGGCTGGGGGGTCAGGGAGGGCCTTCCATGGAGCTCTGGCTCTCTTGGGGAGACCACATAAGCAATAAGATGAGACCAGCGAGAAGTCTCAGGGATCCAGAGTCACTGCTCTGTGATGGGGAGGCTGCCGTGGACAAGAAGTGGGTCAGATTTGGCAGAGGAGGGGTTTGAGCTGGCTGTGGAGAAACCCCTGCCTATGGTCTCAGGGTTCCACTGGCCACTAATAAGCCTTTCTTTCTGCACATCGGCCAGTCCGGGTGGGTGGTCAGAATGCCGTGCTCCAGGTGTTCACAGCTGCTTCGTGGAAGACCATGTGCTCCGATGACTGGAAGGGTCACTACGCAAATGTTGCCTGTGCCCAACTGGGTTTCCCAAGGTAAGTTAAAGAGCATTTCCAACCCATGGGCAAAACACAGAGAGGATAACAATAAAGAAAGACAACTACCATTTAGTTGGGCACTATTGGGTGCTTTAACGCTCTCAGATTACATCCTCACATCCACCTTAGGATGCCCGATATCATCCTCACTTCACAGGCAAGCAAACCAAGGCCAGACAGGCTAAGTGACTTGCTCAAGGCACATGGGAAGTGGCATGTTTGGGGGTTCCCAGGGCCAGGCCAGGATCGGAGATACGAACATGCAATAAAAAGTTTCAAAGTAGAAAACAAAAACAAAACCAAAAAACCCTCCAGCTCCTCAGCTTGCAGCTCCTAGAGTAGCTTCCTGGACACTTTCCTGCTTGGTCCTGGCGGTCACATCAATGTCCATGCACGCTTCCCCAAGAACCCCACAGAACCAATTGTTGAAAGTCAGAAATTTAGTGAAGACACAATCATCCAAAACACTTGTTTAGCAACATGTAGAACAAAGAACTATAACAGTTGACTATTCACTTTTTAGTGTTTGTGTTGCCTACATGATTTTTTGCATTGGAGTGACACAGTTTTGGCCTAGGCATGGGCCTCCTTCTCTCCCCTGGCCCCTTCCTTCTGACTTCCTGCGGCCGCTGTACTTCCACGGGTTCCCCTAGCAGCCTCCTTACTCCCCTTTGCTCTCAAGTCTCAGCACTCAAAGCAGGCAGGCTGCATTCTGCTTTGCACTCAAGTAGATGGGGTCGTTAAAGCCACACTGCCCTGAGTCCTCCACAGAGTCTCAGTTTTCAAATTCCATGAATCATATTCTCGGCTGTCTTTCCCCAAAGCTGGTGGAAGCCAAAATGCCCTCCAGCCTCCAGCCCTGAGGTCTGCCTCCCTCTCCCTCCACACCAACTGAGATTCAGAAATGAGCTGCAATTCAAGTTCAATGAGAAGAGCAAAAATCATCCACACTAACGTCTTCAGGAATGATGTATTACTCCTTAGAGACAAGGAGGAAGAGGTACACACACACACACACACACACACACTGCACACAGCTGAGAGCTTCCCCATTGGGCATTTCTCTTCCCCGCTGAGCCTCTTCCTCTGACTCATTGGGTGGGGGGTGTTGGGGGGCCTCCTTTTCTCTTCTCTCTGCCCTCCTCCTCTGTCCTGGAGGACCACCGCTCTGTCTGAGCAAACCCCAAGGCCTCTCTGCTCTGTTATGCAGAAAAACTCAGCTCAATCCCTCTCCTTCCCCACCCAGCAGACCCAAGTCAGGAGCCCCAGCTGTCCCAGGCATCAGGTAGAGGCCACTCATGGTGGGGGTAGCCTTCCCGTCTCTCTTCCACCCCAGCCCGTTTGGTAAAATATTCCTTCTCATCCTTAATATGCTCCCTCTACAAGGAAATCCAGGGAATGCGATGTCCCCCATCTCTCACCCCAATATTGCCTACTTTCTTCTCTATAGGCTTGTTCTTTTGTTCTCTATCCATTGCTTCAGTTTCTAAGATTTATTTCTGCATTTTGTTCTATTTTCTTAAATTCTCCTTAAAATCCTTCTTTAATCTTCTCTGCTCTACTACATCCTATGTCAGAGATCTGTGATTCAAAAATAAATAAATAAATAAATAAATAAATAACCAAAGGACGGTCAAGCTAGATTGCTTGGGTTCAAATCCCAGTGTAGACTCAGGCAAGTTCCACACACAGTTCATGCCTCAGTTTCCTTTCTTAGAAAAGAGGGATGATAATAGCACGTACTTGGAGGGGAACTGAAGTTCCGCTGACGCTGTGAGTGTGGAAGGGCTTGGTGGGCAAGAGCACACTGGGCGAGTGTGTGGTTGTGGCTGTCATTGTTACCATTTTGAGACTTGGACAGTTCATGGGGCTCCAGTTGCAGCACTGGGGTCCCCTTGCCTGGCACAAGCCCCGCCACCTGCACTGGGGCCAAGCCATCCCAGCAACCATCGGCTCTTTCATGCCAGTGCCAGCGGAATCCGTGCATTGAGCAATCCCTGGAAGGGCTGCGAAGGTCGTGCCCGCCGCCTTGATTACATTTTCCTCAAAACTCAAAGTTGACTGAACTTTGTATTCTACATACACACCCCCATAGCATTTACAGTAAGCTGAAGAAATCCTGTTGATAAGCTGGTGTGTTCACTATGAAAACAAGCCTACTGTACTGTGTTTTGTTCATTTCACAAGGGAAGGAGAACATGGCTGTTTATTCACCATCTTCCATCTTGTGACTCTCCAAACATGTGATTCTTCTTTAAAAAGTTGCATCACTTTCACCACTGTTCTCCAGAAGACCTGTGTCCTGGCACTGTAAAAATGAGCTGGGCTCTGGTGTTCGTGGAATCGCTTTCTTGTTTGTGTTCATCTCTTTCCAGTGGGGCTCTGCGCTGGTCCTGGGCAGGTGAGGGATGTCTCTCCTGTTCCTCCAACTCACTGTTCTTGGAGAACTTGGTGTCCCTGCTTGGGTGCCCCCCGACAATACTGCACCTAGTTTTGTGCTCACCTCCCCTCTGGACTTGCTTCAGGCCAAGCAAAAGGCATTTCACTGGAATGCGCAAAGAGTGACTCAACCAAGGACATAGGAGATGGTCACTCACTGTGTGGCTGCAGCCCAGGGTGGGTGGACGGGGCTGTCAGGTACAGGCCAGAAGCGGGGGTCATCCCAGAACACAGCAGGCCTGGACTGAATGCCTTGCCAGGGTGAGTGAACTTCATTCTCTTGGCAAAGGAAGCCTTTGATGGGTTTGGGGGGACAAAATGACATCCCCCATGTACAATCCCTGTAATATTGTGACTCGCACATCGGTTGAATGCTTCAAAGTGTAAAGTTACCACGTCGGGTCTGTCTTTCCAATGTGCTTGCAGCTATGTGAGTTCAGATAACCTCAGAGTGAGCTCGCTGGAGGGGCAGTTCCGGGAGGAGTTTGTGTCCATCGATCACCTCTTGCCAGATGACAAGGTGACTGCATTACACCACTCAGTATATGTGAGGTAGGTGGTCAGGCGATGCTGTTGTCTGCACAGGTATCGAGTCACCTGCTGGATTTGTGATGCTATGCACAACTCCACAAGGACTTAAGAGGCATGCATGTGTTATCTCAGATGGAAGGTGGGAGTTGGCCACCTTGATGAGACTGGTGGATGCGCCAGGCTGGGGGTGTGAGAACCTGAGGGAGTATGGCCCAATAAAGAAAGGGAAGGAAATAGAGTAGAAGGGTAACAATGCTGTGAGTGTGACCAATGTACTGTCATGTGACAGGCACTCTGGGTGTGTCTGGGGAATGAAAGCAGGCAAGCAAGAAGGGGGGTGGGGAGGAAAAGAGGAAGGGAGGGAGGGAGGGAGGAAGGAAGGGAGGGAGGGAGGAAGAGAGGGAGGGTAAAAGGAAGAAAAACAGAAATTAAGATAGAAATTTATCCTTCTTTGTTTACGAAGTATTTTAGCATTCATTATTTATTTTACATGTTTTCCCCAACAACTCATGGGGAAGGTAAAACCAGGTGTTCTTAAATAACCACCAGGTAACTGAAACTTACAGGGACCACATGCCTTGCCCCAGGTTAGACGGTGTGTAGCAGATACAGCCAAGAGTTCTGAATCCAATTCCATATTCTCTCCCTGACATCTAGGCCCAAACCCTAAGATGTGCATTTTCTGCTCTGGGAACAGTAGGCTTGTTGGTCTGTCCGTCGGGGATGAATAAGCACCCCGGGACCCACCTGCAGTCTGGAGGGACAGCTCATGTGTTGGGTGCTAAATCCACAGTCTGGTGACACTAGCTTTCTCTTGCATGATGAGCTGGGGCTCAAAAGGCAGAAAACATTACAAAGATTTTGGGATCCCTTTCCCTTCACTATGAGAAAAGCACACACCCTGGTCTCCACCTGTGTGTGGGGGTGGGGGTAGGAGTGTCAATTTTGGGGCAATCACACTTTATTGCTCTGGGGAAGGAGTCCTCTGCCAGATGTGTGAACCCAGGCTACAAGGAGTCCTAGAGAGCTTGCCACGCTGTCCCTTGGGCACTCTTGTGTCCCTAGGGGCCAGGAGGTGGAGAACATTGGGCTGAATCGCCATGCAATGACAGCGTGACATGTTGATAGAATATATCTCCTTACACATCCTTTATCACTAGCTATCTAAAGCTTAGAAATACAGAACGGCCTGTTGTGTACACAATACTTCACTGTTAGTTGAGTGTTTTACAATGAATTGTGTGACCTCATCCTCATGGTTTTTTTTTTTTTTGAACATAGACTAAAATTGTAATCTATATTCAAAGAGGGGGAAATAGAATTTATTTTTCTGTTACCCTAAGATTGAGTTTTTAAGAGTGTTCCTTTCACAGATCTGGGGCATTTTTCACAGAGCCTACTTTTTCTCCGCTTTAGGGAGGGATGTGCCTCTGGCCACGTGGTTACCTTGCAGTGCACAGGTAAGAGTTCCAGAAAGGCAGGGGTCCAGGGGGAGCAAGCACATGCTAAGTCCTATCTCCTTGCCCTCAGAGTCCTCTCCCCCCATGGGGCTCTGTATCCCTTCCTCCTGGGTGCCAGGCGGGAACTCTGTGTACCCCTACCTGCTGGAGGAGGGGAGCAGTGTCATCCTCACCTGTCGGCCTCACCTGTCAGGTGGGGGAGACAGCCAGAGCAACTCATTAGCAGCGGACAGGACCAAGGCCCATGATGTCCCATCACTCTGAAGAGCCTTGAGTCCCTGACTCAGTTCCCACTTCCTCCTTACACGTGCACAGTGCCCACTCCAGGCCTCGGGCAGTGCCCCTCGTTCCTGGCAGAGGGGAGTGTTCACACCACAAGGGTGGGGTCTGGAGCAGTCAGGGAGGTGCGTGCACCAGCGGCAGTGAGGAGGGGGCTGCAGAAGGTTCCTGCCTGCTCCTGACATCCCAGGGTGTTGTCATCACTGGGGGAATAGGATGGGGAGTGGTGCTGCCAATGCTGGGCACTGACCAAGCAGGGCAGGTGCTTTTCCCACCGCATCCTCCACAGCACCCACCATCCTCAGGTCTCCCCAAGAGCCTGACCACCTCCCCTGCTGAGCTCCCCCTTGCAGCACTTGTCTTAGAGCTGCTGTGAGCTCTGGGAGCAGGGGCAGTGAGGGTGGGGAGAGAGGAGCAGGTGCATGGTGGTGACACCATGTCCCCCAAAGAAGTCTGCAGGGTGGACCCACAAGCCTTTGTTCCCCTCCATAGCCTGTGGTCATAGAAGGGGCTACAGCTCACGCATCGTGGGTGGAAACATGTCCTTGCTCTCGCAGTGGCCCTGGCAGGCCAGCCTTCAGTTCCAGGGCTACCACCTGTGCGGGGGCTCTGTCATCACGCCCCTGTGGATCATCACTGCTGCACACTGTGTTTATGAGTGAGTGCTGCTGACCATCTTCCCAGACCCCTGTTCACTCCTGGGTCATGTCAGGGTGGGGCTGCTTTGGGTGGTGAGAAGCGGGTCCAGAGGGAAGACAGAGAGACTAACCTCCAAGTAATGTACAGTTGGAGAGGAGTCTCCAGCCTCACTGTGGACCCATCATCATCAGCTGGGGGTAACTTGTGACCCTGAGCTTGTTTTAAGGATTGTAGCTCCTAGAGAAAGGGCAGACAGAAGAGGAAGGAAGCTCCTGTGCTGGAGGAAACCCACAAAAATGAAAGGACCTAGACCTTCCCATAGCTAATTCCAGTGGACCATGTTATGGCAGAGACAGGGTGAGACGGTGGTGCGGGAGGCTAGAGGGAATATGTTGGGGGCCAGGTACTGGGTCTCTTCTTAAAATCTCAGGAGTTTAGAGTGCAAGAAAACTACAGAAAAGACTTCCAAACACAATGGTTCTCCCTGATATTTTTACCCCCTATTTTGTTGCTGTTTGATGAACAGTAGTGCCTGATAGACTCCTTGCAGTGACCAATGTTGAGTTCAGCCCTCAAATGCCAAGACGACCTCAGAGGTGCTGAGAGTGAGGTCTGGGAAACACATGGGGTGTGGGTCTGTGTTTCTGTAGGGCGTGGCAGTGCAGTTGCATATACAGCATAAACAAGCAGGGTGATGGGACCACATCTTGCCTGATAACCTCTCCCACCATCTTCCTAGGTTTTCAGGATACCTGAGGTCAATGAGTTCAGTGGTTGGACTTTTCCTGTGCTTCACCTCTTGCTCTTCTCATTTCAGCTTGTACCTCCCCAAGTCATGGACCATCCAGGTGGGTCTAGTTTCCCTGTTGGACAATCCAGCCCCATCCCACTTGGTGGAGAAGATTGTCTACCACAGCAAGTACAAGCCAAAGAGGCTGGGCAATGACATCGCCCTTATGAAGCTGGCCGGGCCACTCACGTTCAATGGTACATCTGGGTCTCTATGTGGTTCTGCAGCTCTTCCTTTGTTTCAAGAGGATTTGCAATTGCTCATTGAAGCATTCTTATGATGGCTGCTTTATAATCCTTGTCAGATATTAATAATTCCAACTCCTGATTCATGTTGGTGTTGGCATCAGTTGATTATCTTTTCTCATTAAAATTGTGATGCTCCTAGCTCTTGGTATGACAAGTGATTTTCAATTGTATCCTGGACAATGTGGCTCTCATGTTTGCAGACTTGAGTCCTACCTACATTTTCAATGTTACCCTGTTTAAATGTAGTTTGTAGATCCTGGCCTACAGAATGAATGCACTGATGACTCTGCCAGGTAGATTGGTGGGCTGTAGTTCCAACAATAATTTTAGAGCCTTCGTGGGCTGTGTGCTTTGTCTGGTGCCACCTTCTCCCTGTTGGTGCCACCTTCTCCCTGTTGGTGCCACCTGGAGGCAGAAAGAGCTTCTTGAGGCCAGACCAGCTGGGGCCTCTAGGTGGTGGAAGAGAGTCATCCATCTGTAGGGACAAAGAGCACTTTCCTGTCCAGGAGCCTATTGTGGAGGGGTCACTCAGCCAGTGCCTCCCACCTGCCTGGTTTCTCCAGGTAGAGGGGCCATCTTGGTTGAGAAACAGAACCTCCCAGGCTGGCCAGGTGGTGTGGTGGAGTCCTCTCATTTCTTTACAAGCTGAAAGATGCTGGGCACCCTCAGCTCCCTGGAAGTACAGAAAAGTTCTCTCCCAACCAGCAGCTCCTAAAGACCCTGTTTCTTGAAAAAGTCAAGCCCTGCCCTCTGGACATTACGAAAATGCCAGAAGAGCCACACCTGATAAAACTTTCAAACATCTCGTAGATGCAAACAAAGTACTAGGAGACTACTCCCAATTAAATTAAAGCCCTCTTTCCTTCTTAAGAAAGCAGGGAAAGCATAATAAATAGGTTAATTCCCTCTTATTGAAGCAGAATCCTGACCTGAGACCAGCTGCAGGCTCTACCTGGCAGAGTCATTACTGCATCCATCACATGGACACGTAATGCCCAGAAACAAATATTTCCAGAGAAGCAGGAAAATGATTATGGTGGTGCCAGTCTGCCAACTATTATTAATGATATTGGTTATAGGAAATGAGGTGCCAGCACTTGTACTTTGCCAAAGTTTCAAGTGAGTTCTTTTATTCCTTCTCTACCTCTCCATTACTGTTCTGCACAGAAAAGCTCGGGGAACCTCAGGGTGTGTTCACACGAAAGCCCGAGGTATGTGCAGGGCACTCTGGCTTTGGGGGAGGCCCACAGGATCCAGCCCTACACACAGGCAAACTCGTCGCCTCCAGATATCCCAGGAACCATAGCAATATTCATGGAGCCGTGTTCTATAGGCAACACCCACACTGTGATCTAGCCAGGAGTGGGCACGCGTTGGCCTGAGAGCCTGGTCTGCCCCATCGTGTTTTGGTAAATAGACATTTTACTGGACACAGCCACACCTATGTGGGTACCTGTTACCTGGGGCTGTCTTCATGCTCCAATGGCAGCCAGAGACCGCACAGCCCACGAAGCCTACAACATTGACTATTCAGCCCTTTCCACAAAAGGTGTGCTGACCCTGGTCTAGGTTCCCTCACGCTGCGACGGTGGAGGGCTCTTTTACAGTTTTAAGTGCTCTGGGTGTGGTGGATGGGGTAAGGGGCTCCTGCTGTGAGCTGATCGTTTTCAAGTAACCAAGGGCTTGACCTTCCTTCCCTTGGGAGATAGTTTGGGCTCCTCAGAGGCAGAAGCATAGATGAGATTGTTTTCTCGGACTCCTGCTTCAATTGAGTTGTGAACTATTGTTTCCCTTCAAGCAGAAATGATCCAGCCTGTGTGCCTGCCCAACTCTGAAGAGAACTTCCCCGATGGAAAAGTGTGCTGGACGTCAGGATGGGGGGCCACAGAGGATGGAGGTCAGTGGGCTGAAGCCAAGATTCGGAGTCCAGGGGCTCAGAACCCAGAGGGCTGCGGAGGGGGCTCCCCCAATGTCCCATTGTGATGTTCCCATGGGCTGCCCAGATACCCCGGCCAGGGAGTGCATGTCAGCTGCTCGGGACACAGTCAGCCAAGGAACTGTGGGTCAGGAGTCACGGTTCCATTGTTATGGGGACAACATGACCCTGCAGACCTTCTCAGGAGAGAGTTAGACCTTCTCGAACACAGCAGGTGTTTCCCTTTCCCTGCCCGGACCCCCGGCCTTGTTAACTGAGGACATACAGAGCCCACCTAGACAACCCTCCCAGGCTTCATTCAGAACTCAAAGATTCGTATTTGTGAAGACTCTTTGTCTTGTGGGACTTTGGAAGATGTGTTCTTTCATCCTACAAAGAGCAAGTGGAAGCAGCAGCAGATGAGATCGCTGTAATAATAAGGGAAGTAGGAGTGGCAGTAACCATAGTCCATGCAAATGAAGCCCGGGCCACCCTTTCCTTAGTGTGGGTACAGAGCTGGTCATGAGTCTTAGGTTTTTCCATCAATCACTTTCTTTGTTAGTAGGAAGAGGATTCATTTTCCGTGGCTGCCGTGACAAATTATCACAGTCTGCGTGGCTTAAAACGATGGAAATTGGCCAGGTGTGTTCCCTCACACCTGTAGTCCCAGCATTTTGGGAGGCCGAGTCTATGGGATCCCTTGAGGCCATTAGTTTGAGACCAGCCTGGGCAACATAGAGAGACACCGTCTCTACAAAAAATACAAAAATTAGCCAGGCATGGTGGCATGCACCTGTAATCCCAGCACTTTGGGAGGCCAAGGCAGGAGGATTGCTTGAGCCCAGGAGTTTGAGACCAGCCTGGGCAACATGGCAAGACCCTGTCTCTACAAAAAATTAAAAAAATTAGCCTGGGCCGGGTGCAGTGGTTCATGCCTGTAATCCCAGCACTTTGGGAGGCCGAGGCAAGTGGACCATTTGAGGTTCAGGAGTTTGAGACCAGCTTGGCCAATGTGGTGAGACCCTGTCTCTACTAAAAATACAAAAATTAGCCAGGCATGGTGGCGCACACCTGTAATCCCAGCTATTCAGGAGACTGAGGCTGTAGAATCACTTGAACCTAGGAGGCGGAGGTTGCAGTGAGCCGAGATCATGCCACTCCACTCCAGCTTGGGTGACAGAGCAAGGCTCCATCTCAAAACAAACAAACAAACAAACAAACAAACAAAAATTAGCCTGACATGGTGGTCCCAGCTACTCAGGAGGCTGGGGTGGGATTGCTTGAGCCCAGGAATTCTAAGCTGCAGTGAGCCGTGATCATGCCATCATACTCCATCCTGGGTGACAGAGTGAGACTTTGCGTTTAAAAAAACAAAACAAAACAAAAAAAAAGTGGAGATTTATTTCCACACGCAGTTGAGGTGTCTGTAGGGTGGTTTTCCTGGAGGCTCTGACCCCTTTCCTTTGGGTTCTGGTGGCGGCGGCTGCAGCTGCACTGGCATTCCTGGGCTTGTAGCTGGATCTCCAGCCTCAGCCTCCTTCCTCCCGTGGCTTTGCCCCCTGTGTCTCTGTATCTCAAACTTCCCTCTCCTGTGTCTTATAAGGACAGCAAGTCGTTGGATTTAGGGTCCACCCTAAACGCTGGGAGATCTTATGTTGAGATTCTTACCTTAATTACATCTGCAAAGACCCTGTTCCAAATAAGGTTGGGCTCCATAGTGGCAGGTAGGCATATTTTGGAGGGGCCCACAGTTCAACCTAACACAGGAATTTCAGTGTTTTCCACTCAACACCAATTACTTGAGCCCACCCCCAGCTGAAGGCACCCAGGAGCTAACCCGGATGCTTCGAGTCTGTGGGCCTACTTACCCCCCACCCACTGGCAGTGCTGCCCACCTGGCCGAGGGCACTCACAGCTCTCTGTAGTTTCCAACCCACCCACATGGCCCAGGCCCAGTTCTGTGCCAGTGTGGCTGGTCCAGGGCCTTTCTAGCTTCATCAGAACCAGCACCCCTGGTGTGTGGTGGGAGCTGGGACACCAATCTACGCTCCCCTTCCTCTCATGGTGGGCTCTCATTCCGGACCAACCAGCCCACCAGAGTCATTCTGATGACACTGGGCTCTGAAGAGGAGGCTGTGCAACAGCTTCATCCTCCCAGGAGATTCTCCATCCCGCTGCCGATTTTCTTCTCGCTGTCAATCTGCTCTGTCCAGTGCAAAAGGTCCGACGAGCCCCTGTCCTGATGTAGCTTCAGCTCCAGCCTGTCCTGGAATCTTCTCCCATAATGCATTGAGCTGTTTCGCCACGTTCCGGGCAGGAAGCTGAGTGTCTTGTGATACCATGTGCTCCTCAGAGCAGCCCCTCAGGGTCCTGTCATTGTGTGATTTTGTTGTCTCCATGGAATCTATGGAGTCTTTAAAACACCAAGATGCCTGGGTCACAAACCAGCTGAGTTGGAGGGGTCCATCCCTCGGTGTCGGGGGCGTGCTTGGCCCACTGCACGTGGATTAAGTCTCCTGTGACTGTTGCAACAAACGACCCCAAATTCGTGGCTTAAAATGACAGAAAGGTATCATCTCATAGTTAGGAAGGTCACAGGTCCAAACTCAGTCTCAGGGCGCTGGCGTCAAGTGTGGGCTGTGCTGGCTCCTCCTGGAGGCCCTTGGGGAATCTGTCTCCTGCCTTTCCCAGCGTCTGCACTCTGCCCACACTGCTTGGCTCGTGCCCCTCCTTGGTCTTCCGGGGCAGCAATGCCGCATCTTCGAATCTCTCTCTGACTCTCTGACTCTGGTCCCTGCTCTGTCGTCACAGCTTCTCCTCCGGCTCCTCCAAAGACCCCTGTGACTTCGTCAGGTCCACCCTCTTACTTGGGATCATCTCCCCACTCAAGGCCTGTCCCTCAATGCACCTGCAATGTCCCATTTGCCCTGTAAGGTGACACAGTCACAGGTTCTGGGGATTGGGGTGAGAATGTCTTTGGGGTCATTTTTCTGCTGACCATCCCAGAGTTCACAAAGACGCTGAGTGAGTGACCCTCCTGAGCCTCAGTTTCCCTCCCATAACCTGGGGTGTTCTGATGGCTGATTGGGCTGGTGCCCTGGGGAGGTGTCTTGGCCACTGTTGCCCCTACTCCTCCTCCTCTTTGGACACCTTAGGGGAGTCGGTGGCCCTGCCTTGAAGCAGACTGGCCCCTTGCGGCCACTCGTAGGAGGGCAAGCTCGGGCTTGAGGTGCTTCGAGACAGTGGGAGTCTGCTCGTCCCACCCGCAGGGCCCTGTCCTTTTCCGCTGTTGCGACACACCAGAGAGCATCCCCCTCGTCCCTCGTTCCCTCACCCCCCTGGTCTCAGCATGCGCCTTCTGTGTTTTGGGCCGGGCTTCCTTCTCACACACATCCCCTCACTCACTTTGAAGCAGGTGACGCCTCCCCTGTCCTGAACCACGCGGCCGTCCCTTTGATTTCCAACAAGATCTGCAACCACAGGGACGTGTACGGTGGCATCATCTCCCCCTCCATGCTCTGCGCGGGCTACCTGACGGGTGGCGTGGACAGCTGCCAGGTACGGGGCCGCAGCGGTGGGCGAGGCCGTGGCAGGGTGACCCAGCCCTTGGGACAGGTCGTTGCCAGCGTTTCCCTGTGACAGGACAAAAAGTAAATTTACAGGGCGTGGAGAAGAAATTTGCTCAAGATATCACTCCTTTTCCTGGCTGCCAGCCCTGTGTTTACCCAGTGATCTGGCTCTGCGTGGGTGCTGGGTGGTGGGAGGGGACTCATGCTGCTCCCCTCCAATTCTGACTTTGTGGGGGACCACAGGGGAGGCAGGTGGTGGGGAGGCAGGTGGCGGGGAACCAGTGAATCTGGCCCTCCGAAAGCTGCAGTGGCTGGGACTCCAGTTCTACTAGGTGGATCACAGGTCACCTGAGGGCCCTGGCCAGGTGGACCCTCCCTCTCACCAGCTGCCCTTGAGCTTCAGAGGGTCAGGGTCTGCATTCTGGAAGGGACACACAGCTGGAGGCAGCACCCCAAAGGGGCCGAGGGACATCCTCCCTTGGGGATGCTGTGTCTGGAAGGGCTGGTGGGTTCCCTTCTGTAACCTGGGTCATCCATTGGGACATCATGAAGGGGGGTCCCAACTCCATAGCAAGCAGCCTCACACGGCAGACTGTCCACAGAAAGCAATCTCGCATGGCGGTGACTGTCCCCCAATCTTTGCTTCTTTCCTGTCACCCAGGGGGACAGCGGGGGGCCCCTGGTGTGTCAAGAGAGGAGGCTGTGGAAGTTAGTGGGAGCGACCAGCTTTGGCATCGGCTGCGCAGAGGTGAACAAGCCTGGGGTGTACACCCGTGTCACCTCCTTCCTGGACTGGATCCACGAGCAGATGGAGGTGGGTGCGGCGCCCTCCCCAGCTCACGTTGTCCCTGGCTTTTGACCCTAAGGTCCCTTAAATGCAACCCTGGTCTTGCTATAAAAACCAGGGCGTGACCCAGTGGTTGTCAATTCAGCAGCAGTGACTTGGTGGCTCCAGGGTGTCAGACGCTTGTGCTGAAAACAGAGATCACAGCTAGTCCTGGGCAGCTCTGGGTGGGTGCAGCCTGGCAGGCAGAGGAGCTGGGGCCCGGGAGGAAGAAGGAGCCTCACGACATGGGAAAGGAGGAGGCAGCGAGGAGGAGCCCCTGCTGGGATGGGGATGGGTCGGGCGTGCCCCGTGTGCCAGGAGCAGGGAGAAAGTGGGAGGGGGCGGGGGGCTGAGACAGTGCGGGAGAGGACCTTGCCTGCCTGCTGAGGGGCTGGAACCTCGCTGGGAGCCAGGGATGAGAGGCAGCAGTCAGGAGAGGCTTGGGGAGCTCTGCATTGGTGGTGTGGGGGGGTGGGGGGTCCCGGAGGGGGAGGCGTGGAAGTGGGAGGGGCCTGCAGGGGGGCACCCAACAGCGAGGCTGGCTTGGCAGGACCCGGGCATGGAGGGGAAACCTGAGACGGTGGAGGAGGAAGAAGGAGGCTTAGGGCTTCGCTGGGACCCTGGCAGCTGCGTGCTGGCAGGTGAACACGGCGCCTTTCTCATGTGGGCGCCGGGGAAACATTTGCTGGCTTGATCTCAGATGAAGTCTCTCCTTGGGATGGTTTCAAACACAGGAGGTCCTCACTTAATACGGTTGATGGGATCTTAGAAACTGCAGCTTTAGGAGAAACAGTGCGCACAGGCCCTCCAGCAACGTCCTTGCTTGCAATGTAATTTTGTTATAAAGTCGATGAGAAAAAAAAAATTGGTTTCATTATATATCATTTTGCTTAAAGTCGTAGTTTCCAAGAACTAACAATGACGTCAAAGTAAGTACGTTTTTTTTCCCTAATTCAAGTGAAATTTATATAACATACAATTCACCATTTTAAAGTGAACAACCCTGTAGCATCAGCACATTCACAGGGCTGTGCAGACACCACCTTTGTCAGTTCCCAGCATTCTCATCTCCCAAAAGACACGCGGCACCCTAGAAGCACGCAGTTACTCCCCACTCCACTTTTCTCCCCAGCCTCTGGCACCCACCAGTCAGCTTTCTGTCTCCAAGGCTCAAAGACCTTTTTAAAAAGCTCATTTAATTTGAAACAATTGGCCAAGAAAGGACATCAAATGCTGAATGTGCCTCAGGCGTTAATTCCCGTTTTGCTCTCACTGATTTTGTGCTTTAAATGAGAAACTAAAGAATGGTGCCCACGGGCACAGGGTGAGGCCTGGGACTGAGACCTGGGCTAGCTTCACCTCCAGCACTGCCGCCCTGCAGCCCTGAGCACCCCCTCGGGGCGTGGTGAGGGCTGTGCTCGGGCTGGGTGGAAAGTGCTTGCTCCTGCTCACCTTGCTGGGAGAGGCAGCCTGGCCCCATACTAGGCACTGAGTGGCCTGCTATGCTCTTCAGTATAAAGCTCAGCCCAGCCCGCCCGCACTGTAGAAAGGACCAGGATGGACAACTGAATGGGAGACCTCCTCACTGTTCAGGGTGCTGTGGGAGCCTGGGGGGCACAGAAGGGTCGCGTGGGCACAGAGGGCAAAGGGCAGGAAAGGAGAAGCCGGTCCTCCACACGGGTCTGCAGTACATGGAGGCCTTCACGGGACACAGATCCCCAGGGGCTGAGCACTGAGCTGGTGATCCTAAAAGTCCCCCTTAAGACACTGAAGGCGCAAGGCAGAGAAGCCCACCGCCGTGTCTTCCAGCTGTCGTGGGTGAGCTGGAGACAAACGTTCAAAATCAGTCTGGGGAGCCCGCTCACAACGGTTCCATGACGGGGCCACCTCAGCCCCTCCCATGTCAGCACCGTCCTGGGCCACAGAGCCTGTGACCCTCCCTGTACTACAGCGGAGACGACCTGCATGAGGCCCCCCCAGCTAACAAGGGCAGAGTGTGCCTCACATCAGATCCCCGACGTGGCCCCAGTGTGACTGCACAGCAGAATCAACAGATCTCAAACTTAGGGGTGCAGAAGCCTCTCTCAGGATGTTTGTTAAATGTGAAGATTGCAGGGCGTTTATCTGGAGTCTGATTGGGAGGTCTGGGGTGAAGACCCTGGTGAATGTGTTGCATGGGGGCTTCAGGGCACACTGAGAAACCCTGGGAGGGTCTTGGAGGCAGTTTCCCCTGTTGTGGTGAAGCTGTGGTGGAGGAGCTCGTCTGTGACGCTGGCTCCGGCGATGCCTGGGGCCCCTGCTCCCTGCACAACGCCTTAGTCATCCGCTGCCTCCAACCCACCAGTGCATGCGAGAGATGCGCAGCCTCAGACACGCCCTTTCCCAAGTCCCTCTTCAGACGTCCTAGGGGAGACCCAGAAGAGACTTCCTTTCCTGGGAGGCTTTCCAGCAGGCCCGCTGTGCGTTTCAGTTGTCCATTGTGAGGAAAGTCAACGTGAGGGCCTTTGGAAGACTCACTGTCTTGCGGGGAAGTGTCCCGTGTGCTAGTTGGTGGCATGCCCATGGCCTCATCTTCATTTTCATCCAGCACTTTTCTCTATCTAGTTGGGGGTTTAAAACAAAATTGTTGTGACTCAAACCAGAACTCAGGAACATAGTGCCGAGACCTGGAAGTTTCCTACGGAAGTGACGGAACTGTCGCAGGGCGGAGATGGGACCTGCGGATGCATTGCTGGTTGGAGCTTTTCATGCCTGCCTGGGATCCACTCAGAGCTGGCAGCCCCAGGGGGAGGCCAACCTTGTCTTCATCGTGGAGAACAGCCCCACAATTCCCACAGGGCAAAATGCAGGTGCCCGCTCCGTCATCATGTTGGACGGATGGCTGGAAGTGCTAAAAACAATAACGCCTTTGTTTTCATTTATAGAGAGACCTAAAAACCTGAAGAGGAAGGGGACAAGTAGCCACCTGAGTTCCTGAGGTGATGAAGACAGCCCGATCCTCCCCTGGACTCCCGTGTAGGAACCTGCACACGAGCAGACACCCTTGGAGCTCTGAGTTCCGGCACCAGTAGCAGGCCCGAAAGAGGCACCCTTCCATCTGATTCCAGCACAACCTTCAAGCTGCTTTTTGTTTTTTGTTTTTTTGAGATGGAGTCTCGCTCTGTTGCCCAGGCTGGAGTGCAGTGGCGAAATCCCTGCTCACTGCAGCCTCCGCTTCCCTGGTTCAAGCGATTCTCTTGCCTCAGCTTCCCCAGTAGCTGGGACCACAGGTGCCCGCCACCACACCCAACTAATTTTTGTATTTTTAGTAGAGACAGGGTTTCACCATGTTGGCCAGGCTGCTCTCAAACCCCTGACCTCAAATGATGTGCCTGCTTCAGCCTCCCACAGTGCTGGGATTACAGGCATGGGCCACCACGCCTAGCCTCACGCTCCTTTCTGATCTTCACTAAGAACAAAAGAAGCAGCAACTTGCAAGGGCGGCCTTTCCCACTGGTCCATCTGGTTTTCTCTCCAGGGGTCTTGCAAAATTCCTGACGAGATAAGCAGTTATGTGACCTCACGTGCAAAGCCACCAACAGCCACTCAGAAAAGACGCACCAGCCCAGAAGTGCAGAACTGCAGTCACTGCACGTTTTCATCTCTAGGGACCAGAACCAAACCCACCCTTTCTACTTCCAAGACTTATTTTCACATGTGGGGAGGTTAATCTAGGAATGACTCGTTTAAGGCCTATTTTCATGATTTCTTTGTAGCATTTGGTGCTTGACGTATTATTGTCCTTTGATTCCAAATAATATGTTTCCTTCCCTCATTGTCTGGCGTGTCTGCGTGGACTGGTGACGTGAATCAAAATCATCCACTGAATTCCAGGGGCTCCATTACTGTCATCTCTCCTGTGTGCGTTGTGGACTTGGCATTCTTCTGTCGGAACAGGTTGCTCAGCAGATCAGCATCAGCTCGTGTCATACACAGAACTCAAAAGTAGAGCAAGGCCAGGCAAAGTAGTGGGTGTGAGCGGTGGCCGGAGGGAGTGAGCAGTGGCCGGAGGGAGTGAGCGGTGGCCGGAGGGAGTGAGTGGTGGCCAGAGGGTGTGAGTGGTGGCCGGAGGGAGTGAGCCCTGTACAGAGGGAGTTAGCAGTGGCCGGAGGGTGTGAGACCTGGATGGAGGGTCTGAGTGGTGGCCACAGTGTGTGAGTGGTGTCCGGAGGAAGTGAGTGGTGGCTGGAGGGTGTGAGACCTGGATGGAGGGTCTCAGTGGTGGCAGTAGTGTGTGAGCAGTGGCCGGAGAGTGTGAGTGGTGGTCAGAGGGAGTGCACGGTGGCCAGAGAGCATAAGTGGTGACTGGATGGTATGAGCGGTGGCTGGACGGTGTGAGCCATGGCCGGAGGTTTTGAGTGGCACCCGAAGGGTGTGGCCGGAGGGAGTGAGCTCTGGCTGGAGGGAGTGGCCAGTGGCAGGAAGGTGTGAGCAATGGCCAGATGGTGTGAGGGGTGGTCAGAGGGAGTAAGCGGTGGCTTGAGGGAGTGAGTGGTGGCCAGAGGGTGTGAGTGGTGGCTGAAGGGTGTGGGCTGTGGCCGGAGGGAGTGAGCAGTGATCAGATATGGGACCTGGACGGAGGGTTTGAGCGGTGGCTGGAGGGTGTGGGCAGTGGCTGGAGGGTGTGGGTGGTGACTGGAGGGAATGAGCAGTGGCCACAGGATGTAAGACCTGAACGGAGGGTTGGAGTGGTGGCTGTAGTGTGTGAGCAGTGGCTGGAGGGTGTGAGTGGTCGTTGGAGGGAGTGATCCCTGACTGGAGGGACTGAGCAGTGACCGGAGGGTGTGATTGGTGGCCAGAAGGAGTTGGCGGTGGCTGGAGGGTGTGAGCGGTGTCCGGAGGGAGTGGATGGTGTCTGGAGGGTGTACCACCAAGGACGCCTTTCTGATCGTCCTGCGTCCATGCTCAGTCCTGGATCTCCTCTTCCCTTTCTGGGTGTGTGTGGCTCTGGAAGAAGCTGGCTAACCTGACGAGGTTACCGCCCTACTGTCACCATGGAAGCATAGCGCCTCAGCCACTCTCCCTGGAGGAGCCTGGCCTCACACTCCAATCATTCCCCTCTCCTTCTGGGTTAATTTGAGGAATGTGGTCCCGCTCCATGCTGTGGGTCTGTGCCTCAAGTTCCCTGGCCAGGAAAGTACCTGCCTCCTCCAATACCTGAGGACCCCAACCCCAGGGCCTCAGCTGGGTGTCCTTGTAAAGGGTCCCTGGGGTGGCAGTTGCTTTTTTGACCAGAGGCCTGGCAGGAAACGGGCTTCACCACAGCGGATCTGGGCAATGCGAGGAGAGTGAAGACTGTAAAAGTCTCCTTGCGGCTGGTAAACCCCCCAGGCTGGGGCAGGGGGGTGAGGGGTCTGCTCTGGGGCCTGGGGAAGATGGTGTGTGGAGAGGACGCCCACCTGGGCTGTGGCTGAGAGGGGGACGTGGCCTGTCCCAGGTGATCCCAGGAGGGATCCTGGAGGAGAGCCCGGATCCACTTCCTCCCAAACTCCTCCCTCCCTCCAGGGCCACCTACAGAACCCCCTCCTGCCAAGGCACAGGTCAGGGGCAGCGGGCAGGTGGGGAGCGTCAGGAGGAGACTGACTCCCCAACTGCGCGTCCCCCTTGTGGGGAATCTGGGCGGCTGCGGGGCCCCCCACTGAAAATGAGGGGCTCTCGCCAGACCGCAGGGAGGTCGGCTGGGCGCAGGAAACAAGCAATGCCTGCACAGCCACAGACGCCCCCACGGCCATAGATGCCTGCCGGAGAGGGTCTGAGGTGCGGAGTCTTCAGATGTCCTGTGGCCCAGCCACTGCGTCTTTCAGATAAGAAAACTAAGACCCAGAGCTGTGAAAATGCTGGCACAGGGTCCCCCACTGATGATGGACTGGCGCTTGCCTCTGCATTCTCTCCCTCGCCACACTGGAATTGTCTTCAACAAGTTTTTATGGATAAGGTTATGTATGGTGTGGTCTTGGGTTCCGCCCACTCTCACAGGGATAAAGCTCTTGTCCCGAGAAACGGAGAGTCCCGGGGGCAGCTCCAGCCGCTCCAACCCTAATGTGGGAGGCCAAACTCCGGCACTTGGTAGTTATCTCACAGCTCTCCCAAGGAGATAGGAGCTGGGCTTTCCAAGAAAGCAATTGCAAACATGTACAGAATGCTAGAACAACATCCGTGAATCTACGCTGCCCCTCATTAATGGATGCTAACCTTTTTACCTTATTTCCCTCAGATTTTCTTCAACAAAAGAAAACATTACGGAGACATCGAAGGCCCCTTTGCGCCCTACCCCGCCACCTTTTCCTGCTTCCTCCTTCCTAGACAGACCCATCATGCTGAAGTCAGTGTCTCGTTCCTGTCTACACTGTCATCATTTTGTTCATCTGGATGCAGTTCCAACAGTATATCACATTGTTTCACATAGTTTGGAAATCTACATTATAAATGATATCCTACTTTACAAACCATTTTAACGGATTTTTTCACTTCGCTTTGTTTTCAATATTTCTCATTATTTATTCATTTTCATCTTCTGAAAGATACTCACATACATACATATATAATATATGTAAAGTATAATACATGTATGCAATTAGTTCTCTATATTCATGGGTTCTACATCCATGGATTCCAGTAATGTCAGATCAAAACTGTTTTAAAATCCAGCTGGGCACAGTGGCTCACACTTGTAATCCCAGCACTTTGGGAGGCTGAGGCGGGTGCATCACCTGAGGTCAGGAGTTCGAGACCAGCCTGGCCAACATGGTGAAGCCCTGTCTCTACTAAAAACACAAAAATTAGCTGGGCGTGGTGGCACATGCCTGTAATCCCAGCTACTCAGGAGGCTGAGGCAGGAGAATCACTTAAACCTGGGAGGTGGAGGTTGCAGTAAGCTGAGATCATGCCACCGCACTCCAGCCTGGGCGACAGAGCAAGACTCTGTCTCAAAAAAAAAAAGTATTTTAAAATCTTATTTACAACATCTTAAAGATCAAAACTTGGGTGTGCCGCAAGTCAAGTACTATGTAGAATCTGCAGAATGAAATGAGGTGTAGGTATTGCATCAGGTATTATAACTAACCTAGAGATGGTTAAAGTGTAGGAGAGGATGCACGTGGTTTCTGCGCACTATGTCATTTTATACCAGGGACTTGAGCATTTGTGGATTTTGGCATCCCTGGGTGGGGGGTCCTGAAACCAGTCCCCCAGGGGTACTAAGGGACGACTGCATTGTATTTTAAGTTCATTTTCCCTTTCCCTGGTTAATGAATATTTATTTTGCTTTTCTTTCCCTCCTTTCCTTCCTTCCTTCTTTCCCTGTTTCCAGCTGTTACAAACAATGCTAAAAAGAATATCTTTGCCTGTGTTTTCTTCTGCCCAAGTATGAACATGTTTCTGGGATTAAGAGACCAGGCCTGGAAACAGAAGAATTTGCTGAGCTGTAAAATCTGTATGGCTTAAACCTCACCGAACACTGCCCACCTTTTCTCCAAATGATTGTGCAATTTACATCCCATTTCCAAGAGCCCCCATTTTGATCCGAGAAATTAGAGCAGCGAAAACCACCGTCACTATGAGCACCACCCTGGGCCTGGTGCCCCCGTCCTGTTTTCAATAAACTTAAGCTGACCACAGAGGACACCAGGCCTCGGCCCCTCCCTGGGTCCTGCGGTCAGGCCCCTCCTGGAGACCCTGGCCCAGGAGTGGAGACCCCGGTGCAGGAGTGGCAGCCCTGGAGGAGGGGCTGGGTCCTGGGATGGAGCGAAGAGGAACATGGCCGCCCCCATTCTGGCCCAGGCTCCCCTCCCAGAGGGGCTGCAGAAATGTACTGACTAGGTCACCCAAGAAAAGATAGTACCTTTGTTAGGCTAGCATGCATTTTCCTCAGGGCCTAATTTCTCACTGAAGAAGAAAAGATTTCTCCTGTTGTCCATTTCTTCATGCAGCTCTTCAACAGCTGTTTCTCGAATGCCAATCAAAGCCACTGTTCTAGGGTCTGGGGCCACCTCAAGGCACTAGGAGATGAGGACTTCTGCTCCCATGCGCCCTCCCGTCTGCTGCAGGGAGGAGTGCAATGAATAAATAACCAACATAATGTGTCAGTCACTTGTTTTATCCACCAGGAGGTAATAAGAGCTATGAAAGAGAAAGCTCCGAGCAGGGGAGGGGAGTGAGGCATGGTACAGGAGAGCAGGAGGCTGTCCTCTAAAATACAGGAGTCCAGGGGACCAACTGGGAAGGTGTGGGAGGGGGAGGGAGGGAGCCCCATAGACACAGGGGAGTGAACCACGTTCACTTTGTCAGTTTTTGATGGCAGCTCGTATATACTATTTTTTTCTCCCTCCTGCCCCCAGCCCCTCCCAGAAGGAGACTTAATCTGTCGCTCAGGCTGGAGTGCAGTAGGGTGATCTCGACTCACTGCAACCTCCGCCTCCCAGGTTCAAGTGATTCTCCTGACTTAACCTCCAGAGTAGCTAGGATTACAGGCACCCGCCACCATGCCTGGCTAATTTTTGTATTTTTTTTTTTTGTAGAGACGGGGTTTCGCCATGTTGGCCAGGCTAGTCTCAAACTCCTGACTTTAAGTGATCCGCCTGCTTTGGCCTCCCAAAGTGTTGGGATTACAGGCGTGAGCCACTGCGCCAGGCCTACAATTTCATTATTAAAACAATTCCACTGTAAAAGAATTAGCTTAGGCCTAGACGGAATGGGCTTCATGAGCTCCTTCCCTTCCCCCTGCAAGGTCACGGTGGCCACCCCGTGAGCCACTGTTGTCACGGCCAAGCCTTTTTCCGGCCATCTCTCACTATGAATCACTTCTGCAGTGAGTACAGTATTTACCCTGGCGGGAGGGCCTCTCAGATATGAGTAGGACCTGGATTAAGGTCAGGTTGGAGGAGACTCCCATGGGAAAGAGGGACTTTCTGAATCTCAGATCCCTCAGCCAAGATGACCTCACCACATGTCGTCTCTGTCTATCAGCAAATCCTTCCATGTAGCTTGACCATGTCTAGGAAACACCTTTGATAAAAATCAGTGGAGATTATTGTCTCAGAGGATCCCCGGGCCTCCTTAGGCAAATGTTATCTAACGCTCTTTAAGCAAACAGAGCCTGCCCTATAAAATCCGGGGCTCGGGCGGCCTCTCATCCCTGACTCGGGGTCGCCTTTGGAGCAGAGAGGAGGCAATGGCCACCATGGAGAACAAGGTGATCTGCGCCCTGGTCCTGGTGTCCATGCTGGCCCTCGGCACCCTGGCCGAGGCCCAGACAGGTAAGGCGTGCTTCTTCCTGCTCTGTGGGGCCACAGCCAGCTCTGGCAGCCTCCGCCAGGAGCCACTGTTTTACATACATATTTTTGAGCACCTGTTTTGTGCCAGGTGCTGTTCTAGGCCCTTAAAAGTATATCCAATTTACAGGATCGGCAAAAGCAGGTGGAGAGTAACTCAGGGTGGCAGGGCCCCCGGAGACCTTCGAGAAGTGCGACGAGGAGGGGGCTGCCTTCAGTCGGGGCTGTTTTCCTGTGTTAGGAAGACTATACAATCCTCCCAAGTGTCATGTTTCAAAGAGGAAGTGTTGGCGTGGGGTCTCAGAATAGTGCTTTTGACTGTTCATGCCAACATCTCCCCCAGGGGCAGACCCTCCCAAGGCCCATCCAGATAGGCCCAAATGCCGGTCCCAGTGATGGCCACCTGGGAGACCCTCTCCCACAGGCCCGAATGCCCGTCCCAGTGGTGGCCAACTGGGAGACCCTCTCCTACAGGTTCCTGGGCTCCCCTGGGATCCATGCTCTGGGAGTCAAAGCCACCTCTCTCATGAGTGCGTGGCTGGCAACCCATATTCCCTGGTGTTGTCAAGTGGATCGGTTGCCCTGGGTCCTTCTAGGGAGTGGAGGAGGAGGCCATTCTTGCTTCCTTGGGAAGTGTTTGCATCTCAACTCCTTTACCTGCAGAATGGATCAACGGTCTGCCCTAGGGCTGTCAGGAAATGCTGTGTGGCAGCATCTGCGACTTGCACTTTGCCAGCTGTGGGGAGCTGAATAACTTATTTGCCGTTATTAGGTACAGTTTCAAGGTGGGGGCAGGAGAAAGGGCTTTCTACGTTTCCAAAGCAAGGGTTTCCAGAGAGGCCTGAAGAGGGAGCGCCCAGTGGTGCTGTCCGTGCCCCCACTGCCCTCCAGCCACCTCTTGATCTCTGCTGTGGGGTACCGGGCCTGAGGGGTGGGCTTGGGCAGCGTAGAAGAGCAGCCAGCATTGGGCTGCAGTGGGAAGACCCCCAAGCCCATGGCAGGGAGCGGGGGAGCTTTGGAACCCGAGAGAGGAAGTGGCCTCGGTGTACAGAACGAACTGGGTGGGTCCCCGTGCTGGCCACCCCCAGGCCCATCTGCCTGCGCCCTTGCCCCCACCCCAGCCCCCAGCTCTGCCCCCTGTGCTGTGGGATCACAGAGGCCGTGGCAAACTCCCCTCCCCACCCCACACACCCTCTGGCTCAAGGCTCAGAGCGTCTTTGCGGGTCACTCAGGTCCATGATCCTGTTACAACTGAAATCTAGAAAATTGTGATTACAGTTTAGTGCATTCGTGTGTGGAAACCATTTCCATTTATTTCCATCATGCGACAAAGACAAAGCGGGTGGGCAAGACAGAGTCTGCCGGAGGCAGAGCACCGGGGCTGGAAATCTTCCTCCCTGAGGAGGAAACCCCCCCGACCCCCAGGATGATGATCCTCCCTCACCACGGGGCCTCTCTTGACCCCCACAGTGTCCCGGGGGTGGGCGATGATCACCTTCACGTCGCGATGGATCCAGACCCCAGGAGGGCAAGGTTCCCATGGAAGCTGCTGGGCAGCGGGAGCTGAACACGGATCCTTCCCAGCAAGCCAGGAACACTTTCTCCAAAGACATCTCGAGGCAGTCCCTGATAGCAAAGCAGACAAGAGAACAGCCCCTCTCGGCCTCCCCTGGGGCGCCCTCACCTGAGCCAGTGTGGCCAGACTGAGTTCCTCCCCTCCTATGCCCCAAGGCAGGGACAGGGACCGGAGGGTGCTCTGGGCTCCTCTTTCACCCCCTGCTGCAGGCTGTCAACCACCAGATCCTAATAGGTTGCTTTCTGAGACCTTTGATTCCGCGGAGCTCAGAGCCTGAAGCTCTGGTGTTAGAACCTCTTGCATAAGATCCTGCGGCAGCCCCCAGCCAGCCCCATCTGTCCACGTGTCTTCCTCCTCTAGATCCCTTTCCTCACTGCCCTGCTTCAAGCTGTTTCACAGCTTGTACCCTCTGTCGGCTCCTCCTAGACCACCCCACCCGGTCCTCTCACCTTACCTGCAATGGGTTTCCACCTCCTGAACACACCTGGGTCTCTGGAATGGCCTTTGCCCATGCGGCTCCATCTTCACCTGGTGAACCTCCTCCTGCAGGGAGCCCCCCTGCTTTGTTCAACCTGCTTGTCATTGGCCTCTCCGGGGAGTGCCCTACCCCCGTGGTTACCCTGGGCACCCTGGGACGATGGCCTTGCGTTGTCTCGCACATGTTCTTGCCTTTCTCCTCCATCAGATCCTTAGACTCTTTTTTTTTTTTTTTTGAGATGGAGTCTTGCTCTGTCACTCAGGCTGGAGTGCAATGGTGCGATCTTGGCTCACTACAACCTCTGCCTCCTGGGTTCAAGTGATTCTCCTGCCTCAGCCTCCCAAGTAGCTGGGATTACAGACGTGTGCCACAATGCCCGCCTAATTTTTTGTATTTTTAGTAGAGATGGGGCTTCACCATTTTGGTCAGGCTGGTCTTGAACTCCTGACCTCAAGTGATTCACCTCCTTCAGCCTCCCAAAGTGCTGGGATTACAGGCATGAGCCTGGGCCCAGATATTTAGACTCTTATTAATGACTTCTCTGGTTTTAATTTCTGGGTCTCTCTCACCTGGCACAGTGCCTGGCTTTTGCCATGCTAGCTCCCACTTCTCATGCACACAAATGGTGCTCAGTAAATATTTATGTATTGAGTAAAATTTAATAATCATTTGTTGAAATTAAAAAGTGAATAAATAAGTTACCTAGAAAGATGCAAAGTCCACAAACCTGGGGCACCTTGCATTTTCCCTGAGCGTAATGTTTGCACATCAGGATGTGAGGACCACGTCTCCCTCTCATGTCCTGAGGGTTTTATATCCGCCTCACTGGACAGTTGCTGATGTCATTGGAGAAGGAAGCTGGATGGGTGTGTGCATGATAACATCAAGGAATTCAGCCCACAACTTACTTTGCTTCTTACCTGTGCACTTTCAGAGACGTGTACAGTGGCCCCCCGTGAAAGACAGAATTGTGGTTTTCCTGGTGTCACGCCCTCCCAGTGTGCAAATAAGGGCTGCTGTTTCGACGACACCGTTCGTGGGGTCCCCTGGTGCTTCTATCCTAATACCATCGACGTCCCTCCAGAAGGTATGGCCTTTTTATACGATGGGTTCTGAAGATTTAGAATTAGTTAGAAAAGTCATTTAAGACTACAGAGGCTCTGATCAGCATCACCAGCTATGCCTTTACACAGAGTCACGGCCGCCAGTGGTGGTGCAATGGGGTAGCCTGAGTCAGGCTGCATTCAGGTCCAGGAATAGAAAGGCAGGGCTAAGGGACTTGGGAAGAAACCTGATTTCCCCCCGGCTTCTCTTCACATCTCTAACCAAAAGCCTGGGAAGAGCCACTGTTGGTAACGCTTTCTAGCTTGCCTAGGATAGAGGGGGAAGGCATGACGAAATCTGAAGACATTTCATGTATTCTTTTTTTTTTTTTTTTTTTGAAATGGAGTCTCGCTCCGTTGCCCCTGAGCTGGAGTGCAATGGTGCGATCTTGGCTCACTGCAATCTCTGCCTCCTGAGTTCAACCTCAGCTTCCTAGTAGCTGAGATTACAGGTGTGTGCCACTACGCCCAGCTAAATTTTTTTTGTATTTTTAGTATAGACGGGGTTTCACCATGTTGGCCAGACCGGTCTTGAACTCTTGACCTCAGGTGATCTGCCCGCCTCAGCCTCCCAGAGAGCTGGGATTACAGGCGTGAGCCACCGTGCCCGGCTGACAGTTCATGTTTTCTAAAGAATGTGCCTATGGATACTTTAAAGTAAAAACTCTGTAATTGTTTAAATGTGAAAGAAAATGTTTATCCTCACTAAAGCATCTCTTTCTCCCTCCCCCTCACCCCTGTAGAGGAGTGTGAATTTTAGACACTTCTGCAGGGATCTGCCTGCATCCTGACGCGGTGCCGTCCCCAGCACGGTGATTAGTCCCAGAGCTCGGCTGCCACCTCCACCGGACACCTCAGACACGCTTCTGCAGCTGTGCCTCGGCTCACAACACAGATTGACTGCTCTGACTTTGACTACTCAAAATTGGCCTAAAAATTAAAAGAGATCGATATTAATCTGTGCTGTTCATTCTTTTAAAGAATATGAATGATTTTCCTTTCTTTGAAAGTGAAGCGCAGCGTTTCACCCTGGGCTCTCGCAGAGGTTCTGCATCTTCTGGGCTTCCTGAGCTGGGATACAAGTGGGCAGCTGAGTGCAGAAAGCAGGGATGGTGGGGTGTACAGTAGGACAGTGGGGTGTGCAGTAGGACAGTGGGGTGTGCAGTAGGACGGTGGGGTGTACAGTAGGACAGTGGGGTGTGCAGTAGGACGGTGGGGTGTGCAGCGGGACGGTGGGGTGTGCAGCAGGACGCAAGTCCAAGACGCACTCTTGTCCAGGCATGAAAATGGACACCGACTCCCCTGGCATTTCTTAACTACTCACTGCGGATGCCCCAGCGACCAAGTGACACAAGTTAGCTTTCCGTTTATTTGCTTTCCCAAATAGAAATTGGCGTAGGAGATGAAACCTGTAGCAGAATGTCTGAAAGCATGTGTAATAAAAATTGCAGAGGGTGGCATGGACTGACCCCTCCAGGAAAACCCCTCCCCAACCTCAGATCTGAACGAACTAGAAAATAGAACAGCAGAGGAGGGATACAGAAGCCAAAATGTCACTTTATTCCCACTGGCCCCTCTGTAGCTTGGCAAGGATTGGGAGAGGGTGTCCCCCCAACCTAGTCGTCCTTGCTCTGGGGACCTCAGCTCAGCAAGCCCCAAGCTAAATGCACCCTGGGTTCCTCCTCCTCCCACCTGTCCCTCCATCTGGTGCTCTTGTGCTGGGCACACGTTGCACAGTTATACTGGAGATGGGATCCCCCGGGAGCTCTGGAAAGCTCCTGCTCTCTGCAGCCAGACGGTTCCAGGGAGGAAGAGGGAGGTGCAGAACTGAGCGGGGCCAGCTCTTTCCACATTAACCAGTCTGGCAAATCATTCCCAAACCCTTGGCTACCACGTTCAGCAGATAAAGAGGCCTGAGAGGCCGGGAGACACCCACCAAGAAGAACCATCAGGAACGGGAAGCCCCCTGCCCCCTGCACACAGCAGCACACACATGAGCCGTAATAATACATATGTCACGTATGTGTCAGGGGGGCCACAGACACCTCCTCTTACCTCTCAGATGTGCAAGGAAGTTTTAGCTTTTCTTTTCCATCTATGGTATGTCTGATCTTACACTCTCTGTCTGCTAATTACAGGTAAAAATGAGCTAACTTTATTTAGTCCAATTCCTCTTAAAATTCAGTTTGTCATAATAATTTGCACAGCTTCTGTCAGTCACAGTCTTTGGGAACGCATTGCTCAGTCTCTTACCTCGCTCTACTCCGTCTTGCCCTCTCTACCCCTGGGTGGGGTGAAGGAGCCCCTGGGGTCTGCCCATGCCCTTTGGATTCCTGCTGGCTCACTGTGGAGCAGAAGCTGGGGGTTCTCAGAGCCCAGCTGGTGTGTGGCCTGTCCGTTCTTCCCACAGTTCTCCAGTGTCAGAAAGGTGGGCTTTCCACACAACATCTCGTAGCTGACTGTTTCCTGGCTGTCCACCATCCGTTCTTTCTTACCTAACTTGCACTCTACGAAGGAAGGGGGAGAAAGAATTCACTTTCCCAGCCCCTCTTTTAGCCAGAAGTGGCCGTGCAATTCTATGTGGCCCATGAGACATAGGGGGCATCTCCTTGAAGGTGGGGCAGGCTTCTCCCTTGATGAATGAAGAGCGCCCTCTGGCTTCCTAGGCCAGCCCTTGCAGCCTGCCTTTGGGTGTTGTGGAAGGTGGGTGTGATGTGGTGTTGCAGGCAGCCATTATGTAATAATGAGGTAAGGCCCAAGACCTAGAGCCTTAATAACCCTGAGCTACTGATTTGAGCCCCCCACCCACCTTGAGACATCATGTTAAATAAACCTAAGTGTGCTTGTGGGTTAAATCACTTCTGGTTTGGTTTCCTGTGGCATTTCAGTATATTACCAAGGCCCATATCTTCCATCTACCACAGAGCAGTGAGCCTATGGCCCAGCCACGATGGCCAGGAACAACCGCTCTCACCAAGGACTGTAGGCAGAGCCAGTTAACAAGGTGGGTCACTGCCTTCCTGTGGTTTCCCTGGGCCTCCACTCAGTGGAGCCTGGGCAACAGGGCAAAACTCTGTTTCTACTAAAAATACAAAAACTCGCTGAGTGTGTGGTACATGCCTGTAGTCCCAGTTACTAGGGAGGCTGAAGTGGAAGGATTTCTTGAGCCCAGGAGGTGGAGGCTGCAGTGAGTCGAGACTGTGCTACTGCACTCCAGCCTGGGCGACAGAGTGAGACACTGTCTTAAAAAAAAAAATAAAAAGCACCCTTCCACTTCAGATCTGCTCAATGGAGTTACATGTCAGTTTACACTTTTCTTGTAAGCTGCTCCTTGGCTTGCAAGCAGCACCCTTGTGCTGCCTCTTCCCATGCTTGTCTGTCTGTGTGTCTGGGGTCTGTGTGTCCAAATGTCCTCTTCTCATAAGGACACCAGTCAGGTCGGATTAGGGCCCACCCTAACAACCCCATTTTAACTTGATAAAAGAAAAACTTGGGCAGACGTGGTGGCTCATGCCTGTAATCCCAGCACTTTGGGAGGCTGAGGCGGGCAGATCACCTGAGGTCAGGAGTTCGAGACCTGCCTGACCAACATGGAGAAACCCCATCTACTAAAAATACAAAATTTCCCGCGTGTGGTGGCACATTCCCATAATCCCAGCTACTCGGAGACTGAGGCAGGAGAATTGCTTGAACCCGGGAAGCGGAGGTTGTCGTGAGCTGAGATTGTGCCACTGCACTCCAGCCTGGGCAACAAGAGTGAAACTCCCTCTCAAAAAAAAAAAGAAAAGAAAAGAAAAGAAAAAAAAAGAAAAGAAAAGAAAAGAAAAGAAAAGAAAAACTTCAGCTGAATTACATTTAAAGAAGTTTAATTGAGCAAAGAACTATTCACGAATCGGGTAGCCTGCTGAGTCAGAGTAGGCTTAGACTCCAGCACAGTCACGGGGTGGAAGCAGATTTATGGACAGAGACAGGAAAGTGAGGCACAGAAAATGGATATGAGGCACAAAAACAGCCCGACTGGTTACAGCTCCGCCTTTGCCTCACTTGAACGCAGTTCGGACTGTTGGCTGCATTTGATTGGTCAGAACTCGGTGACTGGCACCTCAGTTCGGACAGTTGGCTGCATTTGATTGGTCAGAACTCGGTGATTGGCACAAGTGTAGGCTACGGTCGGTTTACGCCTCCACCTGTTACAGTTCACGATGTACAGAGAAACCTTTAGTCCAAATTTAAAATATGTAAGGGGGAAGCTTTAGGCTAAACTTGATTTCACAATTTTAATCACCTCTTTAAAGGCGCCTTCTCCAGATGTGATCCCATTCTGAGGCGCTGGGGGTTCCGGCTTCAACATAGAAGAACAGAGTTGGGCCGTAACAGTGGTATCTGTTACCTGCAACCAAGGAGCCCTGGCCCATGCAGATTATTACAGAGTGCTGTCACCACTGTGTGAGATAAGGCAATTCTGCTGTGGGAGGCAAGAAAACAAAGTGGATTTTGGGAAACTGGAGGTATGTCAGGTGCATATGGGGGCACACATTCATAAGGAGTATTCAAGGTGGACAGTGAAAGAGTGGTCTTCTGTGAGATATGCTGTGTGATGAGAAGGATGGAACCAACAAGAACGTCATTAGGGAGAGAAAAGGATGAGAAGGCCGCATCACAGGGAACCGATGGTGTGCTCTAGGCTGACAACTCCTTCAGCCCTGAACCAGCAGCTCACGGTGACCACCCACCCTGCGCTTGGCCCCGGAAATGCGCAGTAAACATGGGCTGCTCTGTGGATCGTGCGGGGCTGCAGCTGAGCTCACAAGCCCTCCCCCAGAATCTCTTAGACAAAGCAAGAGCATGTGTTAGCCCCAGGCTCCCTCCACCTCCTGGTCCCCAGCTGAGATGTCCATTACTATGACCCTGGTGGAGAAGGTGGAGAGACGGAGAGGATGCGTGAGTTCCTCGTGGCCAGAATTCAGGCATGTGGTCCTTCTACCCTCCCACACCTGTATGAGGTGTTCACCTTCTCTTTCCCTTCATTTTTCACTACGTGCTGTCAATCGATTTAATAAATAGCAGGTTTCACACCTTAATTTGGTCTATGCACACCTCTGTTCTGCCACTGGCTATGTACTCGGAGGCCACAGTTGCTTCTAGATAATTTCCTACACAACAGGGTTCTGTTCAGGGCATTTATTGAACTAAAGGTCAGACCAGGAACTAATTCTCGAAGGCAAGCTGTGGCTTAAGTTCATATTTGTAGGGTCACTGGGAAAGATATCGTTAACTTAAGAAAACTCCCTCACCTTTCTTTGCAAGTAGAGGGAGGGGTGGTTTGTTGCAATATTTAATTTTTATGAGTCTGATAGGAAACATCAGCTCATAAGAAAGAGACACACACCTGGCAAATCCCAGTCCTTGTAACTTACCAGAAGGAAGGGATGGCCATTAGGAAGAAGGGGTTCCCTGACTTAAAGGTCCAAGTAGACAGAAGACACCAGTTGGTAACACAAGAATAAATAGTATTATTTTTAAAGGATTTCTGACTTGTTCTTTTCAGCTCTTAACAGTGCCCTGAGCTGGACATTTTTGAGGTAGCAAACAGACTAAATTAGACCAAACCATACATGCCCACACATGCACGTGCTACAAGGGGACTCAGTGAAGCTAAAGGCAAGTATTGGAAGGATTTTCTACATTTCATCTGATCTAGTCTATCAGTGTCGAGAAGTGGGAAGGGCTGAGCTTATTATATCCTACGTGCAAGCCAGCAGGTGAGTCTGCCAGTTTCCTGTTTGCTAGCAGAAGACAGGAGATTCCTGGTTCAAAGATAAATGACTTTATTACTCATGCTACAGCAAGCAGCATGAAGAAAGGTTACTTGTGTTGGTTCTCTTTGCCTCCAAGACCCCCAAGGGACTGGGACCAGGAATGGGCTCAGATGGGTGCCTGCACACACAGTGGGTTGCCTTATAGGAGAGAAGCCCTGGACTTAGGGATCCAAGTGTTTTATAAGGGACAGTGAGCTTGCCTGCTCTTTGCTTCAGAGGGAGACACTTTATCCACTTTCCAAGATTGTTTGTGACCCAAACATCCTTGGAGAGATAGTCTGGAAGAAAGAACTGTTTTAATTGCCTCCCATGCATTTCGTTAGTGAGGGAGGGATTTCACCCTAGGATGATGGGATGACTGAACACGCCATCCCCAACACAACATAGGTGAGAACAATAGCAGTTTGTGAGTCCCATATCCTTATAGCTCAGGGGCTGAGGACACTGTGCCATGTGGAGCCACACAGAGGTGGCATTCAGGAGCAGAGTGAATAAGCAAAGGCTGCGGAAAGCAGGCTTTGTAGTATCAAGAGGGCGTAGTGGCTAGTGGTTCTCCCAGGAGGATGCAATTGGCTTGTTTAAATAATTCTGTGGGCTGGCAGAAAACTGAAATCTGCTACTCACGGATAAGCAAGCACGGTGCCTGATCCCTTGACAGGGAGGGTTGTTTGGCTAGGGGACCTTATCCACGAGTAGAGATGGGAGGGGAACTTTCGGTGAGGCTGCTTGAGGCCCTCTCTGTTTCACCAGATGTCAAGGCAGTACTTAATATTGTGCCTTAAGTTTAGGTCTTATGCCATAAGGATAGTTAGTTTCTTATTCACAGGATGTGCAGAAATGTGAGAACTTTATGGAGAACTGTCTCCCAACAACCAGTATACTAAATATCTTAATTTCAGGACAAGATTATAGAGGGAGGAAAAAGGATTAAGGCTCACAAGGCTCATTTCTGTAACATTTTCTTAAGAAAAATAGAATACAAATATTTCCCTCCATTGTTATTTTTAAATTTTATTTTTAGACAGCTTAAGGCTACAATATAGGGGTATGTGCAACCTCTCCTGAGTTCAAGTGATTCTTCTGCTTCAGCCTCCTAAGTAGCTGGGATTGCAAGCATGAGCTACCATGCCTGACTAATTATTGTATTTTTAGTAGAGATGGAATTTCACCATGTTGGCCAGGCTGTTCCTGACCTCAGGTGATCTGCCCACCTAGGCCTCCCTAAGTGCTGGGATTGTGGCGTGAGCCACTGCAACCAGCCTGGATTTTTTTAAACGGCTAGATAGTAAATATTGTAGGTTTTGGAGGCCTTACAGTCTTTGTCACAATGAATCAACTCTGCAATTGTTCTGAAAGCATATTTTCAGAGTATAGAACTTTTCCCTAGCACTTACACATGTTATCCCATTGTCTTCTGGTTTGCATTATCAGATAAAAAGAAATACTTGATCAAGAATGAGTGTTGAGTAAATAATACTGTGTTATCAGTCATTATTGTTATTATGTTCTCCTCCATGCTGTATGTCTTTGTCTTAGCCTATTTTCTGTTGCTAAGTTGAAACTGGTCATTTATAAGAAATGAACTTCATCTCTTACAGTTCTGGAGACTGGGATGTCCAAGGTTGAGGGGTTGTATCTCTTGAGCGCCTTCTTGCTGGTGGGGACTCTCAGATGTGTCCCAAGGCAGCCCAGGGTATTCCATGGTGAGGGCGCTGAGTGTGTTCATGTCCTAGCACAGGTCTCTCTTCTTATAAAGCCACCAGGTCCCCTTCCACAATAACCCATGAATCCATCATCCCATGAATCCATTAATTCATGAGTGGATTAATTCATTCATGAGAGCAGAGCTCTCACGATCCAATCACCTGTTAAAGGCCCCACCTCTCAATACGGCCACATTGGGGATTAAGTTTCGACATGAGTTTGGAGGGACATTCAAATTATAGAAGTCTTTTCCTCCAGCTGCTTTAAGAGTTTTTTAAATCACCGGATTTTCAACAGACGAATCATGCTGTGCCTTGATGTGATATTTTTGGTATTTATCTTCCTTGAAGTTCTTTGAGCCTCTAAGATTTGTAGGTTTATACTTTTCACCAACTTCAGAAAAATCTAATGAATATTTACTCAATACTCATTCTTGATCAAGTATTTCTTTAAAAGATTTTTTTCTCTCCTCTCCTACTGGTACATCAATTACATGTATGTTAGATTGCTTGACATTGTCTCACCGGTCATTGGAATCTTGTTTATTTGTTTAGCCCTTTTTCACTTTATGCTCTAGTTCGCATAGTTTATCTTGCACTGGCTTCACTTCAAGTAAACTGACCATTCCTCTGCAGCATCTAATAGTATCTAATCAAAAACCCATACAGTGTATTTTTCATTTCAGATGTTGTATTTTTTATTTCTAAAATTTGTACCTGGTTAATTTTTAGTTTCCATTTATCTACTGAGATTCCTTTTTGTTCCTTTATTATATTATGTTTTTCTTTCAATCTTTGAACATTTTATGCCATGTCTAAGTCTGTTTTTGTTCACTGATTTTTCTAATGATTATGGGCCATATTTCCTAGTTCTCTCCACACATCTAGTAACTTCTGATTTTCTGTTAGACGTTAGGGATGTTATGTTGTGTATTTAGGTTTTGCTGTCTTCATTAGTAAAGTGTTGAATGCTTTGCTCTCTCAGGTAGTGTTATCGGTTGAATTATTTCCCCCAAATTCATATATGAAGCCTTAAATTCCATTACCTAAGAATGTGACTACATTTGGAGACAGTGTCTTAAAAGGGGTAATCAGGTTAAAATGAGGCTCTTAGGGTGGGCCCTGGTTCAATTTGACTGGTGTCCTTATAAGAAAAGAGTCGCCAGAGATGTGCGTGCACAGAGGAAAGACCATGTGAGATATGGGGAAAAAAAGCCATCTGCAAGCAGAAAGAGGCCTCAGTAGAAACCAGATGTGCTGACACCCTATCTTGGACTTCTGGGCACCAGAATTGTGAGAAAGTACACTTCTGTTGGTTAAGCTACACAATGTGTAGTATTTTGTTACAGCAACCTGAGTGAACTAATACAAGCAGTTAATTTACTTGCAGGTTAACTTGATTCCTGCAAGACTTGTTTTAAAGTTTTGTTCGAATGGATTTTGAGTAGCTTTCCTCTAGAAAGATCAGCCTTCTTTTTACGGCATGGCCTTTATTGAATGCTTGAAGTGGTCAACACCTCTGGCTGCTCTGAGCTCAAATGCTTTCCAGCCCCACGAACCCTACACTAGTTGTTCAGTTTAGCCTCCCCAGTGATTGTTCTGTCCCCAGGGGCTACTTAGCCTGGCCTTGTGGGCACGAACAGCATAGTATTTGATGAAAAGCTCAAAGGACACACTTTTATATTTCTGGAGCTTCCTTCTCTTACCTTGATAACCCGCCTGCCTCAGAAGCTTCCAATTCTGACCTCTGTCTCCTCAGCCCGATGGGACTTCAGTGCTATTTGGGTTCCCCTCCCTGTGCTGTAGTCTGGAGAGCGTCTCCAGGAAACCAAGGCAGCCATGGGACTCCCCCTATTGTTTCCCTTCTCTCAGGGATCGCTGTCTGGCACTGCCTGCTGCTCAGCATCTGCAGACTGTTACTTATGTAGTTTTAGAGTTACTCATGGTGGGAGGCTAGCCTGGTACCAGTGACTCCATAGTCAAAAGCGGAAGTCCACATGGGTGATAGCTGAGGTGGTTCCCATTTGTTGACTTTCTATGTGAACTGATGGAAAGTATCATCCCCAAAGTGTGCAAAATGGAAGTGAGCAGGGGTGGAGAAGGATAAACAGAAAGAGGAGGGCGCCAGCCCTGAGTGCCTGGATGGCGCTGAGATCATGCGTTGAGAGTGGCAACAATTCAAGGTAGGTGTCGGCCATGCTAGGCAGATGGCATAGGCACAGAGACAGTGGGAAACAGCAGTGAGGAAGACGGTGGGTGAAGTGAGCACTGTGGAAATCAGGCTGGAGAAGCAGGAAGGAAGGATAGACAGGAGGGGGCTCACAGGGGAATAGGGGATTGGAGGGCTTTAGGATTCAGACAAAGGGAGAATGTTAGGAGCTTAGGACATCCTGGGCAGAAAGGACATTTGCATACCCTCTTTCAGAGGTGGAGCTCAAGTTCTGAGTGTGGTCATGGGAGGGTGGCAGAAGTGGCAGAAGTGGAGTGGAGATGGAAGTTCCTAGAGATGAGGAAAAATAAAATCTGAGCGACTGTGAATTTTGATGAAACATCGACCGCCATGTTGAAGATGGCTGGGATGTGGCCAAGTCTTAGCATGACAAGGAACACAGTGAACTCAGTGCTGAAATTCTTAACGAAAGGGACAGGCTGCACAAAGGTCGGCAGATGACAGCAGGGCAGGGACTCCGGACATGGCGCCCTTCCCAGCCTGCATCTCCAAGGAGGATGGTTTTTGCATGAGGGTGAAGACTTGGGGCTCAAAGTCAATGTCCAGCCCCCAGTCTGAGCCCATGTGATGGGGACGTGGCCACCAAGTACAGTTGTGGAGGTTGTGAACAGCTCCACTTTCAACTAGCGATGCCACTCTATTGCAGACGTCCCATCTCGTGTAATGGTTTCCCAACTCTGTGGGCACTCAGTGTCCCTGCGTGGGGGCCTGAGCAGGATTCCAGGGAAGCATGCCTATGACAACACAGGCTTCCGCCAGGGCCAGGAGAGTGAGAGAGGCTGAGAAGTGGTCTCTTTTGCATGGGTCAGGTGGTCGCAGCAGGAATCCTGAAGGGGCTGCAGTGAGCGGTGGGAAGTCGAGTTGATGGGGAGGAAGCAGAGAGGAGAGGTGGGTGGGAATATGAGAGAAAACAATGACTCAGTCACTTATATCATGATGGTGACTAAAGTGACAGGGATGTAGAACAAGGAAACTGACCTTGCCAGAGTTTTCATGGATCGAGTCCCTGTGGTTGCCCAGTGGTGAACAGTCAGCAGAGAGCCTGGAGGTACTTGACCCGGACCCAGAGGAGCCCTGGAGGATGGAGCCTGGAGGACGGGGGCCTGGAGAATGAGGGTCTGGAGGACGAGGGTCTGGAGGAACAGGGGCCTGGAGGACGAGGGTCTGGAGGAAGAGGGCCTGGAGGACAGGGGCCTGAAAGATGGGGGCCTGGAGGATGAGGGTCTGGAGGATGAGGGTCTGGAGGAGCAGGGGCCTGGAGGATGAGGGCCTGGAGGACAAGAGCCTGGAGGACAGGGGCCTGAAAGATGGGGGCCTGGAGGATGGGGCCTGGAGGATGGGGGCCTGGAGGACGGGGGCCTGGAGGATGATGGCCTGAAGGATGAAACCTGGAGGATGGAGCCTGGAGGATGGAGCCTGGAGGATGAGGGCCTAGAGGATGGGGGCCTGGAGGACAGGGGCCTAGAGGATGGAGCCCTGGAGAATGGGGGCCTGGAGGATGGAGCCTGGGGGACGAGGGCCTGGAGGATGGGGGCCTGGAGTATGGGGCCTGCTCTCCAGACCCTGAGGACAGCCCCGTGGTGGACCAAGGATTTTGGGTTTCCTGCGTCTCTGGGCCCCTGACTGCTCAACCATCAGAAACAGACTGGCAACCCCCTGTCATTTCCCTGGCGTGGGGAACTTCGGGTCCCCTCTGTCCTTCCCACCACACTTTTCCCTCTTTCTTTCCGGGTGTCTACTCTCTGGCTTCTGTCTTCTCTGTCAGGTCCACAGAATCCTTCTCCAGCACATCCTACCCCAGGAAGGCCATGGGCTGGGTCCCAGGTGCCATCTTTCAGAAGATGTAGAGCATTCCCATGGAACAAAAATAACCCATTTCAGGGGTTGGCTGAAAATGAACTTATTAAAACCTGCCTGTCACAGGCTACTCCGCTGACCCTGTCAGCCTCATCTCCATGGAGAGCAGCCCCTCCTGCTGAAGATGGGACAAAGGGCATCGTGCTGCGGTTGGGGAGGCTCTAACCACAGCCCTGGGAGCAGTCTCTTACCTCCTCTGAGATGCTTCCCTTCCTCAGGGAGGGGACTTTTCCATGCTATCTGCTGGCCTGTACATTTTCCCCAGTAAACTTGGCCCTAATATTTTCTAAATTCCTGTGGTCCCTGCCCACTCTATCAATAGAAATGCATAGCTTATCCCTTCCTGGGTGTGACCCTGTGTGTGCCCAGCCCCAGACCTGCACGTGGCCGGTTTTCCACGCTGGCAGCCTGGCATGACCCAACTCTCTGTCCAGGGCAGGAAGAGGTATCACCGAGCAGGGAGAGAGTCACCCTGGCCCGGAAGCCTCGCCTGCACAGGGCACAGCTGCCTCTTGCCTCCTCTTCGCCTCCACGGTGGAAGGGCTGGGGCCACGGGGCAGAGAAGAAAGGTTATCTCTGCTTGTTGGACAAACAGAGGGGAGATTATAAAACATACCCGGCAGTGGACACCATGCATTCTGCAAGCCACCCTGGGGTGCAGCTGAGCTAGACATGGGACGGCGAGACGCCCAGCTCCTGGCAGCGCTCCTCGTCCTGGGGCTATGTGCCCTGGCGGGGAGTGAGAAACCCTGTAAGTGAAGGAGAGGGTCTTTTTATGTGCTTTCTTTATTTCTCTTAAAGAAAAAAAAAAAGCACAACCATAAATTAACTTGAGAGGGGGAATGGCTATAAAGGCATCTGGCAATGTGTGTTGTTCACATGGGATTTGCCACTGCTCAGGAGGGTGGCTCCAAGAAGGGCCTCCCTCCTAGGGAAAGGCTGAGTGACGGCAGGTGTCAGCGGGCCCCGTGTCGGGCCAGGAGGGCATTCCCACCAAGGGTCCTTGGAGTCCCAGAGCACTCACCTCTCGCCTGGATCTTGGCCTTGGGTCCATCTGTTCACCCTCCTCTAGGAGGGTTTTGTTTTTGTTTTTTTCCGAGACAGGATCTGGCTTTGCCGCCCAGGCAGGAGTGCAGTGGTGTGATCTTGGCTCACTGCAACCTCTGCCTCCCAGGCTCAAGTGATCCTCCCACCTCAGCCGCCTGAGTAGCTGAAACCACAGTTGTGGACCATCATGCCCGGCCAATTTTTTTTTTTGTATTGTTTGTAGAGATGGGGTTTCGACATGTTGCCCAGGATGGTCTTGAACTCCTGAGCTCAAGCAATCTGCCCGCCTCGGCTTCCTAAAGTGCTGGGATTATAGGTATGAGCCACCATGCCTGGCTTTTTTTTTTTTTTCCTTTTAAACTAATATAACAATTTCAGCAAAGCCCTATCGGCTTCTCAGGAGGAAACCGCATTGCTTAAATATGGGCAAGATAAGACTTTGTGTTTCTCTATGTGGCAACAAGACAGTAGAGGCATCCCCTAGAACCTCTGAGAGAAGGAGCAGTGTGGTCTGGGGTACCAGGGTGGGGCCGACTGAGGGTCTTTCCACAGCCCCCTGCCAGTGCTCCAGGCTGAGCCCCCATAACAGGACGAACTGCGGCTTCCCTGGAATCACCAGTGACCAGTGTTTTGACAATGGATGCTGTTTCGACTCCAGTGTCACTGGGGTCCCCTGGTGTTTCCACCCCCTCCCAAAGCAAGGTAATCTTCCAGGGAATCTTCCTGGGCCAGCAGCTGGCAACCCAGGACCCAGCTTCACAGGCGGAGCCCAGAGCAGGGGCCGGAGGAGGCCCAGTTGCTAGTCTAGGGTTAGCCTGGGTGGGTTAGTCTCGAGCTAGCCCCGGTTGGTTAGTCTGGGGCTAGCCCAGGTTGGTTAGTCTAGAGCTAGCCCAGGTTGGTTAGTCTGGGGCTAGCCCAGGTTGGTTAGTCTGGGGCTAGCCCAGGTTGGTTAGTCTAGGGCTAGTGTAGGCTAGTTAGTCTAAGGCTAGCCCAGGTTGGTTAGTTTGGAGCTAGCGCAGGTTGGTTAGTCTGGGGCTAGTAGCCCAGGTTGGTTAGCCTGGAGCTAGCCCAGGTTGGTTAGTCTAGGGCTAGCGTAGGCTGGTTAGTCTGGGGCTAGCCCAGGTTGGTTAGTCTGGAGCTAGCCCAGGTTGGTTAGTCTGGGGCTAGTAGCCCAGGTTGGTTAGTCTGGGGCTAGCCCAGGTTGGTTAGTCTAGGGCTAGTGTAGGCTAGTTAGTCTAGGGCTAGCCCAGGTTAGTTAGTTTGGAGCTAGCACAGGTTGATTAGTCTGGGGCTAGTAGCCTAGGTTGGTTAGTCTGGAGCTAGCCCAAGTTGGTTAGTCTAGGGCTAGCATAGGCTGGTTAGTCTGGGGCTAGTAGCCTAGGTTTGTTAGTCTGGAGCTAGCCCAGGTTGGTTAGTCTAGGGCTAGCGTAGGCTGGTTAGTCTAGGGCTAGCCCAGGTTGGTTAATCGGAGCTAGCCCAGGTTGGTTAGTCTGGAGCTAGCCCAGGTTGGTTAGTCTGAGGCTAGTAGCCCAGGTTGGTTAGTCTGGGGCTAGCCCAGGTTTGTTAGTCTGGAGCTAGCCCAGGTTGTTTAGTCTGGAGCTAGCCCAGGTTGGTTAGTCTGGGACTAGCCTGGACTGCTAGTCTAGAGGTAGCCTAGAGGACTGCTAGTCTAGAGGTAGTCTAGGGCTAGCCCAGGTTGGTTAGTCTGGGGCTAGCCCATGTTGGTTAGTCTTAGACTAGCCTGGACTGCTAGTCTAGAGGTAGCCCAGGTTGTTTAGTCTGGTACTAGCCTGGACTGTTAGTCTAGAGGTAGCCCAGGTTGGTTAGGTTGGTTAGTCTGGGACTAGTCTGGACTGTTAGTCTAGAGGTAGCCCAGGTTGGTTAGTCTGGGACTAGCCTGGACTGTTAGTCTAGAGGTAGCCCAGATTGGTTAGTCTGGGACTAGTCTGGACTGCTAGTCTAGAGGTAGCCCAGGTTGGTTAGCCTGGGGCCAGCCTGGACTGTTAGTCTAGAGGTAACCCAGGTCAGCCAACAGTGAGATGAAAATTTCCCACCTACCCTGTTTCTACACTGTTAGTTCTTTCAACAGACATGTGTGTGTGGAGCCATCAGTTTTACTTTAGTTGAGAAAAAAATATATATATATATAGTAGGTCTCCTCTAGTTTTTGAAGTGTGACTTCTGAAGAAGCTTCCATGGGGAAATGAAGGTATTTAATAGGACAGCAGTAACATAAGGGCTGACAGCCCTCAAATGTTAGGGAAGGAAGTGAAGCCTTCTAGGGTTCTTTGGGAGTGAGTTTTATGTTAGTGCACGGGATCAGGACCCAAGTTGTAACGCCGACGAGTGCTCAAAGGAAGGTTGTGTGTGTGTCGTGCACCTGTGTGCGTGGAACCAGGCACGTCCTCTGGAGAAGGAGGATTCATCCCCAAGATTGTTGCTGGGAGGCTTGCTGGGCCCCGCAGGGAAACCAGGCAGATGGTGGATTGTTCACGAGCGCCCACTGAATGGCAGTGTCTTTGGGAATCAATACCATGTCCAAACGCTTTCCATCTTACCAAGGTGCCCACAAACCTTTTCTCATCTTGGCCCGGGGGACCACCCCATTTACTGAGAACACTGAGTCCCGAGAGGCAAAATGATTTCCCCAAGGCGGGGGACTCCAGAGCTTCTGACTGTGACCACCCCACATGGGCCCCACCTTCGCGGAGGACAGGCCAGCCAAGCGTCGCTGGGGCCGACACTTCCACAGTCCCCGGGGGAGGCGGTCCCAGGGGCCGACACTTCCACAGTCCCCGGGGGAGGCCGTCCCGGGGGATGCTGCCCCAGGCAGCACCTCATGATCCACGGAGGCTGCAAATCAGCGCTGCTCTCAGAGGAGGAAGGGGTGGAGCTTTCCAGGGCACAGCAGGCCTGACTGGGTCTCGGTGCTGTGCCTGTCCCATGGCAGAGTCGGATCAGTGCGTCATGGAGGTCTCAGACCGAAGAAACTGTGGCTACCCGGGCATCAGCCCCGAGGAATGCGCCTCTCGGAAGTGCTGCTTCTCCAACTTCATCTTTGAAGTGCCCTGGTGCTTCTTCCCGAAGTCTGTGGAAGGTAACGTCGCTGTGGGACTCTCTGTCTGGTTCCCGGACACCATGATTCCTCCTCCGTCCGTAGAGGTGGGGTGCAGGGAGGGGAGCTGCCTCGCAGCCTCAGTGCCATCGAGGCCAGGGCCCCTGCCTCCTATGGGATTCTGAAGGCAATTCCAGAATGTTCTTGGCAAAGACAGCGTCTTTTCAATAAGTTTATAGCCTCCAGCATTGCCACTGCGTCATCTGTGATGGCTCTAGAAACAGCGGCTCATCCCTGTTGCCTCCCCAGGTGTTGCAACGTTCAGAGGCGTTGCCTGTTTTATTGCAAGCCCATCTGCATTTGGAGGCTACTGAGTGTCTTGCACTGTGCTGGGTACCAGAGAGGGCCCAACTCAAGCAGACCTGGCCCCTTCTCCCGTGGCTTCCCCGTTCTCCCCCACATGACCCCGAATGACAAACCTCATCCACAACGTCCTGCTCCGGGCAGTCCCGGGAGGGTCCCGCCGGCAGAGGTGAACGGGTCCACTTCTCCCACCCGCTTAGTGATAGTGTGTTCCTGACTCGGAGTGTGGCGAGGTAAAAAAAGACCAAGCAGATCCAGGAAAATGGGGAAAGAGCTACTGGCCCTTGAAGGATGCCTTTTCTTTTCCTTTTGTTAGGATATCAAAGCACTCCAAAGAGCGAAATATTTCATGTTCAGGATTTTCCGAGTGATTTTTTTTATGTGACCTAAAGGTCCACCTAGAAAATGTTCACTTGTCTGGGGAGAATGCGCCCCACAGAGGAAACTCTGGCCTGGGGTGGGAAGATTTGGTCCCTTTACACCCCCTCCCCGGGAAAGGAGCTCCTTCTTCAGTAGGAAGCTCCTGGGCAAAGTGATGCACGCCCACCCCAGCTTCGCAGCCTAGGCACTCCCATTTCTGGGGTTCCCTTACCAACCATCTTGCATTTAAACTTCTAGACTGCCATTACTAAGAGAGGCTGGTTCCAGAGGATGCATCTGGCTCACCGGGTGTTCCGAAACCAAAGAAGAAACTTCGCCTTATCAGCTTCATACTTCATGAAATCCTGGGTTTTCTTAACCATCTTTTCCTCATTTTCAATGGTTTAACATATAATTTCTTTAAATAAAACCCTTAAAATCTGCTAAATTTCTTTTTGGTTTCATTAACACAGAGGTGGTAATGGTGGTGTGCGTGTGTACACATGTATGGGTGTGTGTACCCATGTATGGGTGTGTGTACCCATGTATGGGTGTGTGTATATGTGCGAATGTGCATATGTGTGAGTGTATATGCAGGGTTTTTTTGTGTGTGTTTTGAGACAGAGTCTTGCTCTGTCACCCAGGCTAGAGTGCAATGGTGCAATCTTGGCTCACTGCAACCTCCTCCTCCCAGGTTCAAGCTATCCTCCTGCCTCAGCCTCCCGAGTAGCTGGGATTACAGGTGCCCACCATCACACTGGCTAATTTTTGTGTTTTTAGTAGAGATGGGGTTTCACCATGTTGGCCAGGCTGGTCTCGAACTCCTGACATCAAGTGGTCCTCCCAAAGTGGATGACTTTGGCATCCCAAAGTGCTGGGATTACAGGCGTGAGCCACCATGCCTGGCAGTTTTAATGTCCCTTCCATTTTTCTAAGAGAAAAAATTCATCAAATACATTCAGGTTTCTCTAAAAGCAATAAAAAAGTATTGCATGTAAGAACATTTCAGAATTCACAATCACTTTGTAACTCCCATTCTCAGTCCTTTTTATAAAAACTCAAATGACTAGCCCTAAAAACCTCTTGGAGTGATACGTGACTTCAGATTGCAATTGCAAAATCCTTTCTCTTTGACCGAATGCATCGCAGACCCCTCGATTTTGAGACGATTGTGCGGCAGCCGGTCGTCTCCTATTTCTAAGGCAAGCAGGGAGGGGCCTTGACCAGGTAGGCCAAAAATTCTCTCCCAACTCTTTGCTTCTGTGTTTTCTGGCCTCTGCCTGAGGGTAGCTTTGGTAATCTGCTAACAGTTGAGGATATTCAAGGGAGGAAGTTGACAGCATTTCATTAAGGCAATGCCAGCCGTGCGGAGATCACTGTGTGAAATATTCTTATTTATTCATTATTATTATTATTATCGTACCAATTGACAGGGTACGTGTGCAATTTTGTTACATGTGTAGTTTGCATAGTAGTCAAGTCAGAGCTTTTAGGGTGTCCACCACCTGAATCACGTACACTGTACCCATTAACTAACTTCTCATCATCTGCCCCCTACCCCCGTCAGCCATCCACATGTCCATTGCCCACCATTCCTCTCTATGTGCACGTGGACACATTTTTAGCATCCACTTACGAGTGAGAACAGGTGATATTTGACTTTCTGTGTCTAGTTCATTTCACTTAAGATAATGACCTCCAGTTCCATCCATGTTGCTGCAAAAGACATGATTTAATTCTTTTTATGGCTGAATATTATTTCATTGTGTATACATACCACTTTTTAAATCCATTTGCCTGTTGATGGACACTTAGGTTGATTCCATATCTTTGCTATTGTGAATAGTGCTGCGATAAATGTACAAGTACAGGTATCTTTTTGATAGAATGATTTCATTTCCTTTGGATAGATACTCAGTGGGGACTGCTGCATTGAATAGCAGCTCTGTGTTTAGTTGAAAGATTCTTTTGTGTCTCCTTTAAGAGGTCCTGGTGTCATTCAGCTCGGTGGTGGGAGTGCAGAGTGGATGACGCTAGGCCAGTCTTTCTGTTGCTTCCCCCAACATCCCTCTCCTACCCGAAGCCAATTGCCTTAGCAAATGTGTCACCCAATAGCCCACTCCTGTCACCCCAGAAAATCCAAGGCCTCTGCCCTCCAGGGTGGGTTGGGGCCAGTGCCACTAGCTTCCTATTGGAAGATGGGAGTATTAGGAAGTGCTTCTTCAAGGAACGGATGTGGCCTTACATCAACTCTCCGGATGCCTGCTTTGCGAGGAGGCCACATGCTGCCTTGGGTCTCAGCTGTGTCTCAGTCTTACCTACAACATATCATCAGCTCAATGAACAGTGGCCCTTGTTAGCAACACGGGGTCTCAGAAACACTCAAGATAATCAGGTGGCGGAGACGGATGCTCATGTTTGTGAATTTATCCTTCCCAGACTGCCGTGTCCTCTCTCGTTTGTCCCCCCCAGTACACTTAGTTTATGGGTTCCAGGGTCAGCCAGCCCTGGCCACACTGGCGGAAAAGCCAAATCAGGCCAGTGGATTCCTGGAAAGGGTGGTTGGCATGCTCTCCAGGGGCATGTGAATTTTCTGTGCCTCCCGGGTGAAGAGTGTGGAGGTTCTGCTCCCGGAGTTGGCACTGGGGCCTTCTTGGGTGCCGGATGAGGTGAAAGCTTCTGGTTTCATGCCTCTTCGGGCAGTTTCTGGTCTGCAGACTTTTGTTCTCAGGCAGTTGTCTGCAGGCCACTTGGCATGAGGCTCTAGGTGCAGGAACGTCTTTAATATGTGGGCACTTGTGTTTCCCATGGTGTCTTTCTGGGAACTTTCTTCTCATGCTGGTACTCCAATCCCATTTCCTCCTTCAGAAATTCTCTGATCCATGAAGGCCCCAGTTTCTGAACCAGTTCCTACATTGCCCTTCGGATCCTTGAGCAGGCATTCTGAAGCAACTTCCGTTGTGTTTGCCATGGGCCTGGGCTTGGGGGTCCGTGGGCCACTCTGATCTGTTACCGATAGTACAGCTCCTGCTGGCTCCAGCACTATGAGTGAGTTAATTAACCACGTGCCACCACAAGATAGCTCAGAGTGGGCCACCCCCTTCCTCCTCCTTTGGGGGGTCCCCCCAGGGGCCCTGGAGCAACAGCTGGTGACATTTGAACCCACCCCTTGAGTAAAACAAGGCTTCCTTTTCCCTTCGCCCTCTTTTCCATTTTCTCCCCCAATCATTGCCTCCCTGCCCCTTCCTCCTGGGGTCTCCTGCTGCTTCTCGTCTCCTCTGCTTGCCCCTGGTTCCCTTCCCTTCTGTTCCCTTTCCCTGCAGAGGCTCCAATAATCCCTATCCAGTGCAGGCAGGGACCTCATGGATGGCAGAGCCGGTGAGGCTTGGCGGGAGGGCCCAGTGGCCATCGACCTAACCAGGACAGCCGCTGCGGCCCTCAAGTCAACTGCCTGCCCTCCTGGCTCCCTGCGCTCCTCCAGGTCCCTGCCTGGCTGGTCCAGGTAACAGAGATGGCTTGAGAAGCAATTATAGGAGACGGGGTCGGTCAGCTCGCTGGGGGTGGGAACAGCAGGAGCTGTCACCATGTGTGCAGGTTGATGGCCCAGGTGGGTCACCGTGGGGAGGTTTTTAAAAATCTCTCAGATTCTCAGGCTTTCTGTTTGTAAAATATGAGTAATGATTACTTCCCTAGCAGGGTTCTGGCGAAAATTAAAAATAACGTTTGTGGCTGGGCATGGTGGCTCAGTCCTGTAATCCCAGCACTTTGGGAAGCCAAGAGAGGAGGATTGCTTGAGCCCAGGAGTTCAAGACCAGCCTAGGCAACATGCTGAGACCCCATCTCTACAAAAAATACAAAAAGTAGCTGGGCACACCTTTAGTCCCAGCTACTCAGGAGGCTGAGGTGGGAGGATTGCTTGAACCCGGGGAAGTGAAGGCTGCAGTGAGCCGTGATCACACCACTGCACTCCAGCCTGGGTGACAGAGTGAGATCCTGTCTCAAATAATAATAATAATAATAATAATAATAATAATAATAATAATAATAATAATGTTTGTGAGCTGCCTGGTGCACACAGCAGGCCCCCACTACATGGAGCTCCTGCCAGAGGCCGCCGGTGGCCTTGTGGTCTTGTCCTGTGGCCTCCTATAAAAAAGCATCTTCCAAGGAGAATGGCTTGAACCTGGGAGGCGGAGGTTGCAGTGAGCTGAGATCACGCCACTGCGCTCCAGCCTGGTGACAGAGCGAGACTCCGTATCAAAAAAATAAACAAACTTCTTCCAAGTACCATGTAGGACAGCCAGCTCTGCCTCCAGAATGTGGTAATCCTGGATAACACACACTTATTCTTTATATATTCACTATACCTAGCGCTCGCCGCATACACAGTCATGCACCACGCATGACAATGTTTTGGTCAACAGTGGGCCTCGTATATGACTGTGATCCCATAAGGTTACAATGAAGCTGAAAAATTTCCATCACCTGGTGACATCAGGGCCATTGTAACGTCACAGCATGACGCGTTACTAAGCTGTTTGTGGGAAGGCTGGAGTCAACACACCTACTGCACTGCCAGTTGTATGAAAGTACAGCACATAAAATCATGTACACCACCTAATACTGGCTATGATTATAAATGGCAGTGTGACTGGCTTATGTACATACTACACTTTTTATTGTTATTTTAGAGTGTACTCCTTCTACTTATATAAAAACAGTTAACTGTGAACAGCCTCAGGCGGGCCCTTCAGGAGGTTCCAGAGTCAGGTATTGTTATCATAGGAGATGACAGCTTCCTGCGTGTTACTGGCCCTGAAGACCTTCCAGTGGGACGAGATGTGGAGGTGGACGACGGTGGCAGTGAGAATCCTAACCCTGCGAGGGCCTCGGCTAATGTGTGTTTGTTTTAGCTTTTAACAAAAAGTCTAAAAAAGTTAAAAAATATTAAAATTACTAAAAAGTTTATAGAATAAGGATATAAAGAAAGAAAATATTTTTGTACAGTTGCACAATGCATTTGTGTTTTAAGCAAGTATTATTAAAAAGAGTCAGAATTTTGGCCAGGTGTGGTGGCTCACGCCTGTAATCCCAGCACTTTGGGAGGCCGAGGCAGGAGATCATGAGGTCAGGAGTTCAAGACCAGCCTGACCAACATGGTAAAACCCCATCTCTACTAAAAGTACAAAAATTAGCCAGGTGAGTTGGCAGGTGCCTGTAATGCCAGCTATTCAGGAGGCTGAGGCAGGAGAATTACTTGAACCCGGGAGAAAGAGGCTGCAGTGAGCTGAGATCACACCATTGCACTCCAGCCTGGGCCACAGAATGAAACTCCATCTCAAAAAAAAAAAAAAAAGAAAAAGAAAAAAAAGAATTTTTAAAAATTAAAAAAAATATAAAGTAAAAATGTTACAGTAAGTTGAGGTTAATTTTATTATTGAAGAAAGAATAGTATTTTTTATAAATGTCGTGTGTTTATGAAGTCTATGGTAGGACAGTCGTGTCCTGGGCCTTCGAATTCACTCCCCACTCCCTCCCTGTCTTGTCCGGTCCTGCAAGCTCCGTTCATGGTAAGTGCCTACATACCGTCCCATTCTTTATCTTTCACACCATGTTTTGACTGTATCTTTTCTTTTTTCTTTTTTTTTTTGAAAAGGAGTCTCACCCTGTTGCCCAGGCCAGAGTGCAATGGCACCAATCTCGGCTCACTGCAACCTCCGCCTCCTGGGTTCAAGTGATTCTCCTGCCTCAACTTCCCAAGTAGCTGGGATTACAGGCACTCGCCACCACACCCAGCTAATTTTTGTACTTTTAGTTGAGACGGGGTTTCACCGTGTTGGTCAGACTGGTCTCGAACTCCTGACCTCAGGATCTGCCCACCTCGGCCTCCCAAAGTGCTGGGGATACAGGCATAAGTCACCATGCCCGGCCTTGGCTGTACCTTTTCTATGTTTAGATACACAAATGCTTACCACTGCGTTACGGTTGCTTCCAGTGTTCAGTCCAGTCACTCGCTGCACGGGTTTGCAGCCTGGGAGCCAACCGTGCAGCCTGGGTGTGCAGCAGGCGCTGCCCTCTAGCTATGCATTAAGCACATTCTACGGTGTTCACACAACGACAAAACCCCTCATGACGCGTTTCTCACAACATTTCCCTGTCGTTAAGTGCTGCACAGCTGTATGTGCACAGGCACTTTAGTGCTGATTTATAGTGGGTATCTATACAGTACGTTCTGGCATTCATGTAGTTAAGCTCTATGAAGTCGCTGCCAGCCCTGACTTAGTGAATCTGGAACCCTCGCTCCTGGGGAAGTACAGGGTCAGGTTTCTGCAAGCTTCTGGGAGCATTTCATTAACCAGCCATATGTAGCCAGGCTCGAGGGTGTTTCCTGTAGACACCTTGTGGAGTGCACACGGTGGTTACATTAATGCTGAACTCCAGGCCGGCACCCTGTCTCCCAGCCCCAGTGAGGCTGCCCTGCCCCTGGTGTTTTCCCCAGAGGCATATCACCTCACACCCAGGACACCAGACAGCTCCTCACTATGGCACATGGGGGCATCTTAAATGGGAAATCACCAACAACAGGCATAAAAACGTGGCACTACATAGACCAAGAAAAGGACATTAGTTCACAGTATGGGTTGAGGCAAGAAGGCCTTGTGTGGCTGGGCATGGTGGCTCATGCCAGTAATCCCAGCACTTTGGGAGGCTGGGGCGGGCGGATCACAAGGCCAGGAGATCGAGACCATCCTGGCTAACACGATGAAACCCTGTCTTTACTAAAAATACAAAAGTTAGCCAGGTGTGGTGGCAGGCACCTGTAATCCCAGCTACTCTGGAGGCCAAGCCAGGAGAATTGCTTGAACCTGGGTGGTGGAGGTAGAGGTTGTGGTGAGCTGCGAGCGCACATTTGCGCTCCAGCCTGGGCGAAAAGAGCAAGACTCCATCTCAAAAATAAAAAAGGCCTTGTGTGACTTCAGTTGGGAATATGCATGTCTGTGACTCAAATTTGTCACCACTTTGTACGTTTCTGCAAACGACCTTGAAAGCACCCCAAGTATTGATTTAGGGTCACCAATAAATTTTAGTGAGTAGGCGAATTTGCAAATAGAGAATATGTAATGGGAATAGACTGCATATTCATTACATGCATTTTATATTCATTATCTATAGTTTGGAGTTGTGGTACACGCATGAATATCTCTAGCTATTGCTTCAGGGGCCAGCCCCAGTGTGATGTCCCCCTCAACCCACCCTGCCTTAGAAGCCCAATCTGACCCCCACCATGGGATGCTGGGCAGTTAACTGGAGTCAGGGGGCTGCAATGAGGGTGTGTGAATCAGATCTCAAAAATATCTATCGCACTTCGGCTCTACAGCGATTTCTCTCTCAGGGTCACTGTGTGACCTTGGACAAGTTACGTAGACTTTTTGACCCTAGTTTTACTCATATGCTAAGTACAGATATTCATAACATCTTCCCTTCTGGGTTTGTGGTGAGGCTTCATGAGTTGAATTAGGATGTGCTTAGAGCTGTTCTTGCTATGATTGTTCATACATGCACATCCTCATATCCTAGGCCCATTCTTCCGGGAAGACACACGTGGTCCTGGTTGTCTCACAGTGACTGTCCCAGTGGCGGGCACCCGGCCATCAGACCCTCAGCATTCCACCTGCTCACACAGGAGGGCCAATGCCTACCAAGCCCCTCCATAAGCACATCGGGGTTCCTCTCCCAGGGGCTCTTCCATGGTTGCCTACCTCTGCCTCACCTGCCTGTGGCCCTGGCTAATGCTGTGGTCCTGACACATAGCTATCCCCACCCCAAGCTGGAACTCTGCTATTGTACCTCTCCCAGAAACCCCTGGGGGCCTGCCCTTGCCAGTGAAATAGGCAGGCGTGTTGCCTTCCCTCTTGCTGCACTTTGCTGGGTGGGCCACGGCAAGGATGCCTGAGCCTTGGGGCCCCCAGGCGTGGAGCAAGCAGCCGTTTCTTCCTTGTGGAAGCAGCGTGGACACTGCAACCCATGAGGCCACCATTTCAGGGCCATGCATGCAGGAATATATACAGCGTGTGTCTTCTGGGTCTGCAGCCACTCGGCACTGGCTGGGAGGGAGCAGCCCCACCTTCCTCCAGCTAGTGGAGGGACCAGGCCACAGGGAGGTGCAGCCTGGCCACTGCGCCCTCTCAGTAACTAGCAGCAGCCCAGGGGCCTCCAGACAGGCTGGGCAAGGACTGGTTCCCATGTGCAGGACCACAGCTCCCTGACAGCCTCTGTCTCCTCTGACGCCCCATCTGTCCCTCCAGCATCTGTCCCGCCCCACCGGCCTATTCCCCGAGTCAGCCCATCTCTGCAACAGAGCTTCCCCCACCTCAGCCCCCTCTCAGGTCTGTGTAAAGAGTGGTGGGAGGTTTTCAGCACTTTCCTGGGAACTTTCTCAGCTTCCAGGGAAACCAGGGGAGGGAGGAGTAGCCCCACTCCCGCTGAAGGGCTCTGATCTCAGCTCCTGCCAGGCCTCCAGCAGCGCGGACACGGATGAGCTGACACCATCGCAGGACGGCCGCCAGTTTTCCACAGGGCCCAGTGGCTGCAGCCTCTGTGTTTGTTTTCTGTGATCCAAAGACTGCTCAGCACTTAATAATTGTTTGACTTAATGTGGCGCAACCAGAAATGTGGCTTAGAGGAAGGAAGGGCCCTCTATTCAACCTTCCGAGCGCACAGGGCTCATTAAGGTGTTTTCCCCTAAAGAACCCTACAGGCTAATGATGCTCCACAGCGCCCTCTGCTATCCATGCTGGGGACAGACTCTCAGCCTTCCTGCAGCCCAATGGGCAAGTGGGTTCGGCTTCGGCATCTGACAACACGCAGCTTCCTGATGTCCAGAGAGAGATCTCAGTGCCTATCACACGTTGCAAATTGCCCCGTCATTTCATCAGTTCACTGTGTTCACATTAGTAACGCTGATGATGGCAATGCTCATGCCTTGAGATTTTTTTAAAAATTAGTTTCTCGGAGGTATAATTCACATACAATAAAACTCACCCATTTTAAATGAATCAGTTCATTGAGTTTTGACAAATGTATACAACTGTGTAAACACTACCACAATCAAGATGTAGAACATTCATTCCCTCCAAGAAAATCCCGTCGTGCCCTTTGCTGTCAATAGCCTCTCCCTAGCGCCAGAAAACCAAGAATCTGTGTTTTTTTGCTTTAGTTTCATTTCTTCTAGAATTTCAAGTAAGTTTAATCACACAGTGCAGACAGTGCACAGTCTTTGAAGTCTGTTTTCTTTCACACAGCACACAGCTTTCTTTGAGATTCTTCCAGGTTGTTGCACAGAAGGGTGGTTCGTTCCTTTTCATTGCTGAGTAGTATTCCACAGCAGGATACACTGCAATATGCTTACCTATTTACCAGGTGATGACATCTGGATTATTCCCAGCTTTTTACTATTATGGGTAAAGTTACTATGAACAATTATGCACATGTATGTGAAGGGATTTGGGTAAATGCTTGAGGAAATGCCTTTTTTCTTGGAAGTGTAGCTATGAGTGGATTTCTGGATAGTACGGTGTTATGTTTAACTTCATAAGAATCTGAAAAAATTGTTTTCCAAGGATTGAGCCATTTTGTCTCCCCAGCCACAATGGAGGAGATTTGCAAATGCTTACTACATCCTTGGTTTACTAGTCTTTTACATTTTAGCCATTGTGGTGTGTGGAATGTGATATCCTGTTTTCATTTTAATTTACATTTCACTAGTAACTAAGGATGTTGAACATCTTTTCATGAGCTTATTTTTCACACATCTTCTCAGGTAAAGTATCTGTCTAAATCTTCAACACTTTTTAACTCAGGTGTCTTTTTCTTCTTTGTAATGAGTTGTAAAATTCTTTATATATTCTGCATACAAGTCCTTTACTAGATATATTTTGTGCAAATATTTTCTCCTAGTCTGTGACTTACCTTTTCGTTCATTTCCTTAAGAATATTTTTCAAAGAGAAAATATCTTTAATTTTGATGAAATCTAGTTTTTCTCATTTTTCTTTTATGATTCAAACTTTATGTTTCCTACCTAGAAATCTCTGCCTAATTCAAGGCCACGGACGTGTTCTATTATATTCTCTTCTAGGAGTTTTATAACTTTGGTGCTTATACTTTTGTCTATGACACATTTTCAGTTCACATTTTTGTATAAATTTGTGCATTTTCCTTTGTTTTTAAGTGTCTGAAACAATTTTTGCAGCATTGGGACTGTTAGGTACTTGAAGCTTGGCTAGAATTTCCCTGTGAGATTATCTGGACATGGAGATTCTTACGGCTTTTTTTTCTGGGAATCCCGAAAGAACCAGCCCTTCAAGGTGGATCCCGGGGAGCCAACTGGGGCTAAATTCAAAATAGAGCCGTGTGGCCATTTGCTGACTAGACGTCACACACGTACTCTGCATTCCTGGAAACCCACATGTTTGCTTCGTTCTGGGACATTCATAGCTGCTCCTGTTCACTCCTGTATCAACGGCTACTGGAAAGCCTCCCCTCGGCCCCTGGAGCTCACCAGGAGAATGTGGCCCACATCTACCAATCAGAACTAAACAAGCGTCAACTAACCACAGCTAAGCAAGTTTGCATCCCCTATTTGCATAGCAGACGAGAGTGGGAACCCAGAGGGAGCTTTCTCTTTAAAAGACAACCCCTCTCTTTGTTGTCTCAGATTGCACCTTTGTTTTGTACCGAAGGGGGTGTCTCCCTGGTTTGCAAAATGTTTACTGGAATAAAGTCTCTTTCTTTTTTAAAAAAATAAGCAAAATCCTGTTTAATGATTTTGTTGACAGCTCCTTGATAACGTTTTCCATTTCTTCTACGGTTTATTTCAGCCCTATGTCTCTATTGGACCCATTTTGTTAAACTGTTATTTTCCTAGGAACTTACGCGTTTCATCTAGATATTAAAAATTAGTTGCATAAAGTTATTCAGGGTAGCCTCTTACCGTTTTTAAAGACTCTTCTGTTTCAATAGTTGTTTCCTTCATTGTCAATTCTTATTCTGGATATTTGTGGATCCTTTTTTCATTTTTTTTATTGGGTTAGCCAGTGGTTTGCATATTTTGTTTAATTTTTAAAAATAACTGGGATTGAATTTGTGAAAAAGAATTCCACTCTTTTTCTCTTCTGTACTTCATTGATTTCTTTCCCTTTGCTTTCTTTCAGCCTTTTTTCAACAAGCTATTCTTTTCCTAGTTTTCTGGTTTGGGAATTCAATTTATGGATTAATGGCATGTGTTTAAATCTATGCACTTTCCACTAATTACCATTTTAAATATTGCCCATAGATTCAGAAATGTGGTGTTTTTATTATCATAATTTCTAAAATATTCTATAATTTTGGTTAGTAATTTATCTTTTAGCCACAAGTATTTAATAGAAGATATTTCCATTTCCATGTGCAATAATGTTAATATTTTTTGGTTTTGTTGCACTTGATCATAGAGTGATTATAACATTTTTACTTTTCTTTTTTTGAGACAGAGTCTCTCTCTGTTACCCAGGCTGGAGTGCAGTGGCATGATCTTGGCTCACTGCAACCTCTGTCTTCCAGGTTCAAACGATTCTCATGCCTCAGTCTCCCAAGTAGCTGGGATTAAAGGCGTGCACCACCACACCTGGCTAATTTTGTGTGTGTGTATTTTTAGTAGAGACAGGGCTTTGCCATGTTGCCCCAGGCTAGTCTTGAACCCCTGGCCTCAAGTTATCATCCCTCCTTGGCCTCCCAAAGTGCTGAAATTACAGGCCTGAGCCACTGCACCCAGCCAAAACTTTTACTTTATGGAACTTATTGCTTTTTTGTGTGCAAATGTACCATTAAATTTTGTGAATATTTCATGTGTGCTTGAGAAGAAGTTGTATTAATATTGGGAATTAAACTTTGACATATCCATATGTATACATACATACACAGTGTATATGTCTATTCATCAGATCTGCCTTATTAATTATATTCCTTGAGTTCTATTTTTTTACTTACTTTTTTCTTTGTTCACTTGACTTGTCTTATCTTCAGAATGATGTTCTCATGACCAGTTATGGGTTTTGTCTATTTCTGCTTGTATCTCACTGTTTCTGGCTTATAAAATAAATATACTTTTCCTATCCCTTTCTTGGTGCAAAAATATTTATAACTGTTATTGCTCCATTGTGAACTGTGACCTGCCAAGCGTCTGTCTTCATCATGTCTGATGCCTGCTGGCCTGAATTCTATTTTGTCTGATGTTGAGATTGCAGCCCCTGCTCAGCTCAAGGTCCTAGTAGTTACATCAGTTTTGGTCATCAAGTGCTTCAAAGCTCTATGATTTTAGCAATATATTGATTAATTTTTCATCAGAATAGCTGTTGGTTAACAGCAGAAAGGAAAAGAAATACCAGTCAAGAAATGTAGGGGGCCGGGCGAGGTGGCTCACACCTGTAATCCTAGCACTTAGGGAGGCTAAGGTGGATGGATCACTTGAGGTCTGGAGTTTGAGACCAGCCTGGCCAACATGGTGAAGCCCTGTCTCTACTAAAAATACAAAAATTAGCCAGGCATGGTGGTGTGTGCCTGTAATCCCAGCTACTCGGGAGGCTGAGGCAGGAGGATCACTTGACCCTGGGAAGCAGAGGTTGCAGTGAGCTGAGATCGTGCCATTGGACTCCAGCCTAGGGGCAAGAGTGAAACTGTCAAAAAAGGAGAAAGAAAGAAAGAAAGAAAGAAAGAAAGAAAGAAAGAAAGAAAGAAAGAAAGAAAGAAAGAAAGAAAGAAAGAAAGAAAGAAAGAAAGAAAGAAAGAGAGAGAGAGAAAGAGAGAGAGAAAGAAAGAAAGAGAGAGAAAGAAAGAAAGAGAGAGAGGGAGGGAGGAATGAAGGAAGGAAGAGAGAAGAGAAGAAAGGTGCTAATGAGGAAGAGGATAAGACAATAATAATAAAAATGACAATAGTGCCAATTCATCTTATGCTTTTCAATAGGTAAGTTATCTGATGGATTGGCTTAAAAGTCTCATAGAGCACATCAAAATTTCTCTAGAATTAAAAATAAGGTTAAAAAGGAAAACAAATGACCATAATCTGAATTATTGCATTTTTGATGAAACGCTTATCTAAAATAAAATAGTTTTATATCAGTTCATCTTATCTTATGCCAGACAAGGTTACTGCAAATAAGTTTTTGTAAAATTCCAAACAAGATGGGTAAGATGGGTTTCTTTTCCCTGTGAAATGTGTTCACAAGTCAAAAAGGTTTGGGGGCCGGGCGCGGTGGCTCATGCCTGTAATCCCAGCACTTTGGGAGGCTGAGGTGGGCGAATCACTTGAGGTCGCAAGTTCAAGACCAGCCTGGCCAACATGGCAAAACCCCGTCTCTACTAAAGACACAAAAATTAGCTGAGCGTGGTGGTGCACACCTGTATTCCCAGCTACTCAGGAGGCTGAGGCAGGAGAATCACTTGAACCCTGGAGTTGGAGGTTGCAGCGAGCCAAGATCATGCCACTGCACTCCAGTCTGGGTGACAGAGTGAGACTCTGTCTCAGAAAAAAAAGGAGTGGGGTGGGGGTTGGGAAATGCGATCCCAGTGCTTGCTTCTGCATTCCTTGTCACTCACAATAACCCCATGAGCTTTGTATTATCTCTGGATTTCTCTGAACTCACCTGCTTTATGGCTGTGTTCTTTTGCAAACTGTACCTTGGCACATTGAGTGTATTGAATTATGACCAAATAACCCTCATTATGTCAAATAAACAAGCCCAGGGTCCCTGCCTCTCTTCCTGCCTTTGCTTTACCTGGAATCTATAAAAGTCTGATGATCAGCAGGCATTCAGCCTCCTTTGCTGAAGGTTTTTAATCATTCAGCCACCAGAGCCATGCCATTTGCTGGAAAACTGACTTCTGGGCTCAGAGGTCAGCACTGCACTGCAAGGCTCCAAACCTGTGAGCTTCGGGCCAGGTCAAGATGGTTTATTGTCTTCATTTACCCATCCCACTTTCACACACACCCTACTGCAATCAATGACTTCCATCCTCCTGCAGCTGGGGTGGCAGGGAGCTGAGCTGAGAGCCACTCCCACCCAAGCAGAGGAGGCTCAGGAGAAGAGCTAGAAGGGATGGTGAAGGCAAGGATCTGCTCCAGGAGTGAACAGTCACTCTGGGCATGAAACCTCGAGGGGGAGACAGCCCAGGAGGCTGGCCGGTGAGTTAGGTCAAGTCAAACTGAACAGAATCATGAGGGACTGATTGAGTATGTCTACAGAGTTTGCATCTTGAGACAGTCACAACCACTATAGAGTAGTCATTGTGTGTTTACTTCTTATAACAGCAATGACATCTGCTAACAGCAGGTGGACAGTGCTTCACCCTTCAGGTTGCACTGCCTACCATTGCTTGAGCCTCACACCTACCTTGCGAGGGTGGGCAAGGAAGGCATCATTATTATCCAGCAGGAAACTATGGCTGGATGTCCAATGACACCCACAAAACTTGAATTCCACTTTTCTGTCTCTAGACCCTATGGGGCATCACCTGTCAGTCTTCCTGTACCTCAGCAGAGATGAAAGTGAAGGAGATCAGAATTGCTATCCCCGAGATATGCCGCTTTGGAATAGGAATTATTTTGAGATGAAGGCAATGAAGAAGCATCAAATGCAGAAAGAGCACTTTGGCCTCCTTAATCTGCCTCAAAGCAGGACATAAATTTTCCTTTGTGAAGGTATTTCTTCCTCTCTCCCCTACCAGGGGACTGAAAGTTGGCACTGAGATGGGTCTGCACAAATGAACTTTACTAAAATAACCCTCATCTTCCATTAGTTTCCCTCAGATATTTACCTTCCCACAATTTCCCACCTCTAGGACTCCAAATTTCTTTCCCTTCCCCTTATCACTTCTCCATAATTTATTACCTATTGTTAAAGTGGTATATAAGCCCCTAGGTGTAACCACTTCTTGGGATCTTCATTTCTTTTCTATGAAGGTCTCTATGCACTTAAAAATTAAAATATCAACATCAAGTTTGTTTTCTTTTTCTCCTGTTAATCTTCCTTTTTAACAAGTTTAATTTGCAGAGAGCTGAAGAACCTAAGAGGGTAGAGGAGAGTGAAGAGCCCAGGTCATGGCCACTGCACCTTGGGTTCTTGAGCAGCTGCCATCTGGAAGTCAAGTACTCTTCTGCCCAAGGGCTGTCCAGGGCATCATCCACCATTTCTACTCTGAGTCTCAGGACTGTCTGGCCCTGCCCTGCTGCCCTGGAGAAAGGTATTTTCTTGTTGCATCTCCATTTACTATCCTCTTTCTCACCTCTCAAGTAACACATCTCCATTGACTCAGTCAGATCACCTCTGCCTGGCAGAGCCAATTCAGAGTCTTCTTTCCCTTTAAGACTTCCTCTATTAGGAGTGTTGTGCTAACATTGAGGCCTAAAACCACATATTTTTCCTCCCTGTTGACTGTATGTGTATCTGTGAATTGATTTTTTAAATGACCATATTTACCTTCTCAACCCCTCTTAATATGTTGAGCTGCTAGAGGACACGACATATCGATATGAATGCTGCATGGATTTCATAATGCTGGGGGCTGAGTTGGAGTTTATGATGCCTCCATGACTGCAGCTTTCTTATCAACACTGACCATATCATCTTCTTCTTTTGTAACCTCCCACAGCACCTGGACTGAAGGCTGTGCACACAGTGGATGTTAAATAAATATTGACTGATATTCTTTGTTCAATAATACTTCTGTCCATAGGAACTCAACAAATCTTAACTCTTTGGTAAAACTCCTTAAGACATTGAAAAACAAGATATCATATGAGTGCCACGGAAGTATGAATAATGTATTAAGGAGAGTTGGTATTTAGCTTCTTGCCATTTGATATGTAAAACAGGGCTATTATAAGTCTTGAGAACATGGGCTGCCTCTATAATGAAGAGCCACCAGGAGGCATTGGCAATTAAGGTAGGCTCTTGCCTGAAGATGTTGCCATATTTTGTGATCTCACACTTTGCTTTCAGTTCCTGGATGGAGTAAACAGTGAATGAGATGAATACATTACAGCAGGGAAAAAGCATCCTTTGAAACATGGAGCTGATGGTGAGTAGGAAGAGTCAAGTGAGAGGCATGCCTGCCTCAAACCTAAGAAATGTCCACAGGGCACCTTTAGCACAAACCACCCAGAGTCCTGTGGACACCAGCCCTGGAAAGGTAGCCGACTGTAAGGGGCTCCTCCTCCACACAGGGAAATCACCCTTTTCTCTGCACAAACAGGGAAGCCCCAGGGTAAGGCTCCAGAGGTCATGTGTGGTTTCCATCTGGGCCATCTCATACAGTCACTTTGCAGTTCTGATAGTCCCACCATGTTTTTGTTTTGGTAGACAACATATTTCTTAAGGGTGGGCCCTGCTTTCAATTTCTTTTGAATTCCCTAAAAACTACTCTCTAGTCATCTAGGCTAACAATTGCAGAGAATGTGGTGGGATTAGGCACCAGCTATGGTTGCATTTTATGAGATGTAAGGTACTTTCAATTCTGACCATTCTATTTCTAGATTCCCATGAAAAATCAAAGAGACCGTTTCTTCTCCTCTAGTGGTGAGCAGCCACCAATGACCCTTCTTCTCTTTGAACAAAGTAATGGTCATTTTCAAGAAGTCAGAAAAATAATCTTTAGTTTATGTTCTCTGACAGACTTCGAGGGGAGGGATGACCTGGGGCACAGCATGGGTGACACACCCATGGTGCATTTGATCCAGAGATTACTTGTATTAAACATTGACTCTTTCTAGTGCTTCTCCACTGGGATGTTAATTCCCTCTCTAGTTCAAGCTCCTTGCTTGTCCAGGACACAGTCAGGCACTCATCCTCAGGTGGATCTGTCGACTCTGCTAATATAGAGAGAAAGTTGAGATTGCACTGCAGGGGCCCAAAGACCTGGGAATTAAAATTTTAAAATGTGAAAGGACTTAAGACTTTTATTTGCCATCAAGCTGGATGCTTCTGGGATTTAAAAGTGGTTGTAAGAGTTAAAGAAAGAGGAAAGAAATGCAAAAAGTGGCTCAACAGTCAAAGACAGGTTGATTTTGGAGAATAAACCTGAGAGGGGCTTCTGGTCACTTTGGTCAGGAGCACTCTCTCTTACAGACTAAGAGTATTTATTGGTTTTAGGGTGAGAGCTTATCACAAGCTTGGAATGTTTCCGTGTTGGGGAGAACTTTATGGTGGGGTTGGAATGTCTCTGGCTGGAGGGGAGGTTATCTTGGGCCTGGCATGCCTCTGGTCGGGGAGGAGTTTATTTCTTATGGTTGGAAAGTTTCTGGTCAGAGATGTCATTTGTGGTTTATGGTCCTGCTGACCTTAGCCATTAGGCTGATGCCCTTTGGATTTAGGCAGTTTTTGATCAAGGTGAACTTTAAAATGGCGGTGCTTGTCCAAGATGGCAATGCTCCTACTCTGTCAGTGGTCCCTTCCCCATCCCTCACCAGATAAACCCCTGGGGTATTGGCCAGGCAACCGGGATGAAGCATGAGAATGGCCCCCAAACCAGGACCCATGTGCCACTCCCAGCCTCAGGGCTGGCTTCTCCCAGCCTCTCTCACACCCAGCAGCTGGGACTTGCTGCCCACACCACCTGCGTTATTTGGATTTCTTTAAATAAAAATTTTAAATAGCCATATGTCAAATGCCTTTCCTTGAATGGTATCTAATGTAGTGTCATCTATATATGTGCTACCCAGATTCATCAACTTGTCAGTTACTTATGCCTTGATGCCTCTCACTTTAAAAATGCCTCTCATTTTAAAAAGAAATAAAATCATAAAAGTACTCCTTTAATCCATCCTTTTTCCTCCCTCCCCAGAATTAACCACTCTTCCTGAGTCAGTGGGCATTATTCCCATGATACCCATAAACAATACATGGTATTATTTTGTTGTTTTTTAAAATAATCAGAAATGGTATCCTAGTATGCAGCCTTTTCAACTTATATCTTATTTTTAACTTTTGAAATGTATTTGCATTAATAAAAATATATTTGCTTCATTCATTTTAACATGTGTATAATATTCCACAGGATTCAATCCCCAATTGATAGGCAACTAGGTATAATGTTTCCAGTTTCTTTCTATCAGAACAATACGGACTTCTTCAATTTACTGGCTGTTGTCAAAATGCTTGCCAAAGAGGGTGTGTCAATTACCTTTTTGCCAGATTTGCATAAGAGTTTCTATTTCTCCACAACTTGTCGACATTTGGTAATCAGTGCAATCTGATGTTAAGTAAAGTGATATTTTAACATTGGTTTATTTGTAATTCCTTGACTTTTTGTGAGGTTGAGCTTCTTTCCATATCCTTATTGACTACCTAGCTTTTCTTTTCAGTGGCAATCCTATTTGTATATTTAAAAAATCATGTTATTTGTCTTTTTCTCACTGGTTTGAAGGAGTTCTTTACCTATCCTTTATAGCAATCCTTTGTCAGTTACATGGGTTTCAAATATCTTTTCCTAGTTCATGACTAGACTTTTTTTTTTACTCCTCTATCATGTCTTGATGAATAGATATCCTTAATTGTAATTGAGTCAGATTTATCAACTGCACCTTCATGATTTGTGCTATTTTAGAGCATCCTTTAAAAAATCTATTTAAAAAATTCTTTAAAACAAGGTTACAGGAAACAAAGTTAATATACAAAAATCAATGGTGTTCATATATTAGCAACAGGCAATTGAAAATCAAATGATCTTCCTTGAATAAAGACAGTTTTCCTTCTTCCTTTCTGATCTTTATGCCTTTTATTCCTTGCTTTATACCATTGCTAGAAGCACCATTACAATGTTAAATAAAAGTGATGAGAGTGGGAATTCTTGCTTTGGCCTAGATTTTAGGAGGAGAATATTCAATATTTCACCAGTTAGTATAATGTTGTATTTTTTGTAGATTTCCTTTATTAGCTTAAGAATGATCTCTTTATTCCGAGTTTTCTGGGAATTTTTATCATGTATCAGTGTTAATTTTGTTAAACGCTTTTTACACATTCATTGAAATGATTACATGTTTTAAAATTTTTTTCTGTTAAACTGCATTGATTATTTGATGTTAAACTCTACCTTGTTTTTCTTAGAAAAAAAAATCTACATCTTGACATATTGTTTTTATATCTTGCTGGGTTGAATTTGCTAATATTTTTATAAGTATTTTTCAATCTGTGTTGATGTTGCTCTTTCATTATTCATAATATATTTGTCAAGTTTTCATATTAGGCTTATGATGGCCTCATAAAGTGAGTCGGAAAATATGCCCAGCTCATCTTTTTCCTAGGTTTGTATGGATTAAAGGTCTTCATTTGTGTTTGGTAGAATGCAACAGTGAAACCACTCAAGCCTGCGATTTTCTTTGTAGGAAGGTTTTTGATAGCAACTTCAAAATTTTTAATAGACATAAGACTATTTAGGTTTCCTATTTTTTGTCTGTGTCCATTTTGGTAAATTGTGTTTTACAGGGAATTTGTTCATTTCATATTTAAGTTACCAAATTTGTTGGTATTAAGTTACTCTAAATATTATCTAGTTATCCTTTTAATGTCTGTACCATGATAGTAATAGCCTATCTTTCATTCCTGATGTTGGTAGCTTGTGTTTTCTTTATTTTTTCTCCTGACCAGTCTCGTTAGAGGTTTATCTTTTAAAAAGAAATATCTTCTCAAAGATTCAGCATTCTTAATTTTTTCTCTGGCTTTTTTTTTTTTCTTTTTTTTGAAAGAGTTTCACTGTCACCCAGGCTGGAGTGCAGTGGCATAATCTCGGCTCACTGCAGTCTCCGCCTCCCAGGTTCAAGAGATTCTCGTGCCTCAGCCTCTTGACTAGCTGGGATTGTAGGTGTGCATCCCAATGTCCAGCTAATTTTTTTGTATTTTTAGTAGAGACAGGGTTTCGTTTTGTTGGCCAGGCTGGTCTCGAACTCCTGGCCTCAAGTGATCCTCCCACCTCAGCCTCCCAAAGTTCTGGGATTATAGTCATGAGCCACCATGTCTGGCCACTTTTTTTTTTTTTTTTTTCTGATTTCACGCTGTCAGACTTTATGATATTGTCCCACAGGTAGTTGGGGCTTTGTTCATTTCTTCAACCTTTTTTTTCTTTCTATTCTTCAAACTGGATAATTTAAAGTGTGCTATCTTTTACGTTAATTGACTTTCCTCTGTCATCTTCACTTTACTCTAAGACTTCAATACGTTTTACTTTCATGTACATATTTACTATTCTTTCATTTACTTATTTATTTAGTTTATATTCACTGTAGATTTATTATTCACACATATACTTCTCAGTTCTTTTTGTTTTTTTCTTGAGACAGAGTCTTGCTCTGTTGCCCAGGCTGGAGTGCAGTGGTGTGATCTTGGCTTACTGCAACCTCCATCTCCTGGGTTCAAGTGATTCTCCTGCCTGAGCCTTCCAAGTAGCTCAGACTACAGGTGTGCACCACTACACCCAGCTAATTTTTTGTTTTTTGTATTTTTTAGTAGAGACGGGGTTTTGCCATGTTGGCCAGGCTGGTCTTGAAATCCTGACCTCCCGTAATCCACCCGCCTCAGCCTCCCAAAGTGCTGGGATTACAGGCATGAGCCACCACACCTGACTCCCCTCAGTTCTATACTTTCTACTTGGTTATTTTTACACAGTTTTTAAATTTTCTTTTTCTGGGATTTTCTATTTTTACATACATTATAAGCAATATTTCTTTATTTCCTCAAGCATACTTATACTAATTGTTTTAAAATCTTTATCTGGTCATTGCAATGTCTGGGTCATCTCAGGTTGATGGCTTTTTTTCTCTTCAGAACGCATGAGACATTCCTGTTGGTTGTGTGTTTAGTAATTTCCGATTGTGGCCAGGACATTGTGTTGCTACGTTGTGGGGAATGCAGATTCTGTTCTATTCCTCTGAAGATAGTTGTGTTTGCCTGTTTATTTATTTTGTATGTTTGTTTTGACAGGCAATCATCTCCATTGGATTCAAACGTCAAACTCTGCTTCTTGGGTGTCATTCAAACTTCAGTTTCTTCATCTTTAGCCAGAGTCTGTCCTGTATGTGGATGGTCCATGGGTCAGAGAGAGACTTGGGAAGGGTTTTCACACAGAATTTGGAGCTTCTCCTCTCTAGCTCTCTCCTTTCTGGGATTCCTCTTTCGCTTTCCTGCAGCTGGGTTTGCCCTTTTCTCAGTACAGTGATTCTCCAGCCTGAAGGACCACAGGTTTCCACTGGTGTTTTAGCCGCAACTATACAACACCCACTGTGACCTACCCTCAGGCAAAATCCCATACAGAAATAAATTCGCAGCATTCCCTCTCCTTCTTCCAGGGTCAGCTCCCCTCCAGGATCTCAGACAGCTGTGCTTGGTTTGTTTTTCTCACTTTCCAGTGCCATCAGGCCATTGCTTTGTGCTTTTTCCAGAGTTTTCATTGTTATATCAAGAAGGGCAGGGTCTAGTATGAGCTGGTTGACTATCTCTACTTTTAGTGACTTAAAGTTTTACTTTTCACTTTGGGCCTGTAATTCACTTTGAACACTGTGGGACTTGGACAGAGGGAGGAACAGGCACTCCCCCAGTTTTGGGCACGGAGACACAGACAAGCAATCCCAACACAAATGTGGCATATTGTCATGCTCTGACATACATGGTCATGCACAGACGGGGAAGGTACATGGATGCATGTGTGTGCATCTGGCCCTGCAATGGGTCAGGAAGCTGAGGAGCCACACAGCATAAACGGGACGGACCGCAGTACTAAGTGTCCTGGCTCAGGGGCACTGAGCACCCAGGCAGAGCTCGTCCAGCTCCCCAGGAAGCCAGCCAGGGCAGAGAGGAAAACTTGTTAATGGGTTGTTAAATTGTGGTTCTAAATTTACCTTTTTCAATGTAGATAATTAAAAATAGCTTAGCGTCATTAGGTGGGGATCTGAATTTGTCTTTTTAAAATACAGATAACTGATTGTCATGGTACCATTTATTCAATTGTCCTGTTTCCCCATTGATATCAAATATATTATCCACATTTTCTTATGTGTATGGATCTATTTCTGACCTTTCTGTTCTGCTCCAGTTGTCTGATTTTATCCCCGCACCCGTACTTCCCTGCTTTAAACACAGTAGTTTTGTAATCAGTCTTAATGTCTGATAGGATAGATATCTTCTGATTCTTCTTTTCCTCTTCCTGGGAACCGTTCTTTAAACTTTTACTAGGTATTTTTGGTGCTTTATCTTTTCATTTAAATCCTGAAGTCAGTTTGTGACATTTAATTACAATCTTCCTTTGAGACTTTGATAGAAAATAAGTTGAATATATAGTTTATTTTGAGAAAATTACCACCTTTAGAATCCATGGTCTTCTCATCCTTGAATAGGCACGTCTCTGCTTCCTCAATTCTTCTTTCAGGCCCTTCGGTAAAGTCCATAATTTGTCTGCACATCTAGTCTTCCCTTATACTCCAAAGTCTCTCATGGGAAGGAGCTACACATTTTTTGCCTTTGTTCTCTCTCACCAAAGTCTGTCACAGTTATCTGCCCAGTAGGAGCCCTCAAGAAACACATTTAGACCTCTGTCTTTGGGTTTTATATCTAAATACAGAATCCAATTGTCAGAGGCATATGAACCAGAGCAACTCCATCTTAAATAGGAGCTGGGTAAATGAGGCTGAAACCTACAGAGCTGCATTCCCAGACGGTTAAGACATTCTAAGTCACAGGATGAGATAGGCGGTCAGCACAAAATACAGGTCATAAAGACCTTGCTGATAAAACAGGTTGCAGTGAAGGAGCCGGCCAAAACCCACTGAAACCAAAATGGCCACGAGAGTGACCTGTGGTCGTCCTCATTTTTACACTCCCACCCGCGCCATGACAGTTTACAAATGCCATGGCAACGTCAGAAAGTTACCTTAGATGATCTAAAAAGGGGAGGCATGAATAATCCACCCCTTGTTTGCCATATCGTCAAGAATAACCATAAAAATGGGCAACCAGCAGCCCTCAGGGCTGCTCTGTCTATGGAGTAGCCGTTCTTTTATTCCTTTACTTTCTTAATAAACTTGCTTTCTCTTTGCACTGTGAACTCGCCCTGAATTCTTTCTTGCCCAAGATCCAAGAACCCTCTCTTGGGGTTTGGATCAGGACGCCTTTCCCGTAACACAATGAATAAATATAGTTGGAACTCTTGGTGTTGTGGGTGTTGGAGAGGAGATTTAGCTGAGACATCAAGAAACAGTAGATGTCATATTTCAAAGTGAGACAATAGACCATGAAACATCAAAAACAATTTGGCTGAGAATTGTTAGATGATTCTTCAGTATTTTGCCTCTACTGATGCTACAAAAGGTTTAAGGGAAGGGAATTTTGTAGAAAATGCTAAGTGTGAGAATTTTTAAGGAGTTGCTGATATGCTGTGAGTCTCTCTCACTGTCATCTTGCCACAGGGGGTAAGGGTGGGGTGTGCCTGTCTCTAGTCTCAGGTCTTAGGAATGAGGTCTTAGTGGGTCCACCAAGAGAGCGTGGTGCATGTCCTCCATGGTTGGAGGCTACAGGACACCGGTTTCTGACTCTTGGGGACTCTAATATCTAGTGAGGAACAGGACGAACCGTTAGGATCTGCCTGCATCCCAGAGTGTGTTGGGGTGAAGGAGGCACAAATGTGTCCGGTGAACCACAGGTAAGCCATGGAGCTCAAGAGAACTGTGTCCGTCATCCTAGACTTTGTACAAGAGAGACACTTGAGGTGGGAGCAGACATCATCTCAGAGAAACCAAAGACAACACCATGTTCCCGGGGATGGGAGGAGAAATTGATGAGCTAGTGGAAAGTGCATCCCCAGTGTCCAAGGATCTGCAGATGAGGAACCCCTGAAGACCCCCCGGAAGCAGCACATGAGATAAGGCGTTTGTTTCAAGCACCTGATGGGCCCAGAGAATGTGGAGCCAACCTGGGAAACATCAGTCCAGTATAGGAAGAGCTTCCGTTCCCCATTCCCAGTTCCCCTTACTCCCCTCTACCCTGCCCTTGCCCCAACAACTGTTCCTACCCCTGGAGCAGCAGGCCAGGAGAGGGAGAGGGTTCAATTTATTAATTATGGCAAATTGCAAACATATATTAAAGTAGAGATAATAGTATGATGAACCCCCATCAATGAGTTTCAGCAAGTATCAACTTATGGCCAATCTTGTTTTATCTATACTTACTACCTCTAATTATCCTTCCTGAATTATTTTGAAGACAATTCCACAGATTATACATAATATTTCAGTCTATACCTTGAAGAGATACTGATACATGTAAACGTTTACATCCATATGTGTGTCATATACGTAGAGCTACACACTCAAAGATCCACCCCATGCTAAAAATGTCCACTAATTCCTTTATGGCATCAAATGAAAACATCTAATTTTAAGTCAAGTTCAGAATTTTGATTGTCATATGGGACTGGACATGTCAACTCCTAAATGGCAACTATGCCTAAATGGCAACTATGTTTTGTGACTTTAGAAACCATAGGATTAACTGACTTTTCTTTCCAAAAGAGAAGGAACCAATCCCCACAGAATGGGAGACAAAGACAAAGACACCTAGTGCTGTGGTTGGCCCCGTGAGTGCTGTGTGGCTCCTTAGCTCCCCGACCCATTGCAGGGCCAGATGCACACACATGTATCCATGTACCTTCCCCATCTGTGCACGACCACATATGTCAGGGCATGATGCTATGCCACACGTGTGTTGGGATCACCTGACTGTGTCTCCATTTCCAAAGTTGGGGGGGGTGCCTGTTCCTCCCTCTGTCCTAGTTCCACAGTGTTCAAGTCTCTGGAAATGACTGCAGCCCAGTGGGGGGCTTGTGGAATGTCCTCTTGGCAGGGGGTCCTGGTCCCAGTTTGCCAGGCACACTCCCTGGCCACAACTCTTGTCCTGGCATCATTATTCACAGCACCTCCACTCACCTGTCTGAAAAGTGTCCTGGCTTTGACAGCCTCTCACAGGGCTGCCTCTCTGTCCCGCTGTGCCCTGGGCATGAGCTGCCGCGTGCCCTGCCCTCCATCGGGCAGAGCCCAGCCCAAGCCCCACCAGAACGCGAGAGTCCCGGAGCCCTCACCAGCCAGTGTTGTCTTAGCCTCCCCTGAGACAAGGAAATGGGAATGAAAGAGTCCACTGGGGATAATTCTGGTGACAGGGGAGTTTGGGAAGGGATCAAATACATGTCTGGGGATTGATGATAGCCAGGGACTCATGGAGACCAGCAATCGGATGGGTGCCGGGAAGGACAAAGGCCGAGGCCTGGCGATGTGTGGGGTCAAAGGCATCCAGGCGGCCGAGTGGACCCGTGGTCCTGGCTAGGGGGCACTGAGCACCCGGGAAGAGCTCATCCAGGGCCCCAGGGAGCCAGGCCAGGGCAGGAAGGGAGAGGTCACCATGAGACAAGCCACTGGGATCGTTCAATGTGTCCTTCCCTTCCCTCTTCCCTCACACCAGAAAGCACAGGCTGAAAAGACCCTGCTGCCAGGCGCCCCTTGTGTGTGAGGGTCCTGGGCCATCATAACCAGCACCGCAAGCTGGGTGGTTTAAACAACAGATGTTTATTCTTGTTTATTCTCTCTCAGCTCTGGAGGTCAGAAGTCCAAGGTCAAGGTGTCACAGGGCCTCCTCTCTCTGAGGGCTCCAGGGAAGTGTCCTGCCTGCCTCTTCCGGCTCCTGGGGGTGCTGAAGTCCCCGGCCTCCTTGGCTTGCAGGCATATCACTCGGTCTCTGCCCCAGTTGCCATCGCCATGTGGCCTCCCTGCCCCGTCTGTGCTCACATCTGCACCCCTGTGTGTGTCTCAGTGTTTCTTCTCTTCTTATAATGACACTAGTCATATTGGATTTAGGGCCCACCCTACTCCATCTAGACCAGGCCAGATGGCGAGCGGATCCATCTAGACCGAGGGTGTCCAGTCTTCTGGCTTCCCTGGGTCACACCAGAAGAAGAAGAATTGTCTTGGGCCACACGTGAAATACACTAACACTAAAGATAGTTGATGAGCCAAAAAAAAAAATCACAAAAAAAATCTCATAACATTTTAAGAAAGTTTACGGATTTGTGTAGGGCCGTCTTCAAAGCCATCCTGGGTTGCATGTGGCAGACAGACCTCACATTGAACAAGCTTGATCTAGACCTTATCTTAGTTTAATTACAACCGCAAAAACTTTATTTCCAAATAAGGTTACATTCCGAGGTTTCAGGAGGGACGTGAATTTTGGGGAGGACACCCTTCAACTCAATGTACTTGGGAATCACTTGGTGATAAAGGCTTGACTCACAGGTATGAGCCAAGTCCGAAGGCCGAGAGTGGCTGCGGCTTCCCAGTCTGGTGGTGGGAGGACCTGGCTCCCCATGGGGTCCCCTGTGCTGTCTGGGGCTGTTGAACTTGGCTGCCTGCACCAATGCATTCAGGGACTGTCTCTGAGAACTGCATGCCATCAGCCCAGGTCTGGTACAAGAGGGGCTCCCAGCTGTCGGCCCAGGACTGGCTCAGTGCAGGACTGCAGACTGGAGTGCATCACACGGAAGGTGAGGTGACACGGTGCCTCCGGTGCCTGGGTGAGGGCCTTGCACCCTCCTCTCAGGCTCTGCTTCCTGGTAGAGCAGGTCTGGCTGCTGGGGAAGGGCCCATCTGGGCCCAGCAGGTGGGGCTGCGGGTGAGGTGCTCCTGTCCACCGCGGTCAGCTGCATTATTTCTGGCCGTCAGTCCATGCCTTTCTGGGAACCTTTCCTGTCCCTTGCACGTGGGGCTGATGCAACGGTCCCAAACCCACAGACGCTCTGGGTTTAGAGGGCTCTGTGGCTGCTTCTCAAGACGAGTGGCTGAAACAGCACCAAGTGCTCCTTGAGCTGCACAAGGGAACCCTGGAGCCCATGCCCCCTTCCGAGCCCACTGGGCTGCTCTGCGTTCTGACCTTCCTGTTTTACACGTGGTGGTGGCATTTGCTCTGCTCCTGGTCCCCACCCCCATTTGTCCTCAGTGGACTATGTGTCAAGACAGAAGCATCCTTGAATGGGTCACTGCGTTTGCCTCCCCAAAGCACCTACATTCAGGTCGTGATGACTCAGGAAGGGTCTTCGAGCCTCTCTCAGGGAGGCAGGAGGAAGTTCTGTGCAGAGTGAGGGGCGGCACCCATGGCAGCTGCAGACCGAGAGACAGCTGGGCAGCAGGGTGCTCCTGGGAGGTGTGCGGCCCTGGGCCACCCACGGGTGCTGATTAGCACAACTTCCTACTTCCTTCCTCCCTCGGACTGTCTGCTGCTTGAGTAATCGAGTGACAATACCAGAAAACTGAGCGGTGATGCAGACCCTATAACCTGCATGTGCCACATCAACTCTGAGTTTTCTGTGGGGCAGTGAGTTAGTGCAAAGTAGGCAGTGTTATGGCCTTACCTGCCCCTCTGCACTTTGGGAGGCTGAGGCAGGCAAATCACTTGAGGTTAGGAGTTTGAGACCAGCCTGGCCAACATGGTGAAACCTCAGCTCTACTAAAAATACAAAAATTAGCCGGGCATGGTGGCGTGCACCTGTAATCCTAGCACTTTGGGAGGCCAAGAGAGATGGGTTGCCTGAAGTCAGGAGTTCGAGACCAGCTTGGCCAACATGGTGAAACCCTGTCTCTACTAAAAATACAAAAATTAGCCAAGTGTGGTGGCATGCACCTGTAATCCCAGCTACTCGGGAGGCTGAGGGAGGAGGATCGTTTAAGCCTGGGAGGTGTAGGCTGTAGTGAGCTGAGGTTGAACCACTGTACTCCAGCCTGGGTGATGGGAGAGAAACCCTGTCTCAAAATAAAATAAAATAAAATAAAATAACTTAACATAACATAAAATAAAATAAGATAAGATAAAATAAAATGAAATGTGCCCCTCTGACCTTCACCCCTCCCATCTGGTGAACTTGTACTCATCCCTCAAGACCTAGTCAGATTTCACCCCACTCTGCCAGCTCTAATCATACTGCACCACAATTCATGCTTGAAGGCTTGTTCCTCCTCACCAGCCTGTGAGCTCTGAGGGCACGGGCTCTGCCTGATGTTCTGGGGCTCCCACATCTGCAGGCCGAGTGCCTGACCTGGGACCCATGCTCAGCTTGTGCTTGTTATATGCACGTGACAATGACCACGCATCCGGGAGGTGAAAGGTTGCAGCCCCGGCATGGGGGAGCAGACTGTCTTCTTCTTGGATCCATCCAGGAGCCCCTGCACAAGGCCCAGGGTGGGAGGGATTTGCAGGGCTCCTGGGACGGCCCACACCGCCACACCGCACACAGCTGACGAGGCTGCTGCAGGGATGCGGGATGCGGCTCCCAAGGAGGAAAGGGAGAGGCTCCTTTAGAGCCAGTCCTGCTCACCCCCAGGTCTTGGGTTGCCCAGGGGAGCCACCTGTCTGGGTTGGGCCCGATGCCCACTACCGCACGGCCTACAGCTCTGACAACAGCTCTGCTTTTTCTCTGGAACTGGAACTCCCCCAGGGGAATAGGGTGGCTGGGGAAGGCTGTGGGAATGCAGGCTCTGGAAGGCAGGTTGGGCTCTCCCATGCCATCCTCTGTTCCTGTACAGAGCCCAGGGCTCCTGGGGAGGGGGCTCCTAGAACAGAGAGAGGGGACACACACGGGCCTCCCCATTGACCTCTCCAGAGGTGCAGCCCAAATCCCCCTTCTCTGAGAAGCCTGTGCGTCTCCACCTGACAGGACCCAGCTCTGGCCCCCTTGCCACAGCCTTTGCTCCTACCAGAGCCGGGACCAGGAATCCTCTCCTCTGCCATCATGGTTGATCCAGCACACCCGGCAGGTGGTCAGTGTGTGTCCCAGGCACCTGGCTGGGCTGTGCAGCACCACTTCATGCTGTCCTGTGGGGTGAGCACCCTGTGACATGTAGGGAAACTGAGGTACAGATGGGACGTGACTTGCCCAAGGTCAGGCAGCACAGAACCTAGTCTTGGCTTCACCATCTTAACTCTGACATGATCCCGTCTCCCTTTGCGGGGGGACTCTTCAAGGACAAGAATGTGTCACCTTTGTTATTCCTTCCCCAGCCCTAAACCCTGGGTGTAGGCAGTAGGAGCTCAGTCAACATTCACTAGTTAAACGGAAGCAAACCCCAGCAGGGTTCTCGGTGCTGGCCGCAGAGAAGAATCACAGGCGACAGAACCACCTGTCAGGGCGGGGCCCAGGCATTGATATTCTCCCCACTCCAGGCAATTTTGAGTGCAGCAGGTGGAGACCACAGCACCTGCAGAAGCTCCTTGCGGGGGTCCTTCCCCAGCAGGTCATGAGGGCCGGAGGGGCAGCAGTCTGTTCCTGGGGTGTTTGCACCCTCCTGGAACTCAGCCCTGCACCACGACCTGGCCTGGCCTCTGGGTACTAGGAGCAGTGGGAAGGCAGGGAGATCTCACCAGATCCCCCAGGGAGATCTCACCAGATCCCCCAGGGATTTCCCCTACAATGACCTTTTTAATAACATGAAAATCCTGCTGTCCATTGATGAACCTGGGTCCGCTGTCTCCCAGAAAAAGTGAGTGCCCCGAAAACAAGGCAGGCAACGCTCTTTCCTTCTTCCTCCTTCGCTGGCCTCAGCGGGAGTGGCACATCAGAGGCCAGGGGCCCTCAAATCCATCCACAAAGGGCGTGCTGAGCGCAAGGGCGGGGCCTGGGAGTCACAGGGCAGGACACATCCTGGTGCTCAGCACGTACGCCATCGAGCTCCCATGGGTCACTCGGGGAAGGGCAGTTTGTGGATGCACCCTTGGAGGCTCAAGGCCGCCCTGCACACACCACCGGGGACCCCAGCTGCAGGCTAAATCCAAGCAGCCAGGCGCTCCCATTTCTCGGGGTGATAAACCAAGTCCACCCTTCAGACAGAGGCTCCTGGAAGGGCCAGTGGGGGTCATCAAAATGCCTCCCTGGAAAAGAAACACGGAGAACACAAAATCTAGGGGCCCGTTTTCCTGGAATGAGATTAGTCTCTTGCCCACTACCAGCCAGTCCACTGCAGGAGGTTGGGGGGTTGGGGGATGCTGCGGATGCCGAGGGCGGAGGCTTAGGGTCCTGGGAGTGGGTTAAATACCAGCTATACCAGGGACACTGGAGTAACCTCTGATAGGCACCGGAAATGTTGAGTCTTAGTTTCTTCCTCTGGAAAATGGATAGAATCATCGCTGTCTCATCTGATATGTTGTTATAAAACAATTCCTGAGATGTAGTCTTTAGTTTTTAAAAGAGCACGCTGGGCAAAGGTGGAGAGTCAGTTCCTGTTTGTGTTAAAAATGTGGCCGAGTGCAGTGGCTCATGCCTGTAATCCTGACACTTTGGGAGGCCAAGGAAGGCAGATCACTTGAGTCCAGGAGTCTGAGACCAGCCTGGCCAACATGGCGACACCTGGTCTCTAAAAAAATACAAAATATTAGCTGGACACATGCCTGTGGCCCAGCTACTTAGGAGGCTGAGGTGGGAGGATCACTTGAGCCCCGCGAGGGCGGGGGTCTCAGTGAGTTGAGATTGTGCCACTGCACTCCAGCCTGGGTAACAGAGCAAGACCCTGTCTCCAAAAAAAAAAAACAAAAAAAAAACAAAAAAAAAACAAAACAAACAAACAAACAAAAACAAACCAAAAAAACGTGCTTAGATCCAGAGAGAAAAATTCTGAAAGGATACCTAAAAAAGTGTTCACAATAGATCAATAGATGCCTCTGGATAGGAAAGGCTCTTTTGTATTATTTGATTTTAAAAATCAATTATGTGTACCATGTTTTTACTAACATATTTTCAATCAATTCATTTCATCCACTTATTAAAATGTAGTTACTAATTTTTAGGGGAGAAAGCAAAAAGGAAAGACAAGGAATCTCTGTGTTTCAGGAGTTGTGAGAGAGCCGCAGGGTCCTGACTCACTCAGAGCTGCCTGTCTCCGAGGCCGATCTGGGATGAAGCAGCCTGGGGCTCTCTTGTCATGGGACCAGGGGTGTTCTGAGGGCTTCTGGCTGGGAGGCTGAGATGGAACGGACACCACACCCTGGTCCTGCCACCCCACATGGCTCCTGCACACTACACCAGGCCAGGCTAGGAGGGCAATTGACACACATCCGCTCCCCAGTAGAGGACCCGGAACCAGAACTGGAATCCGCCCTTACCGCTTGCTGCCAAAACAGTGGGGGCTGAACTGACCTCTCCCCTTTGGGAGAGAAAAACTGTCTGGGAGCTTGACAAAGGCATGCAGGAGAGAACAGGAGCAGCCACAGCCAGGAGGGAGAGCCTTCCCCAAGCAAACAATCCAGAGCAGCTGTGCAAACAACGGTGCATAAATGAGGCCTCCTGGACCATGAAGCGAGTCCTGAGCTGCGTCCCGGAGCCCACGGTGGTCATGGCTGCCAGAGCGCTCTGCATGCTGGGGCTGGTCCTGGCCTTGCTGTCCTCCAGCTCTGCTGAGGAGTACGTGGGCCTGTGTGAGTACTGCCCTGACTGCCCCGGTGGCAGGGTGGGCGTGAAGGGAAGGGATCCAGGATAAGGGGGGATTCTGCATTCATTTAATAATGGCCACCTGTCACATATACACTTTTTCCTGCGCTAGCCCTTTGAAGTGGGTCTTTATTGTCCCCATTTCACAGACAAGGAAACCGAGGCTCAGAGAAAGTTAACAACTTATCCAAGGCAGCCCTGCCCAGTCTGTGTTGAAATCAGGGTTTGAGCCTGAGCCCATCCCCTATGACCCCATAGCCATCTTTGCTGGAGATTTCTAAATTACAATATAGGTCTTTATGCATTGTTCCACATTTACAAAGAAAAAGGAAAGATGCAGGAGAAAAACCCTGACTTCAGAACACTGTCAATACCGGCAGGCACAAGGTTCATTTAGCCATTGCATAGCAACCCTGCCATGGGGTGTGGCTGCTCCATTAACCCAAGTTTGAAGGAATGAGGGCATGGCTTTTATCTGGGTGTCTTCTGAGCAGGGTCAAAGGCAGTGGTTCCCGAACTTGCAGCCCATTAGAATCACCTGGAGAGCTTTAAAAATCCTAATGCTTGGGGCACACCAGTTACATCAGGGCATCTCCAGGCAAGATCCAGGCCTCAGCTGTTTTGTTTTGAGATAGCCTTGCTTTGTCACTCACTGCTGGAGTGCAGTGGCACAATCTCAGCTCACTGCAACCTCCGCCTCCTGGGTTCAAGCAATTCTTGTGCCTCGGCTTCAAGTAGCTGGGATTACAGGCATGCACCACCATGCCCAGCTAATTTTTTGGATTTTTAGTAGAGATGGAGTTTCGCTATGTTGGCCAAGCTGGTCTCAAACTCCTGGCCTCAAGTGATCCTCCTGCCTTGGCCTCCCAAAGTGCTGGAATTACAGGTGTAAGCCACCATGCCCAGCCAACGTCAGTCATTTTTAAAGCTCTGCAGCTGATTCCAGTGTGAGCGAAGTTTGGATGCCAGGAGGATAAGCAATTACGGACTGGGAGCAAGAGAAGGGAATGTAAGACACTGCACGTGATTGCCATTTTCCTAAGGAAATACTCAGTTCGTTAATGAAACGCAGTGAACTTCTGCTGCACATACAGACATAGAGGCTTGCCTGAAACATGAAAATATTGGGGACTGAAGGATGTCCCGGGAGGGTGGGACATGCTCAACAATTCAGGAAGGGGAGATGCAGAAAAAAGTGAAAAGCAGGCAGCATGCGTTGCAATGATCTCTATGGCGTGTGCCTCTCCTGTCACGGTTTTCATTTAAAACAAAGGGGCAAGGTTTTGTTGGTCAAACAATGAAGGGTAACTTTGTTTCTGGGTTCAAGGGACCCCAGATTCCCCAGGGGTTCCTGCCAGCTGGAAGGTACCCAGGTCCGTATGTGACTTCCCGAGAAGGTGATAAGAGCGTGCCAAGGAGAAAGACACTTAGGCAAATGGCCAGAGTCCCCGAGCTGAGCATTTAACAGACTGCCTCTCTTTAAATATTCACAGGGAAAGTGCATCTTCCTAAGGGCGAGGGTTTCAGCAGTGGTTGAACTCGGCGGGGTGGGGCGGAGCGGGAGGATGCAAACTTGCAAAGTGAAGCAAACACACTCACCGCAGCCCAGCAAGGGCTCTGGCAGCTGACAGGGCTTTGTCTGGGACAGCTGCAAACCAGTGTGCCGTGCCAGCCAAGGACAGGGTGGACTGCGGCTACCCCCATGTCACCCCCAAGGAGTGCAACAACCGGGGCTGCTGCTTTGACTCCAGGATCCCTGGAGTGCCTTGGTGTTTCAAGCCCCTGCAGGAAGCAGGTAAGGCCCCAGTGGCATCGTGGTCTGGGCCCAGCCCCATAAGGCAGGGGGTCTCAGGGCCTCCCTGTCCTTTCTGGGCTGGAGATGGAGGCACAAGGACCCCAGGAAGCCACACACACACACCTGTTCCAAGGCCTCAGAGCAGAGGCTTCACACTTAGGGCAGCCATGGCCAGGGGCTGTCCTCTTCTGTCCCCTTTATGTAAAACATAAAAGCAATTGTTTCAAAAAGGTGTTCAAAATGATGGCATCGCATAGAGGGAACTGATTTAGTAACTATTCTTGAGAGAAGTGGAAACGCATAGGTGTGGAAAGCCGGGCCGACTTTTGGGCTGTTTTTGCAAATCGGCCCCCCAGAGTCTTGTCATTTGTGGCATCCCCTACACAGACGGCAGGCGGTCCCAGCCCTAGACGTCAGGCCTCGGTGCCACACCCCACCTCCCCCACTCTGCCCCCCACAAGGGTCATCTCCTCTCCCTCTCTCTGCCGTGGTGGAGGGCAGGTGCAGGGCAACCACCCTGGGGGTTCCCTCCCCAGGGGCGGAGAGCCTGCGTGCTGTGCGGGTAACAGATGGCCCTGCACACGGGTTTGCCACCCTGGCTCCACCAGGCTTAGCTGCCCCACATCGTGGGTGGGGCGATTGGCTATAAGCCATCTGCCATGTCCAAGTGCCAGCTCAGCCCCCACGAAGGCCGCACCTGCGTGAGGTACCTTCCTGGAACCAGCATCCAGAGGGGCCTCTCTTGCCCTTTGTCCTAGGGTGAAATGCGGGAGGCTGAGTCCTGCTGGCCCCGGCTCCCTGATCAATGATGGGCCCCTGCCCAGGGCCTCCCTTCACCCTCCCCAGCAAGTCCAGGGTAGGGGTGGGGGTGGGGGTCCAGAGAAGGCCAGGAGAGAGAGGGGTCTGGCTACTGTCCACTGCCGGTCCTGTTCCTTCAGCTCCACTGGAACTACACTCTCCTCTGAGTGCCAGCCATGGCCCTGCCAAGGCCCATCTCGCTTGTTATCTGCCTGATCCCTGGGTCCCACTATCTTGCTTAGCAACCCGAGGTGGGAATCTTGGCTATTCCCCCATGTGGTGGGGACTCAACACTCCCCGGTGACTCTGGGGAGGAGGCAGCACTAGGTGCTGGCCTTGGAGCCTGCCCTGACCTTGGGAAGCTGGGCAGCGTGGGTGGAGAGAGACTGCTCACACAAGCCTTTGCTCTGTTTGCAGAATGCACCTTCTGAGGCACCTCCAGCTGCCCCCGGCCGGGGGATGCGAGGCTCGGAGCACCCTTGCCCGGCTGTGATTGCTGCCAGGCACTGTTCATCTCAGCTTTTCTGTCCCTTTGCTCCCGGCAAGCGCTTCTGCTGAAAGTTCATATCTGGAGCCTGATGTCTTAACGAATAAAGGTCCCATGCTCCACCCGAGGACAGTTCTTCGTGCCTGAGACTTTCTGAGGTTGTGCTTTATTTCTGCTGCGTCGTGGGAGAGGGCGGGAGGGTGTCAGGGGAGAGTCTGCCCAGGCCTCAAGGGCAGGAAAAGACTCCCTAAGGAGCTGCAGTGCATGCAAGGATATTTTGAATCCAGACTGGCACCCACGTCACAGGAAAGCCTAGGAACACTGTAAGTGCCGCTTCCTCGGGAAAGCAGAAAAAATACATTTCAGGTAGAAGTTTTCAAAAATCACAAGTCTTTCTTGGTGAAGACAGCAAGCCAATAAAACTGTCTTCCAAAGTGGTCCTTTATTTCACAACCACTCTCGCTACTGTTCAATACTTGTACTATTCCTGGGTTTTGTTTCTTTGTACAGTAAACATTATGAACAAACAGGCACTTTTTTGTATTTGTTTGCTAATTAAGTTTAAACATCTGTGACACATTGGGTGGCCTTCTTTTCTCTTTTTTTAAAAAAATGGATGCAGCTATAGGAAATGAATGAGCTGGTGGCAGTGGGGATTCCATCTCACGTCCTCATGAAGCCTTATCCACTTCTGGACCTGAGTGTGGTTCTCTCCCCATCGCACTGTCTTGGGACACGGCAGCTCTCCGCTCCCACCAAGACGGTTTTAGATGTACGAAGGCCAGTGAGCGCTGCCTGGCTGGGCCTCCTGTGAGCGCTGCCTGCCTGGGCCTCCTGTGAGCGCTGCCTGCTTGGGCCTCCTGTGAGCGCTGCCTGCCTGGGCCTCCTGTGCTGCTCCCACTGCCGGGGCTCTCTTAGGGCCGGATCCACAATTCCACTGCAGTGCGGTCACAGCGGTGGGGTTCTTGCTCTGAGCTATCTGTTCCCTTTTGAAAAGAGACAACTGCTCCTTTAAAATAGCAGCTTTTGTTTTTGAGCTTGCACTCGGGGCCTGGTCCCTAGAGCTCATAACATCCCTAGAAGGGAGGTAGTATTGCCCTTGTCTTACAGATATGGAAAGAGACTTTCTTGAAGTAGCTTGTCCAAAAGCCCCTACTGAGAGGGGACACTGTCAGGATGTCCTGGTCTCTAAATCTCAAGCCCTGGGTGTCCCATCCAATGCCCCGAAGCATCAGCTGCCAGCCCTGGGAGGGAAACTTCCAGGGCTATCCCGGGCCTCAGAGCACACGCCAAGTGTGGCCTCCCTGCTCTGGAGCTCTGCTACTGAGAGCTGCTCTGGCCGGGACATCCTCCGAGGCGGGGCTCTGCATCCCTCTCCCTCACAGACCATGCCCAGCCTTTGAGGGCTGGAGGGATGGAAAGGTTGGCCCCAGGCCCTGGCCTCAGCCTCAGGCCACCCTGCCACCAGCTGGATGACCAGCTCCGTTTTCCTCCTACCCCACCTGGTGCCCTGTACCCCGGGACAGGGCTCTGCTGCCTCCTTGCCTCATTCATGGGCACCGCCCACCTACATTTCCAAAGAATTTCTTGACTTGCCCCACCCCGCCGTTCCTGGCATTGCCTTCTGCAGTCACTGCAGACACCTCCTGCACTGTGGTCCCCCCGGCCCAGACTTCCCACTGTGCCCTGAGAGGGAGGGCTCCCCCAGAACTTGAGCCAGGTGGGACTCCTCCTTCACCCACCACAGAGCTGCTCCCTGTCTCCAGCCTGAGCCTGTGCCTTCCTCAGACAGGACAATGCTTCGTGCACATTCTAGAAGCTTCACCATTGACTCCTGCTGCCCGTGTGGGCTGGATCGAGGTTGCTTCCATCAAATGAAATAGCATCAGATGGAGAGATCTGCTGGCAACAACCGGCAGGACAGAGACTCCCCATAATCCAGCTGTGCAGGGCAGACCCCAGTGAGGAAAGGAAAGGGGCTGAGGAGGGCTGGGGTCCTGGAATGAGCTGGACTGGACCCCCGTCTTTCTCTGTCTCCCGTGTCCTGCCTCCGACCGTCTCTGCCTCTCCCTCGCTTCGACTTCGGTTGCTATGGGGACCTTGGAAGCTCCCTGCCTTCCTCGCGAGCCCCAGGCATGGTCGGGGGGCTCTCAGAACCCCGGGTAGGGTTTATGCTATGAGAAAGAGCGCAACGCCCCTGACAGCACCCACCTGGGGGCTGTGACATTCTCATAAGAGATCACAGACACCAATGGGGGAGCAGGACCCAAAAGCAGCCCACCCACCCCCCAGCCCGACGGCAGAACGGAAACCTGGTCCAAACCACAAAGCGACCGAACAGCGCCCTCTACTGACTGCTGGAGTCACTGCGGCTCGCCACCAATCACAGCTGTGCCCTGCCCCTTCTAGATACAAATTAAGATACGCAGCCCCAGAATGACCCTGGGCTTCCTGTTGGTGAGGAGGATCTGGGACCCAGGACACATGATCTAAGCCGAGGGTTCCCAGTGGAGGCTGCTGCCACGGGGATGTTCGGGAATCTGTGGGCACGTTTATGAATCGTATGAAAGGGGGCATTGAGTGGACACAGGCCAGACATGGCAGGACCCTGTGGTGTCCCCAGGTGTCCTGAACAGACCACTGCCTCCACCCGATAGACGTCCTGGCGTCCTGTTGGACACACATGGTGGCTGCAAACCTATTCACGGCGATCGAAACCCAGAGACTACTTCTGTGTTACATTTTAACACAGTTGTTTTGGTTGTTGTTTGTTGTTTCAAATGGCTTGAACATACCTGAATTCTCCAGGAGGGTATGTCATGTAAATCAAGAAGACACTGCATTTGTTTGGTTTGCAGCGTTAGCTGAGTCGTTCATTTCAAGCATGTCAGTGCCAGGGCTGCCTGTGTTCCTCGGGTGGCCCATCCAGGGGGATTCAAGCCCCGGACTCCTTCATCCCGTCCTCTGGTGTGGACATGGGGAGCATGGTGCACTGAATAGGAATGTACTGAACATTACTCTCCTTTTATTTCTTATATTTTCATAAGGCCTCGTGCATATTTAATTTCCAGCACTGGGCATCAGTTGACAACAGCTGTCCAGAGCCCAGGTGGCCTCAACGCCACCTGCTGGGCCTTCCCACCTCCTGGTCTGGGCACATCTGAAACCGACATCCATCAGCGGCTCACGGCGAATTCAAATAATGAATTGTGACCCATAGGACCCAGGAACCATTTTTATGTCAAATACCTTCATCACTAACTTGGAAATGGTCCGTGTTTCCAGAGCCTTCCAGAATGAACACTTTGATTGCCAGAAGAAGCCAGAACATGGCTGGGCTCCCTCGCTGCTGGCGTGTGCTGCTGTTGGAAAGGGGAGAGAAACGCTAGGCTTCTCCCCACGCTGCAGCCGTTACACCCCATGATGGTTTTCCGTGCCATGCCCATGCCTTCCCCCTCCTCTTGAGTTGGTGGTGAAGGGTGCGGCTGTGGCACTTCTCATTTTCCACAGTTCCTCTGGAGTCTGCTAGAAAGCTCTACATTGTTCCATAATACATTGGATATTCACTTGTATTCATCACTGTATTCCAAGGATTCATAATTTCCAATGGCGAGAATTTTGGCTTCAAGCTGAGACACCCATGTGGGCTTCCATAAGTAGCAGACGTACTGGGGAGTTCTTGCCTCCGAAATGAGTGGGGGAAGGACTGGGGAGGAAGAGCCTCCCGCAGGCTGATGGGGAGTCCCCAAAGCAGAGTGCCCCTCGAGGGACCCTGTGTCTGGTGGGAATGCCCTGGTTGGGAGCAGCCTCAGGGAAGTGGGCCTGGCGTGGATGTCATGCTGGATGCGGGGCTGTCGGTGACCTGGGTCCCTGCAGCAGGTCGTCTCTGAGGGACAGCTGAGTGGTAGGTGCATCTCCAGTGGCCAAGAAGCCTCCCTGCTCACTAGGTTTTTGCTCTGAGGCCCTGCAGGGCCCTGGGCTGTGACACAGCTGTGGAGGCTGGAAATTCTCCCCTCAGTCCTCCTTCTTGGGGGCTCGAGAGGCACTGTCATGTATTGGAAAGAGTTAGAGAGCCCTGGGGCTTCAAAGTTCCTATCAGCAAAATGGGACAATTATAATGGCTGTATCAGAGGGTTGCCGACAGCTGCAGAAGCAAGGTGCAGGCTGAGAAAGCTCATTCCCCTGTGAGGTCAGAGCCGCATCCCCTTGGTCGGCCATAGTTTTCTACTGCATTTAGAGTTCATGCTCCCTTTCTTCCTTAGGTTTTATTTTGTTTTCAAAACTGAAGTGTGTTTTATGCTAAGTGAAAGAAGCCGATCACAAAAAGCCATGTGTTGTGTGATTCCATTTATATGAAATGTGCAGAATAGGGAAACCCACAGAGACAGACAGTGTTTCAGTGGTTGCTGGGTAGGGGGAGGGATGGGGAGTGGCTGTTCATGGGGAAGGGGTTTCCTTTTGGGGTGATGGAAATGTTCTGGAGTGGCATATGATACTGGCTGCACAATTCTGTGCAATATTAGATACTAAAAACCACCAAATCGTACACTTTACTAAAACAATACTAAAACCCCCTGAGACGAACACTTTAAAAAAGTGAATTCTATGGCATGGGAATAATATCTTCATTAAGCACACATCTGTACATGTGCTGATACCTCTGTTGATTTGCCCATTTAGACAAAGCCTTTTTGCCCTGAGAACTGAGAGTTTATTTCCAAGGGCATACCGAGCACCAAGGTGTGGCTGGCACATCTGATCTTCAATGCCATGGGTCCTGCCAGGTGGCTGCCAGACGGCCTTGTTCCCTTCCAGGTGGCTCCCAGGCTCAAGGGTTCTCTCTGCCATTCCAAGACCACACTCAGGCACAGGAATCATTTGCTGCTTCTCGCTGTGCAGCTGTCTTTGTCCCTGTTGGCCTGAACACTGCAGCCTTTCCCTCTTGGGTTTTGTGGGGTGCAACCGACTCCCTCTGCTCCCCCATCCCACTGACCTGTCTCCCTGGCCTCTGTCCTCCACAGGGGCAGGCGGGCAGGCCTCCTGGAGGAAGCATCCAACACCACATCCATTCATTCACTGCTCTGAGCCTCCCATCCTAGGCCCAGCCCTCACCAACCAGAGGAATTGTCTCAGTCCTGCAGTGTGGCGAGATCCCATTTCCCTCTGACACCTGCTCTCAACATGGCAACCTGGCTATTTACAGATGGGGACATTAGGAAAAATGAGGTCCCAGAGCTCCCAGCGTCACAGAGATTATAGGTTGCCCAGCTGTGGTCCCTGCTGTGACCACCCGGCCCCCTGGTTGTGGCTTCGTTAGTATCTGCAGAGCAGAGCAGCAGGAAGCACAGACCAACAGCTGCTTGCACCGGGGAAAGGGCAGAGAAGGGAAATAAAACAGCGGGGCGGGCCTGAGGGGATCTGTTGGTTCTTCAGGAAGAGTGCCCTGCCACAGGTTTACCTGCGTCTGGCTTCACCATCTCTCTGTAGAACGAGGTTGTTAACAAGTGGTACCTACTGCGATGCCAGCCACAGTGGTGGTGTGGGGAAGATCAGCCCCCTCGTGCAGGGGTGCAGCCAATTTGGCTGGCAACAGCACTGTGGACTCCTTGCCCAAGAGGCTGCAGCCTTGGGAGGGTTCATGGCACCCCACGCACCTTACGTCCCCAAGAGTCACCTCTTTTGGGTATAACCTGGAGGCCCCAGGGCTGGAGGCAGAATGTCCGTGCTGAGTGGGACGACCTGGGCACCGTGAGAGTGGGGGGTGCTCCGTGGGATTGCAGGCCCCACCGTTTTTACATTTTGGATATCCTTCTGCTTGGGGTTCCAGAAAGGCTTCTACAGCTTGAATGGTGGGTTGTAAGGATATAAGTAGAAGGATGTTTTCCAAATTTTCAGATTTATGAAGGCATGGCCTTTTGCAGAAACAATCTCAGGGTCCGTTGGAGGACTGTGGCTGCATGGACTCTGGAGCGCTCTGATAAAGATGTGCCAGACGCTGCGTGGATTCTGGAGCGCTCCCGGTGTGGGGTACTGCTCGCTGCATGGATTCTAGAACGCTATGACGAGGAGATGCCACGTGCTGCGTGGATTCTGGAGCACTCCGGGTGTGGGGTGCTGCTGGCTTCATGGATTCTGGAGCGCTCCGGGTGTGGGGTGCTGCTCGCTGCACGGGTTCTAGAGCGCTCCGATTAAGGGGTGCTGCGCACTTCATGGATTCTGGAGCACTCTGACGAGGGGGTGCCGCGTGCTTCATGGATTCTGGAGCGCTCTGGATGTGGGGTGCTGCGCTCTGCATGGATTCTGGAGTGCTCCGAAGACGGGGTGCCGCGCGGCTGCATGGATGCTGGAGTGCTGCGACAAGGGGATGCCGCGCGGCCGATAAGCAGGAGTGGGGAACAGTGCGCGTCTGGTCTGTGGCGCCTGCAGCGATTCCGAGCCAGGGAAAGAGAGCTGCATGGAGTGTGGGCGGTGCCCAGCCTTTTCCCAGCAGTGGAGGGGATGGGTCATCAAATTGCTATTGGGCGCGGTGGCTCACGCCTGTAATCCCTGCACTTTGAGAGGCTGAGGTGGGCGGATCAAGAGGTCAGGAGTTCGAGACCAGCCTGGCCAATATAATGAAACCCTGTCTCTACTAAAAATACAAAAGTTAGCTGAGAATGGTGGCACGCGCCTGTAGTCCCAGCTACTCAGGCAGCTGAGGCAGAAGAATCTCTTGAACCCGGGAGGCGGAGGTTGTGGTGAGCCGAGATAACGTCATTGCACTCCAGCCTGGGCAACAGAGCGAGACCCCGTCTCAAAAACAAACAAAACAAAACAAAACAAAACAAAACAAAAACTGTTATCTGGTTGTCAACTCGAGTGACCTCATGGGGTGGGTGGGGGCGAGGTTATTGTGCTTGGCGGATGGTTTGGGGCATGGGATGGCATCTAGGGATGGAGAAACCAGGGCAGGAAGGAGGGGAGTGTGGGGGAGCGTGAGTACAGAGGCAGCTGTTGTCTTCAGTGGATCACCGTGCAAGTGGGAGGGCCGAGTCTGCATGCCAGGTCACCAGGCAGCGGCTTTTTGCACTGTCTCGTTCCTACCCACACATGCACACCTTCCTCCTCGCCTACAAGTAGGGCCCAGTAGGGCCATGTCCCAGGTGATGATCCCAGATGACATCTGGACCCAGGCCCCAGTGCTGACTCACAAGGGGTCTTGACAGCACAAGGACCTCCAGGCCGATCCCTGGAGATGTTGGCACATCATCTCACCCCTCAGCCAAGTGTCTGGGAGGAGAAGTTTCCACTGGTCATGAGGGTCAGACCTGCCACACCACTTCCTGCACAACGTGGATTCTCCTCCTGTGTGGTCTCAAATCCTAAATGCCTCTCCCGGAGGAAGGGAGAGCCATGGAGTGGCCAGGAGCCCTGCCTGGATGGCCAGGGTCTCACTTCTGCGTGCACCACCGACCAGCTCTGTGGCTTTGGCAAGTTGTGTAATATCCCTGAGCCTCGGTGTTTTTAACCTGAAAAATGGGGCCAGTTGCGGCTCTCCAGCTCTGATGACGACGGTTTGATGAGATTGCGCATGGAAAGGTAGGGTACTGTGCCACCACATGGTGCTCCATGGAGTCTGGAGCTACAGGCTTCCTTACCATCACTCTTATTTGTCTTCCTCACTGGAATCCATCCTGACACTGAAGAGAGAAGTGCTCCATTGAGAGCAAGGGCAGGTAGGGAGAAAATACGAGATGCTCTACCAGACGCGACTCCCCCAGCAGGTCTGAGAGCTGGGGCTGTTGAAAGCAAAAGGAAAGAGAAGCAGAAATCTGAAAATAATGATGCTTTATTTGATTGACATCACATCATCATAAATGGCATCTAATTTCAGAAAACAAAGTTCAAGTCCGCAAAAAATGCATGTACAAATCTAAGGAGATAGGTCTACAGAAATAGACACGTGGCTCTGTGGTCCGTAAGGTGCAGTCAGGAACCTCACATCCTAGGGTCTGTCTGGGTTCAATGTTCCAGTGGCGTGAGACAACCAAGGAAACAGACACCCCAAAGAGCCGATGTTATTTTTGAATATATATATATGTATATACATGTACATATGTAAATATGTTGCCTTCATCTGTAACAGTGCAAACCTCTCACAGCGTGCAAAGCAACAGTGTTTCCTACAGTCAAGTAACTAAATCAGTGAAAAGTTATCCACACAGCATTATAAAAACATTATATAATTACATAGCAGATATATATGCACGCCTTTGCACGCTGATTAGAGTTACTTGCATTGACTTTTGCTTTAGAAGAAATAAAAAAGGAAAATCTTTAAATAGTTCTTCATCAAATAAAAGGTAACAATTTGTAACAGATTCAACTATGAACAGGTATTGCATCAATATGTCTACAATAGAAAAACATAAATATATAAAAACAAAGGCAAAGGGGTCAGCTACACATATTAACTTACCAAACATACATGTTCTATTGAAAAACTGATCCCCATTCACACCCTCCAGGTGGGAGGATAAGACTATAAAAATGGGAAGCCAGCGTGTGGGTGTGGTGTTCTATTTTATTAGCAATTTGGATGATAGGATGTTTTGCTACTGTTTTCAGTTGGCCAATGACATAATAGTGAGATACTGATTATTAAGCTTGGGAAGCTGGTAGGTCATGGAAAAGAGACCCCAAGATGCATAATGACAGACATGTAAAAATGCAAACGTGTAAAAATGAAATCACTGCCGTGGTTACTACTATATTTTCAGACAAACCAAATTGTGGTACCATTCAGATTAGACGGCGTTCAGGGATCTCCAGGAGTCCACGGATATGGGGTTGTCAACCCTAAACCCACGTACTTCATAATTTCCTAACCTTCCCCTTCAAGGCCAGATGCATTTCAACCTGCCAGAAGGGGCACATTAGGGCCCCCTAAGAGGCACGATTGTTTGAGTAACTTCCCCAGAAACGGACATGTCTGCTGCTGCCTCAGCTGCAGCACTCTCATTGGGCAAGCTGTTTTCTAGAGGCTCATAGGCAGGTGCGGTGAGCAGTGAAGAGTCAAATTAATTCTGAGCGCCGGCACTCAGAGCTTCAGAAGCCTCCTTAAAGGGAGATTTGTCTGGGGGACTAGAGGACTGGCCCCCACACAGGTCACCAGGGAGGGTCCTGCCTCACTGCTCGGGGGCTCACCAGCCAGGCCTCAGCATCTCTGCCCCACTCACCGGCCCTCATGGTAATGGACCACATGGGTCAGAGGTGACAGCAGGTGGCTTACACATTTCCAGAGATCTGATCTCGTAACCTCAGGGACCATAAAATAAAAAACATTTCTTACTGTGTGCAGTATCAGGGCCACGTTTAAAGTCATGTGCAAAGTTTAGGCCAAAGGCACTCAAAGTGATCAGCCAGATTCTCTCGTATGTTTGTTCAGTGCAGACACACAGACGATGGTGGCGCGCTATTGAGAGAAAACAGCTGAAAGTAAAGTAATAATTTTGAGTTTTGCTACTTTTTGGTTATGTGGCTTGAGCTCATGCCTTTCCCAAGATCTCGGGGGCTAGAAGACTGTCCCCAGAACCATGAACCCCAGTGAAACAAATACATATATGCCCGTGGCTGTGTCCTCAACCTGGACCTGAAAGGCAAGTGGCCATGGGGGTGGCTTTCTGGAAAAGGGGAGGGGCTTGGGCAAGCTTAGCCCACAGCTGCAGAGAAAACCCTCAGGGCGGGCTCTGCCAGCGGGTCCAGCACGCCCTCAAAATGCAGCGCCCTCGTCCAGCCGGCAGCCCCTGCCTGTGTTTGCGAAGAATCAAGGTGCTTTTGTGCTTCTGTTCCTTTCTCTTCAGCTTTACAACGGCCATTCTACATGGAAAAGCCCCCAAACGGTGCCTCTATAAACAGTAAACCCTTGCCAGGCTGGAATGTGGTAGCCAGTGGCATGGACCGTTTTCTCCTTTTGATGCCAGGAGAGTATTTCTGAGAACAGGGAAGCCTCAGGGTCCTAACCCCAGCCTCTGCTCACATGTGTGTCATTCACATAAACCCCAGGCAAAGCAGGGTTCCTGGGTGGGCCTCAGGCACACTGGGGCAGGCCACACGTGTCTGTGTGAGGGGTGATTCCAGGTTGGCCTGTTCAGAGATAACATAAAAAAACTAGGCTAAGGCTAAACCCTTCTGTTTCCTCAAATATGGAAAAAAGAAACGGGCAGGATGTAGGATAGCTATTAGGAACTTTAGGTCAGCATAGCAGAAGGATGTGCGTGTGTGCCTGTCCCCACATTTCCTTCCTGCCCAGGACACGTGGATTTTAAGGACAGCCTGAATTGAGCTTGTAAGTGAAAATTAGACTGTGCCATGGGGGTGCAGGGTCTCTTATTTCTTCCCTGCTTCTGGTCCCAGGGAGGTTCCCCAAAAAGGTCAGCCCCACAAGTGGACATCAGAAGCCCCTGTCTTTGCAGGGGGCAATTATCTTGGAGGAACCTCCCTGACGGGACAGCCCAAGTACAGTGGCTTGGAAAGGACCGTGACTTTAACATTACTGGGACCCAGGGCGGCCGGGCCGTCCAGAAAGGCTGGGGTTACCGAGGGGGGAAGAAAACTGTGCATCGCGAGCTTGTGTGCACGCCTGGGGCAGCCTTCGATTGTGCCTGCCCGCCATAGGAGGAGTGCAGGGGCCACTGCGGGCCGATTCTGTGACCTCACCCAGCCCGGCTCTCTGCTCTGTGTCCCAGAGGTGGGAGGGAAGCTGGATTTGAAAGCCCAGTTCTAAGCCACTGGTGTCCCGGAAAGTCTTCACTCTGAGGGTCACTGCCTGGCCGGAGCTCGGGGAACCATGGGCTAATGCAGCACATAACACTGAGCAACTGCTAGGCCCTGCTCACCTCAACTTTGGGACCAAAACCTCTAGAGGGGCTGCCTTCCCCACTAGCAGCTGCCTCTACAGAGCTCAGCCTGGGAGATGGGTTTCCAGCAAAGCAGAGTAAGGAAGAAGCGACGTCGCCCTGCCAGAGCTACCGCCCCAGAGCCCCGGTTGAGGGAGCCCCTGCAAGGGTGGAGAGGACCAAAGGGAAGGTGTGGCCCAGTGCCCTCCTGCTAGCCCTGCCTCGAGCCTCCTCCAGGCACATTTCGAGGTCATGGCCAACATCACGAGGCAGGAGGACATGGGTGAGGATTCTGGGAGAACAGAAAACACAAAACTTTAAGACAATTCAACATAATACATGAACATCATCGAGAAAGGGCTCATCTACAGCCACGTCTTGGACCAGAACATGAGCGACAAATCAGTGCTCTTCCCAGAGGGACAACAAACGCATTCTAGACACAGCCTAAGAATCCATCGACTTAGGAGAATGCAAAGCCAATCACTTGAAGCATCTGACGCTGAACACAGGTAAAAAGTTTTATATAAAATATTTTATTAGAGTCTTTATTCTTTATAAGTATCTAACTTTATATTTATACGCTCTGCGCCTCCCCCGCCTGGCCAGTTGGGTTGTTTTGTCTAACGTTCATTGCGTTCTAATTCGGCTGGCATTTGACTAAGGCCTTAATGGGTTTTGACTATACTCTTCCCATCTGCACCACAGACCTGGAATGAGAGAGGTTTTTCTTTTCTTCTTGCAGTAAAGGCTGATTGAGGATTCAGAAGCTGGTATTCTATGGAGATGAGGGAAATATCATAGAATAATACTATCAAACACACGCCTGGAGCCAAGTCTGCACACCTGCATGTATGTGTGTGCATGTATGTGTGTCCATGTGCATGTGTGTGCATGTATGTGTGTGTATGTGTGTGTATGTGTGTGTCCATGTGAGTGTGTGTGCATGTGTGTGTGTGCGTGTGCTTGCATGCATGTGTGTGCATGTGTGCACATGTGCTTGTGTGTAGGTAGACACATATACACCATACACGCACACACACACACCAGCCCCTGTAGAGCCTGAGCTAGTCCACAGGACTGTTGCAATAGGAGGAGCAGGCAAGGGCAGAGGACAGCCCCTCTCCACGGAGAGGTACCTGTCACGAGTACTCTGATGCAAGGCCACTGAAGGGCGTTAGGCTTGGGTTGCCCTCTCATCTCAGCCACCTGTTTGGTAACAGAAGGAATCACTGAACGAACAGCCACTAAGCTAGTATTGCACTTTATGCCTTACAAAGCATCTCAGATACATTCATACGCCATGAACAGGAGGCAGTAAACAAAACAGGGACTTCAGCGTCCAACTGGGCTGGAATCCCAACTCCGCTCCTTCCTCGTTCTGGGGCCCTGGGGACGTCACGGAGCCTCTCCCTGCCTCCGCGTTCCACGTCTGCACCATGAGCACGGCTAAGCCAAGTGGCCACGCGGTTCCCTCCCACCACACTGGAGGGCAAGCCCACGTTGGAGTCCCCTCCCCCTCACCCCCAGGGCCTGGGACAGCACCAGGCGAGAGGGGTGGGTCAGTAAGGGTTTGAGGAGTGGGCAGGGGACAGGGGGTTCTGAGGACATCCAGCCCAGTGCCTGGAAACAGCCACGAGGAAAGGTGCTCGGTGCACCAGAGTCGTGCCTTCTCTTCCCACTGCAACAACCAAGCCCGGTTTCTGCCCCATGGGTGTGGTCTGTCCCTGATGTCAGGCTGGGGGAATGACTTTTTGTGGGTTTCTAAGATGAGTTTTCACCTCAAAGCTCCATGTACCATTTCCTGGTCCTGAAGGCGCCTCCCCCAGGTGATGTAATCCAATTCTGGCACTGACTGCATAAAACTTTGCACAGTTACTCCCCTTCCTGGGCACAGCTTCCCACTTCACCCACACAGGGAGTTTCGGAGAATTCAATCTCCAGTGGATATTCAGCCAGAGGAGAAGAAAGAGAGGCACAAAATGCTTTGGATGAGGACAAAGGCAAAAGGCCCCAGCAGTTTCCCTGAAACCTCCATTTTCACCTCTACTAACCACTGGGGCATCTGCAAATCTTTTATCCAAGGTTTAATCCTTCCTTCTAATGGAAGAAACTCAACCAGAGATGAAAGGAATATCTTGGTCAATGCATTCAGAAATTACTGAAACAAATTAGATTTGGGGAGTTGGTCTGGGTTTAACGTCCAACATGTGAAAGATAGCACATTGCCGTGTGTGTCTTAACCACAGCTGGTTAGAAAAGTAAACCAGTGAGTTGCTTGATATTATCTTAGGCCATTGGAATAAGGCATTTTACCAAACTACCTTAACACAAAAAGCAGTGGGGAAATATCTGGGAATCTAAACAATGGCATTTGAGCCAATGCTGCCAAAGGTTACGAGGAAAATGCCCAGCCAGGGACCCTTGCTGAACCTGGAAGAGGGAGGCCGGCTGCACCTAGGACAGATGCATCCTCTCCTCCCTTGGCGGTAGGCTTTCCTCCAGTCTACGGGGGAGGGCTGAGCAAAGCCATCCTGGGGCGTCAACTGCAGAATCCTCACCTACTCCAGTTCACCCTTCAAAAAATAAACCCACATGGTCTCACATATCCATTCCCTTCTTGCAGCCTAACAGCCCTCATGGTTCCCAAGCTCTTCCCCCTTAGAATTACCCCCATCAAGTTCCTACGAGAGTCATTCCATCAGAGGGCTTAGGTGCTCTCCGAAACCAGATTTAAAATCTAGAGGCATCTCACTGTTTCCTCCTGAAATTGATGAGGCACAGCAAGCGGTCTCAGCAAACGAGACCAAAGCTGCTTCTGAGGCAGGGCTGTGGGCCCCATGCAGTGCAGTTCCTGGCAGACACACCCCTATTAGGGCCATGAAGCCACAACACTAATCCACAATGGGGAAGGCTCACCTGGAGGGAATGGGCGTTTTCAACACTGACCTCACTCGATGTAGTTCTGAGTCATGAGCAAGGACTTTTGCCTTTTTCCAATTCTGCATTTCACCAGGCTATTCCTAGGTAGGTCTTCCCTATGTGCAATGTCTTACAAGAAGATCTATTTTGAAATTAAATGAGGACTTTTTATAAAGGCTAAGTTTGACTCTGGTTAAAAACTTAATCTGGAAGGCAATGCCATATTTGTATAGAACAAGCACACTTAAAATTACACTTTAATATCTATCTCAATTGTGTTTACTAAAAAAGATCTAGCAGTAAAAAAGGAATCTCTAAGAATTAGCAAACTAAATCCATGTGTAAATAAAATTCAGACCCTTTTCGTTCTTTCGAAGTGGGAAATAAGAGCTTCAGGGACATCGCCAAGGAATCCCACCACCTTTGAGCTGGCATGGCCTTGGGCATGATGTACTGTAACTATTTACAGATGAGGAAAAATGTAGCTTAGAAAGGTTCACTGATTTTCCCGCAAAAACACAGCCTTTCCATCGGAAGCCCTGATTCTAGGAGAATGATATTCTAGAGGGAGTAAACAATGGCATTTTCCTAAAGGTGGACTTCTTTGGCCAGAATCACCTTCTCTGCATGTAGTCAAACTGCTTCTGAGAGCTGACAAACTCACAGGCAGCCTTGTTGTGAATTCAAAGACCACTTGACCTCCAGATAGGCACCTGTTTCTGCCCTAGCGGGATTTGACTTATGTGATTCAGTCATAGGAAAGAAGCGGTTTCCAACGTGCAAAGTTTACACAGGCCTAACACTGAGGCGGTGATGCAGCTGTGAGGTCGCAAAACCCAGAGATGAAATCTCCCACCACTCGAAGTGCGTTGTTTGATCAAGTTTCAAATGCCTCCACATGCTGAAGTCTACTGACTTCGTCCTAAGCCCTTGGATTCTGATGCCATCTCGTTGGCCTCCTCCCCTCTTGCACAGTTAGCCCATCTTTCACTGCTGGCCACTCCTGCTGAGCCAACCCTCAAAGGTCGTGCCTGAATTTCCCTAAGCCCCATTCTTCCAGGTTCAGTGGAGGCAGCTGAGGTGATACAGGAGGAAAGGGAAGCTGTTTGTTTGTTTGTTTAAATCAACCTAGGCAAAATTAAAGGTAGTCAGAAAGTTAGGAAGAAACAAACAATATATTTCGCTTAAAATAAGAAGCACGTGGAAAAAGAAAGACTTTGAAAGAGTTGGCCAATGTCTTCTCACAATTTTTTGTATAGCTTTTAAAAATGTCTGCATGGCTCAGTGGAGATGGTGTCCACGTCTTCCCTCCACCTGGAACCTGCATTCAATCCTTCACAAGTGCTGTCTATGTATGAGACCAGCTGGGTGACTCGGTTAAACCCCTCGCCTCTCTAAACAAAGTATGTGATTTACCCTGAATCATTCTTCAGCAAGTACTAAAAAGGTATAATTTCTTAAAATGAATGCGATTGATCGACTTTTGGCTTGCAAAAATGACTTCTCATTGGAAAAGAGACACACCTTAGAAAGATGAAAATGTGAAAAACAACAGTCATAAAATGGAATCGCTCCATGCTCGGACTCTCTGCCACCAGACATCTGACTGTGCAGCCATCAGCTGAGAGGCTGCTTGCAGTTCCCCATCCAGGACCCACGGTGCCTGGTGCTAAGGAGCGACTGGACTGAGGAAGCCTCTCATCACCAGCTGTGTTGCAGCTTTAAATTCTGCCCCAGTTGTGGTATTTAAAATTCTGTATGTTAAAAAAAAAAAAACCACCAATCTGCCTACATCTTCCTAGTTAAAGCTAGAAAGGGGAATGGAGAGAAGATCCAACCCAGCTGGGCAGAGTGGCTGAGCACGAGACACCCACAAACCCAACGCGGTTCTAGGGGTTGGATCAGAAGAGTCTCTGTGTCGTCGGTCGGGCACAGGCTTGCCTCCTCGATTCTAGACGTGCCCTCGGCCACAGTGTCTAATCTTCCTGTTTCCTGGCATTCAGGTGTTTTACCTCTCTGCCCGGATTTTGTACCTGAGGACAAAATAGGCAATGAGGCGGAGGGAGATGAAGAAAATCCCGAGTACGATGAAGTCCAGGTACAGCTTGGCATTTTCCACGTCCAGCTCCCGCAGGATGGCCTCCGACTTCTGGAAGTGGCACGTCTCGTCGATGTCACAGTGCAGATCTTCCCGGTCTAAGCCATAGATGGAGAGGATGACCCCTTCGAACCCATACCTAGGAGGAAAGGCCAGGCATGAGGGAGGACGTTCTCCCAGCCAGCCACGCCGTTGGCTGAAGGTCAATGTCGTTCACCCTCCCTGCGATTCCCAGCTTGGCTATCCTCCCTTCCCAAAGGGCCGCCTTCCCCAGAATACTTCCTCACCGCCCACCACCTTCTTAAGACAAACACGTGCAACAGCTCCACTATGTTTTTCTTCCAATTTTGTTTCCTCCAGGGCCCCCAGCAAAAAAACAAGTTGAATGAGCGGTACATATTCACTGGTGAAATGCACTGAGAAGTCTTGTGTTCACTTCCGAGGTTACATGCTTTCTAACGGTTGGAGGGAATCGTGGGCCAGCCAACTTGCAAGGACTTGAGAGCATTTATATGAAACATTCCTGCCCCCTCTCTCCCTCTGCTCCAGTCCTGCCCTGTCAGAACAAAAGCACTCATTTTGAGAAGAAAGACGTCGGTTTCTGATTTCATAGTGTTGGAGCACACGCAGATTGTCGAAACTCTGTACAAGTGCTTTGTTTTCTTGAACAATATACCTAAGTCTGAACTGACATTCTAGAGAAGAAGAGCTTGTTCCCAACTTTGGATCTTAGTGTCACATGGAACTTCTGCAGCTCGGAAGATGGGCGCTGCCCCTGGTGGGGCCAGCGTGCCAACACCGCACTCCACAGAGGGCACGAAACGTTGTAGCTAAGGACCTGAGGCACTGGGCATTCTTGTTCCAAGATATTAGGATGTTTAAAAAGATGTTTAAAAATGACTTGTTTCCCACCAGATTTCTTTCCTTTTTTTTTTTTTTTTTTTTTTTTTTTTTTTTTTTTTTTTTTTTATTGAGACGGAGTCTCACTCTGTCACCTAGGCTGGAGTGCAGTGGCGCGATCTCAGCTCACTGCAACCTCTGCCTCCCAGGTTCAAGGGATCTTCCCGCCCTCCCGCCTCAGCCTCCGGAGTAGCTAGAATTACAGTCGCGCGCCACCAAGCCCACCTAATTGTTTTGTGTTTTTAGTGGAGACGGGGTTTCGCCATGTTGGCCAGGCTGGTCTCAAACTCCTGACCTCAAGTGATCTGCCTGCCTCAGCCTCCCAAAGTGCTGGGATTACAGACATGAGCCACCACGCCTGACTCCCACCAGATTTCTTATAAAGGTTTTACAATCAGCACTTGTTAGGAGCACTCGGCACTTCGGGGAGGAAGAACGTTCCTAAAAGATGGAAGCGCTTCCACCGAAGGCAGCTCTCGGCAACGTCCAGAACACTTGGTCCTGCCATGGCTCTCCGGGTGTGAAGCGCTGGTTTGTGTGGCCTCCTTGTTTAGTGTGTGTGTGTTGGTGAGGGTAGGAGGAGGTGGAACTAGCAGGAAGATGGAAGGCCTGGATCCTCAGATGTGTAATCTGCTCTTGGCCAGCAGCCCAGAGTGGCTTTTGTGAGCCCCTCACGCTGTTGGAGACGGTTCTTCCCCCGTCACCCTCGGTCCCCACGCCATGCGTGCCCCACGCCCGCTACCTGACATAGGAGATGTAGGACATCCACTGTAGGTACGTGGGGATGGTGTCGAAGCTGACGAAGAACCCCGAGAACAGGAGCACCGGGATGGCTGTCACTGGGCCCACGAAAGTGGCCACCTGGAGTTGGGGGCACACAGGACAGATGTAGCAGAACCTGCAGCCTGGCCTCCTGCAGAGGAGGCTCGCCCACGCCAGCTTCCCCCGGGCAGGGCCAGGGCACCTTCTGGGCAGGGTAATGATGATGCTTAATGTGGCAGAAGGTGCAGCGTTCCCGAGGTGTGGGGTCACCATCTCTGAGGACCCCCCGGCTGCCCTGCTGTGACGTGGCAGCCCCAGAGCCTCCTGCAGCCCAGGATGAGCTGGGACCCAGTGGATGTCCCCAGGCCAGAGAGGTGGGGACACACCCTCCTCAACAGACTGCCGTCTGCTCCTCCACAGCTGTCCCCGGGGGGGCTAAGTGCCTGGCCTGTGGCAGGTGTGTGGCGGGCACCCCTTCGGTCGGGGCACAGTGGAAGGACTGCAGCCTTCACAGGCGGGATGGACGCCTGCCTGTCAGCACCTCCGGGAGGGCAGCCCAGAGACCGAAGCAACCGCCGCGACTCAGGGTTCACAGTGAGCACAGGTCCAACAGGGGCACTGTGAGTGTGTCGGGGGTAGGAGGGTGTGTGGAGTGTGTGTGTGGAGTGTGTGTGTGGAGTGTGTGTGTGGTGTGGGCGGTGTCTGCTGTGTGGTGTGTGTGGTGTCTGCGGTGTGTGGTGTGTGGTGTGGAGTGTGTGGTGTGTGGTGTGGTGTGTAGTGTGTGATGTTTCTAGTGTGTAGTCTGTGTGCGCAGTGAGTGGTGTGTGTGCATAGCATGTAGTGTGTAGTGTGTGTTTGTGTGTAGGGTGTGGTATGTGGTATGTACTGTGTGGTGTGTGTATGTAGTATTTGTGTGTAGTGTGTAGTGTGGTGTATGTGTAGTGTGTGGTGTGTAGTGTGTAGTGTGGTGCGTGTGTAGTGTGTGGTGTGTAGTGTGTGTGGTGTGTGTGTGGTGTGTAGTGTGTAGTGTGGTGTGTACTGTGTAGTGTGGTATGTGTGTAGTGTGTGGTGTGTAGTGTGTAGTGTGGTATGTGTGTAGTGCGTGGTGTGTAGTATGTGTGGTGGGTAGTGTGTAGTGTGATGTGTGTGTAGTGTGTGGTGTGGTGTGTACTGTGTAGTGTGGTGTGTGTGTAGTGTGTGGTGTGTAGTGTGTAGTGTGGTATGTGTGTAGTGCGTGGTGTGTAGTATGTGTGGTGTGTAGTGTGTAGTGTGGTGTGTGTGTAGTGTGTGGTGGGTAGTGTGTAGTGTGGTGTGTAGTGTGTACTGTGTGGTGTGTAGTGTGTGTGGTGTGTACTGTGTAGTGTGGTATGTGTGTAGTGTATGGTGTGTAGTGTGGTGTGTGTGTGGTGTGTAGTGTGTAGTGTGTGTATGCAGTGTGTGGTGTGTAGTGTGTAGTGTGGTGTGTGTGTAGTGTGTGGTGTGTACCGTGTGTGGTGTGTAGTGTGTAGTGTGTGGTGTGTGTAGTGTGTGGTGTGTACCGTGTGTGGTGTGTAGTGTGTGTGGTGTGTGTGTAGTGTGGTATGTGTGTAGTGTGTGTGGTGTGTAGTGTGTAGTGTGGTGTGTGTGTAGTGTGTGGTGTGTACTGTGTAGTGTGGTGTGTGTGTAGTGTGTGGTGTGTAGTGTGTAGTGTCGTATGTGTTTAGTGTGTGGTGTGTAGTATGTGTGGTGTGTAGTGTGTAGTGTGGTGTGTGTGTAGTGTGTGGTGGGTAGTGTGTAGTGTGGTGTGCAGTGTGTACTGTGTGGTGTGTAGTGTGTGTGGTGTGTACTGTGTAGTGTGGTATGTGTATAGTGTATGGTGTGTAGTGTGGTGTGTGTGTGGTGTGTAGTGTGTAGTGTGGTGTGTATGCAGTGTGTGGTGTGTAGTGTGTAGTGTGGTGTGTAGTGTGTGGTGTGCACCGTGTGTGGTGTGTAGTGTGTGTGGTGTGTAGTGTGGTGTGTGTGTAGTGTGGTATGTGTGTAGTGTGTGGTGTGTAGTGTGTAGTGTGGTCTGTGTGTAGTGTGTGTGTGCATGTGTGCCGTGTGCAACCGTGCAGACAGGGGCATCCCAGCCCTGGTCTGATTAGTGACCCCTGCGGAGCCTGAGTGCCCTAGGCAGGGGTCCTGGGGGTGGCTGAGCAGGTGCACTGGGGCTGGCCTTGGGGCACACGGGTTGCAGCACCTGGCATGGGCCTGGCACCTTCCTGCAGTGTCATCTTTGGTCCCATGGCAGCCTTGTGAGATGGGCTCCATGGCAGTCCTCATCTAAGGTGAGGGCACCTGGGCCCTGGAGGCCAGGGAGCTTGCTTATGGTGGACTGGAGGTGACTCAGGAATACACTGCACCCAGCATGGGACCCTGGGGCCCTCGGGTGTTCCCAATCCACCCAGGAACACTGCTTTTGTCCAGAAGGACAGGCTGAGGCCGAGCGTCCTAAAGCCACAGAGGTAGAGAACCTGCAGGTGCATGTGGGCGGCAGGTCGGGGGGCAGGGTGGGCGATGGGAGGAGGAAGGGGCCCATGGAGAGGCCGAGGGAACCCCACAGAGGCAGTGATGCATAGGTGTTGGGAGCTTGGCTCCCGAGTCAGCTGTGTGACCCCCTGACAAATCACTTTGCCTCTCTGGGCCTCAGTGCTCCCCTATGTAAAATGGGGCCAGCACAGCACCTAAGCGTGGCTGTGCTTGGGGCTACAGGAGCTCAGATCTGGGAAGCGCTGGGAAGAGCGCCCAGCACGCAGTCAGCACACGTGAGGCTGCCCGCTGTGCGCACTGTGGAAGCCAGCTGATCCTGACCCTCGACAATGCGGGCCCTTCCCGTGGGAACGACCCCATCTAGGAGGGTCAGGGCAGAAGTAGGGGAAGGGGTGGCAGAGCCCCCTAGCTCAGGCCAAGGTAGCTCAGGGAAGCCCAGCCGTCATGCCCTCACTTAGCGCCTCCTGGGCTGGCACCTGCAGGGACGTGGAGGCGGCTCCGATCAGCAGGCCCAGGGACTGTGCCACCAGGGAGGTCATGGTGCCCAGCGCGGCAAACAGCACAAAGCGCACGGCGTCGGACGGCTGCGACGTCATCCAGTACACGATGCTGCAGTAGGCCACTGGGAACATGATCTGGAAACAAGGACCCGTCAGCCGCGGGCTCAGCCGCTTCCCACCACAGCAGGCCAACAGCAAAGCTCCTGGGCAGCCAGCCCTTCCCCGCAGCTCCCGCCAGAGCTCCCAAAGTCGGGTCCTTCCCCACTCCCCACAGCTCCCGCCACAGCTCCCGAAGTCAGGCCCTTCCCCGCAGCTCCCACCAGAGCTCCCGAAGTCGGGCCATGTCACCCTGCATCCCTGGCAGGTCCTCTTACTCGATATAAAGGGTGTACAGGAGAACTCTTGCCCCCGTTTCAAATTCCAGCCCCTGGCTAACACACCTGAAAGGGCACGTCTGCCATGGTCTTGGCCAGGTAGTAGGCCTTCAGGCTGTACCAGTAGTTCAGGTGTTCCCGAAGAAAGACTCCCATCTCCAGGGGAACTAGGAGATAGAAAAGCAAAAAAGAAGGGTCAGTGACCATGTGCAGCGAGCCCGTTTAACATCCCAACAGGCGATCTTGAGCTGAGCGGCTGGTAACCCAGCTCTGGCCTAGGGCACTGAGAGATTGAACAAACAGAGGATGTGTTTTGCTAGCCTGAAAAACGCCACCCGTTTGCATAACCTGAAGAGTCATTGAGTGGAGAATCAGGATGGGGAGCATGTCTGTGAATACAAAGCATCATCTTAGTGATGAAGGCAAGGATTCATGCCTGGCCTTACTCTTCCTGAGTCTGCCTCTTCTGAAACTCTGCATCAACGTGGTGCCTTCCTGTGAGCAAGGCTGCAAGCTGCTCTTGGAAATCAGGGGAAGCTTGGGGAGGAGGTACCTAGGGAGGAGCTATTTATGCTAAAGTTCTGGAGAAGCAGCCGCTGTGTTCACTGTCAGCCAAAGTGACCAAGGGCAGTCTCCTTGTGAACAAACTGGAATTGTGTGGATATCCATCTAAGAGAGCTTATCTGCTCCCGAAGTGGGCTGTGCAGAGCTATCTTAACAATTGAACTAGGTAATGCTTAAGTAGTAGAGTTGGGGGGCTCCTAATTAGTGAATCTTTGAGAAATCTCCCTCCCATCAGCCTTCCATCATGCTTAAAAGTCTTCCATTTGGGATTCATTCCTTTGGCTTAAGTATTGTATTTTCTTATCTAACAGCAAATACAATACAACTTGCATCTGTCAACAAAGAAGATGATATTTTAAAAAAACAAAAACATTGTGTTTAGAAAACTCATCTGTTGGTCAAGGCGTGACTTCAGGCCCCCATGCTTGGGTAGGAATTGAAAATAAGGAAGAAGGGGTCAGCGGTCTGTCACTCACATGTCAGAACAGTAGGCATGAGGGCCGCGAACATGAGGAACAGCATGGAGAAGAAGAGGAAGCCGGAGTTGCTCAAGACCTTCTTGGCTTCGTTCCCGATCCCCAAGTACAGCAGGCCAATGAGGAGGCCGATCCCAATGTGCGAGGTGATGCGCAGGTGTGTCAGGACCTGGGGACAGACCCGCATCTTACCCAGTGCGTTCGCAAAGCCGTCCTCGGCTCAGAGAACAACCCGGATGCGGCCTTTGGAAGCATGGGACCCTGAACTCTGTGACAGCACGTCTTAGACTTTATCCTGTCTTCTCCTCCAGAGAAACAAGCCAAACCCTAAAGCGACTCACATACACACACACACTCACACACACACATACACGCCTGCTCACACACATATATGCACACATGTCAGGCTTTTGTTGTGTTAAAACCAACATAATTACTATCCTTTGTAAAAGATTTAAAAATGGAGAACAAAGGAAGTCTACCCTCAGAAGAGAGGAAAGGTAAAAACAATGGTGAGGGAAAAGTGGCTATATCAGAGGCTCTAAGAACTCTGCTGTGGACGGCGGTGAGCCCCTCTGTCTTTCAAATTAGGTCCCAGAAGCCATGCCAGGCATTCAGCCGCTCCTAAGTAGGTGGCCAGATTGTCAACTTCTCTGGTAGAATTATGGTTCCCGCGTATTCACCACCTCCTTCCCTATAAGGAATTGTCCAACCCCCCGTCCCAATCCTCATGATTCACAGTGCTTTCCTGAAGGAGAAATGGACTCGCCTACAGCCCTGGTTTCAGGCTCGGCCATGTGACTTGTTTAGGCCAATGGCATGTGAGTGCAAGTGATGATTTGCCACTTCCAACTGGAAGTTTTAAGGGCTGTCATTTGGTTTCTCTCTTGCACTTTTCCTTTGACATGGTGAAGAAAGGCATGTCCAGATAGGAGCTGTCCCGGGATGAGAAGACTTATGGGACAGAGCCATGATACAACCCACCGTTGCCACCCCTAACACAAGCAGGACACAAATATTGATGGAGGGAGACACGTACATTATGGGAGTGTTTGTTACTGCAGCATTACAGTGAACGCTGACTATTGCAAATAGAAGAAAAGTAATTTGAAAGTTTAGTGATATGGTTTGGGTCTGTGTCCCCGCCCAAATCTCATGTCAAATTGTAATCCCCAATGTTGGAGATGGGGCCTGATTGGATCATGGGGGTGGACTTCTCCTTTGGGTCTGTGCTCATGACAATGGGTGAGTTATTGTGAGATCTGAATGTTTAAAAGTGTGTAGCGCTCCATCCCACTTTGCCTTCCACCATGATTGAAAGTTTCCTGAGGGCTCCCCGGCCATGCTTCTTACACAGCCTGCAGAACAATGAGCCAATTAAACCTCTTTTCTTTATAAATTCCCCAGGCTCAGGCATTTCTTTCTTTCTTTCTTTTTTCCTTTCCTTTCCTTCCCTTCCCTTCCTTTCTCCCTTTCCCTTTCCCTTCCTTTCTTTCCTTTCTTTCTTTTTCAGATGGGAGTCTCTCTCTGTCACCCAGGCTGGAGTGCAGTGGTGCAATCTCGGCTCACTGCAATCTCCGCCCCCCTGGGTTCAAGCAGTTCTCCTGCCCCAGCCTCCTGAGTAGCTGGGATTACAGGCATGCACTACCAGGCCTGGCTAATTTTTGTATTTTTAGCAGAGATGGGGTTTCCCCACGTTGGCCAGGCTGGTCTGAACTCCTGGCCTCAAATGATCTGCCTGCCTTGGCCTCCCAAAGTGCTGGGGTTACAGACATGAGTCACCATGCCTGGCCTCATGAATTTCTTTATAGCAATGTGAGAATGAACGAACACATTCCGTCAGGACGAGTCTGAGAAAATGACCCACGGGTTCCCCAGCTACAGGAGAAGATGCGGGCAGCCTTACCGAGTCCCTCATGATGCTGAGGAAGGTCCTCTTGAAGAGGATGCAGAACTGCGTGAGGCAGCTGGCAGAGAAGCTGTGGCAGCCTTCCATGGACGAGGAGTCCTGAGGACACACGCAAGAGGGGAGCGGGTGAAAGCCAGTCCGGAGCCACGGCTCCTTCTTGCTCGGAAAGAGCTCTCATGCAGCAGTGCACGGTGCCACGTGCAGCCTCCCCCAGGGGGCTTCGGGATTTGCATTACCTTTCTCAACCCCTTTAATCGTTTTGTCTGCTTTACCTCTTCAGAGGGCCGGTGCCAAAGAAAAGGGTTCACCTCGGCATCACCCCCGAGGTCTCTCTTGTGGTCTGAGTCACACATGCCCTCCCGAACCGCTCTCACCAGCCGACTGTTCTGATCACCGTACTCGCCGGATGCAACCTCCATGACTGCAGGAGACACAGACGGGGGTCAGCCCGGGCTCCAGGAAGGACACCCCAACCACCCAAATGCGAAAGTCGTTATTCAAGTGGGAATGTTTTAAAGCGATTACATAGATGCTGCGTGGCGGTGCTAATGGCATGACGTCAAAATCATTTATCAACCAGCGTGCGGCTCTCAAACCCCCCAGCAAGGCCCTTTATCATGTCAGGAGACGGGAAACGCAAACACACACTGTGCTGTCAGTGGTCTGAGAAGTAATGAGCTCCTGCATCTACCGACTGCTCATCCAGCCGGTACTTACTGAATGCCTGCTCTGGGCCAGCCTCCAAGGTGGAGCTGGGAAGGGAGCAGAACGAAGGACTCCTCCCTGAGGGACTCCTCCTTGAGGAGCTTGTGGTTTGGCAGGGTGTGACGAGAGCCACGGCAGTTCTACAAGATGGCAGAGAAGGACGTGCCCATCGCCACATGAGTGGCTGGCACCCTGGGGACTTGGAGGTCCTGGGACCCTCAACCTGCACCTCTCAGATCCCAGTGAGCGTCTCCTGCACCGGCCCTGCCCGCTGCTCCTGCCTCTCGCATCCCAATCGTCACCTCCCCACTCCACCTGCAGACTCGCTCCCCTAAGGTCTCCCTCCACCTGGACTTCCTCTGCAGCCTGCAACTCCTTCCACACTCCCGTGGTGACTGGCCTCCTTCCCTCTGCCTACATCTGCTTTCTCCCAACCCCTCTGCCCTCTCCTGCCTCTGTGTCCTCCCTGTGCGATGCCTTGCCTCCCACTCCAGTAACGTTCTTGCTAAGGCCCAAAGCTCCCCAACACCCTTACCTTTTCCGCACTTCCCTCTGGCAGAGCCAGCTACCCGCTTCCTCCCAGCTGGTACGGAGGCCACCACACCTCCTAGATGAAGCCACAAACCAGGACACATTGGCCCCACCGGAAAGTCATCCTCAAGGGCTCCAAACGAGCCTACAGCACTGCCAGGCAATGTTTCCAGGCCCCTCTGGTCACCCACACCCTCAACAGTGGGCCACACTCCCCTCACCTCCCGCTCTCTGGTCAGACGACATTGAGGAAATGAAATCCCCAGAAGGGAATGCCCTCATCTCTCCAGGACCTCTCTGCATCCCCACGCACCGTGTTTCCTCTCCTTCCTGCCCGCCCTTCCCTCCAGGTTCTCACCTCCATGCAGGCTTCAGACCTCACCTCCCCTGCCCCACTCAGCAGCATCCGTTAGTGACCCGTTACTGATCTGTTACTCTTCCTTGTGAGCGAGCACGAAACCAGAACCACAACCCTCCTGGGGCTCCCGTCCCACCTTAAACCACACTCCCTGCAACCCTCGCCCTGTCTCCTCTCCATCACAGCCTACTCCTTGTGAGTGAGAGGCACGTCCGTGAACAATGTCTCATGGAACACAATTTGGGAAATAGTGTGGTAGAAAATACGGAGTCCTGGGAATTGCATGAATCAAATATTTTAAAGAAAAACGACAGATTAAGACTGATGGCTGGAAGGCGAAGGAGGAGGGAAGTCCACCTGGACTGTCACTATGCACCCTTATTTGAAAAAGCATCTTTGCAGAGGTAATTAGGATCTTGAGATGAATCATCCTGGACTTAGGGTGGGCCCTGAATCCAATGACTGCTGTCCTCAGGAGAGGAGGTGATTAGGACATGGAGACAGGAGAGAGGCAGAGACAGGCTGGCCAGATGATTTTACCTAGAGTCTAGAGGAAATGAAACCTAATTTTTTTGTTCTTTAAACGTTTTATAACTGGATGACACTTGAGCTATTTGTGGTAGTCAAGTGGTTTCTGAGTTGGGGGCGTCAGCTAAAAGTGAGACCCACAGAGGAGGAAAATCCCCTTTCTGTCCCCCGAGCTGCTCAGGACTCCGCTTACCAAAATCTGCTGGGTTGTGGTAGGTTGGGCAGTTCAGACCCAAATCCCTCAAATATGGCACAAGATTGCAGACTTTTCCCCGGTACACACATTGTCCTTGACTCAGGACGTAAAGCTGGAAAAAAGGAAGGAGAAAAAGGGATCAAGCCCTGCCTTCCTCGGAAGGCAACCGGAGCCCTCAATCAATCAATCAACCAATCAATCAACCGATCAATCAGTCAGCCCAGCGATCAGCCACTTCCTCTCCTGAGAGCTTTACATCACCCCCAAGGGCCCTATTAACATCTGAAGGGAAAGCCACGATAAGCCAGGGAAGAATATCGCACGGCCAGGATGATTTGACTATATTGCTTGCTGTTTATTTTTCATGCTAACCCCCTGCTCAGAAAAAATTTTGGAGCTATACACATTTTATCCCTTTGTGACTATTTTTGCTTAGACTAATATCAAAACCTAAGTTTTTTTGTTTGTTCATCTTTTTTTTTTTTTGATACAGGGTCTTGCTCTGTTGCCCAGGCTGGAGTGCAGTGGCACGATCTTGGCTCAGTGCAGCCTCCACCTCCTGGGCTCAGGTGATCCTCCCACATCAGCCTCCCCAGTAGCTGGGACTATAGGAGTGTGCCACCACACCGGGATAATTTTTGTATTTTTTTTTCTTTTGTAGAGACAGGGTTTTACCATGTTGCTCAGGTTGTTCTTCAACTCCTGAGCTTAAGTGATCTGCCCACCTCAGCCTCCCAAAGTGCTGGGATTACAGGGGACAGCCACTGTGCCTGGCCAAAACCTAAGATTTATAAACCAAATGATACTGTGCAAATGCTGTAACCTGTTATTAATTCTGGAAAACAAGTGTCCCCCCTCCCCCCATTTTAACAGGGGAGGTGATGAAGTTCTACAATGCTGGTGACACCCAGGATCCCATGACCGACCACCAGGACAGAGAGAGGACTCTGCTCACCAGCTTCCACTCCCCAGCCCCCTTCGCTGCCTGTGGTTCCACAAGTCTCACAAAACCTGGCACTTAAACGCTCTCAAAAATGAAGACACCCCACGAGCTAACAGAAGGCCATGGGTACCCAGGGTTTGATGTCATGAAGACATCCCACGAGGTAACAGAAGGCTGTGGGTACCCAGGGTTTGGTGTCATGAAGATGCCCCATGAGCTAACAGAAGGCTGTGGGTACCCAGGGTTTGGTGTCATGAAGACGCCCCACGAGCTAACAGAAGGCAGTGGGTACCCAGGGTTTGGTGTCATTCAGGCTGACCTGAGTGCAGTGGTAATCTGGCGGGGAGGGCCCGGGGCCCGCGTACCTGGTCGAACAGCTCGAAGAGTTTGGCGCTGGGCTGGTGGATGGTGCAAATGATGGAGCGACCCCCTTGAGCGAGCCCTTTCATCAGCGAGACCACCTGGAAGCAGGAGGCGCTGTCCAGGCCGCTGCAAGTCAAGAGGCACCGTGAGACGCCTGCGGGCGGCAGGAACTAGCCACTGCCCCAGGTTCCGGGGGTCCAGGGAGTTCCTGTCCCAGAGGGCTTGGCATCAGGGGCTGCAGCTGCAGCTGCCCCGTCCCAGGCCGGGCTCTGCTCTTGCTGTTTGTTTTGCTGCTCAGTGGCAGGGCACACAGCAGGGCTTTGCATGTTGCATTTTATTCCTGGTAAGAACGGAGGGACCCCAGCGAGCCTTGCTGCCAGAGTCCAGGACTGGGGGGGGGTCCCCACTCATCTGGGCAGGGAGGGACTTCACAACTATCCAGGCGGGACAGAGGTGGGGGGGTCCCCACTCATCTGGGCGGGGGGACTTTGCAACTGTCCAGGCGGGACAGAGGTGGGGGGGTCCCCACTCATCTGGGCGGGGGGGACTTCGCAACTGTCCAGGCGGGACAGAGGTGGGGGGGTCCCCACTCATCTGGGCGGGGGGACTTTGCAACTGTCCAGGCGGGACAGAGGTGGGGGGGTCCCCACTCATCTGGGCGGGGGGGACTTCGCAACTGTCCAGGCGGGACAGAGGTGGGGGGGTCCCCACTCATCTGGGCGGGGGGGACTTCGCAACTGTCCAGGCGGGACAGAGGTGGGGGGGTCCCCACTCATCTGGGCGGGGGGACTTTGCAACTGTCCAGGCGGGACAGAGGTGGGGGGGTCCCCACTCATCTGGGCGGGGGGACTTTGCAACTGTCCAGGCGGGACAGAGGTGGGGGGGTCCCCACTCATCTGGGTTGGGGGGTACTTCACAACTGTCCAGGCAGGACAGAGGTGGGGGGTCCCCACTCATCTGGGTGGTGGGTGGTACTTCACAACTGTCCAGGTGGGAAAGAGGTGGGGGTTCCCCACTCATTTGGGTGGGGGGGGACTTCACAACTGTCCAGGCAGGCAGCTGTGCCTCAGGTGGTCTAGTGCCCCGCAGTCACCACCCCCACTCCCCACCTCCCATCTATGGGGCTGGCGATGGGGGCATCACCCCATAGAAGGTGGCCTTGCTGCAGCCCAGGTGGGCTTTACTCCAGCAGGTGTTTCACTGTCCAGCAGGGTCCTGGGGGGACCTCTCTTCTCCTTTCCTAGCCCCTCAGATCTACTCCTGCTCTCATCCCCTCAACTCTGAAGTGACAGGCCCGGGGGACAGTGTGTGTTGGGCAGTCCCCCGGAGCCCACCCATCTCAGGGCATTCAGCCTGCAAGATGCTATTCAAGGGTTCATTGTGGTCTCTTTTCCTGAAGTATCTTATAGACACTGTGGGCTGTTACTGTGCAGGCCCAAGAGAAGGAAACAAGTGAGCCCCGCCATCCCCCCCTCAGAAGGCTGCTGTCACACTACTGTCAAATCTCGCTGGACTTTGGAGAGGTGAGTGAGTGGCAGAAATGAGACAACGTAAAGTCTGGCTGAAGTCATTTCAGGAGAAGCCTGGTTCCTGGCCACCCATCCTGCCTGGGACAACTGGACAGGACACATGCAGGAGTCAGGCGAGCTCAACCTGCGGCTGGGGGCACCAGATCCAGGACTCCAGGGTAGTGATTCCGCAGGGAGCCCCAAACATAAAGGGCATCACCCAGGAAAGGGGTCAGAGCGCCCGTGGGTATAGAGAGCTGGTGAGCAACTGAGGCAGGATCCTGTCCTGCAGGCGGGGTCAGAGCGCCCGTGGGTATAGAGAGCTGGTGAGCAACCGAGGCAGGATCCTGTCCTGCAGGCATCTCTGAGCCTCTGCTGTGCTAAACTGCAGGGCGTTTCCAGAACACACCTGAAGACACACCGTTTCCCAGGTCGTCCCATGACCTTGGCCCTCAGAGTGGCTGAGCCACGGGGAACTTGGTGTCATGGAAGAGATATGCATCGTGAAAGGACGTTTCCCCCAAAGCCATACCCCCAGGGTCAACACAAGCCTTGCAGGCCTGAGCACAGAGTGAGTGAGAGAGGGGGCATAAGTCAGCTCTTCTGCCCAGTGGTCCCAGATGGAAGGAGGAACCGCCGGGTGAGCTCAACTCACCCCCTCTGAGGCTACATCAGGATGTCAGGGTCACCTGGAAGAACCGCTGAATACAGGGGGTTCTTCCTGCCCCTGGACACCAGCTCAGATGCTCCTGACTTACCTGGTGGGCTCATCGAAGAACATGACTGGAGGGTTGTTCACCAGCTCCAGCGCGATGGCCAGGCGCTTGCGCTGACCACCTGACAGGCTCCCGGTCCGCGTGTTGGCGCAAGACAGCAAGCCCAGCGCTGTCAGTATCTCCTTGACCTGGGGGCAACAGAACGAGAGACATTGGGAGCTGCCCGCCAAAGCTCACCACCTCCCATGGCCCATGCAGGAAGACCTGCCAGCCGCCCTCAGCCTGCTGGACACACCGTGCCTGGCCCACGTGGAGGCCACGCAAGTCGAACCCACTCCAGGCTGCCCAGTGCCAAGTGGGGCAGGTGCCATTTCCACATCAGCCGTCCTGATGAGGGACAGAGACTGCCCAGAGGCTCTGCACTGCCCAGAGGCTGTGCAACAGTGCTGGGGTCAGATACAAGGGCCTGCATCCTCATCAGTCATATGGCCTCTGGCAGGTGCCCAGGGCACGTTCCTCACTGCTAAGCCTAGCCCAGTGCCCCATACGGAGAAGGTGTCCAGTCAATACTTGATGAATGGACACATGAGAGGATGCACAATTTCTGGTGGTTTCTGCCCAGAACGAAGGGGAGGGTCGCTGTGATGGTTACTTGAAAGAGTGGATGCAGAGTGCACAGAGCAGCATGGAGTCCGTGGGGGCTGTTCCCAGCACTCTTGTCATCGCTGAGGTAGGCATTAAGGGCAGGAACACGGTCACACACACCAGGGCTCTCGGGGAGGGGGACAGAGTCACTTTTGTTCTTGTAAATAGGTTTGACTTGAAAGCAAGGTCTCTGAGGTGCCAGGAAGGCAACGAAACAGATCTGCAGTACCCCTCAAAGCAGTCATGACCCACGGTAGCCACACCACGGCACAGGCTCTGGGAAGCAGGCTGCACGCCAGGAACAAGCAGGGCACTGCGCACGGAGCCCTCCCTGTCTGCTCCGGATTATTGATCCTGTATCGACTCAGGGAACACGAAGGTCAGCAGATTTCTGTGCTGGCTTGGTGCTGCTTTCAGCCCCAGCATCATCTCAGAAGCAGGCCCTGGGTCAGCCACTGCCATCCCTGCCTCCCTACCCTGGGGACAGCCCACCTGGAGCTCCCTCCAGCATTCACCCAGCTATTGTCCCCACCCTGCCAGGGCAGCCCTGTGGTGGCCGGCCCCTGGGAGCCATAGCAAGCGGACCCTACTCCAGCGGCTCCTCTAGGGAGATGAAGTCATCTGAAGGGAGGAAGAACTCACGAGGAAGAAAATTTCCACTCTGAGCTTCTGAATTATTTATGCACAGTCGGTACAAAGTGCAGCTTTGGTGACAGAAAGAACCGGGGCACGGCTGCTGGACAGGCCAGGGCAGGTGGCAGTACAGGGTCAGCCGACCTGGGCTCCAGCCCTGTCCTGAACCTCCTTGCTGATGCCCTCACCCCAGCCCTGGTGCCTCTGCTGGATGCCTGGCTCTGAGGGCCGCCAACCCAGAAACAGCTTCTGGAAGGCTGTCTGGAAAAGGCTGGTGGGTGGGGGGCGTGCAAGGTGGGCAGAGCCCTCTTCCCAGCTGGCATCGACTGCTGGTCTTCCCAGGACGAGGCCTCCAGATCTTCTGGAACCACTGGGCGACGCTCTTGGCCGACTGAGTGGCTCTGGTGCTTCCAGGCTCACTGTGGGGGCCCCACACATGCGGCACATCTTCTTCTCTCCCTCCACCCTCACGGAGGGGATGCTGGAAGCGGAGGCCGCTGTGGGTGCCTTTCCCTCCGCACCCCTGCCCATGAGCTGGGCCCACCCCACTTTCTCCAGTGTCCGCTCAGGAGTGATGCCACCCAGAAGGGTTCTGTTTTAAAGACTAGTCAGAAAGAACAAACAATGATCTCAGTTATTTATACATTTTCCCTAAACAAACAAACAAAAAACCTGCAAGGCCACTTGTAGCTCCAGCCCCCCTGGGGCTTCCCGGCGGGCGCTCCAGGGAGGATCTCGGCAGCCCAGGCTGCCCCTGGAGACCTCACTCCTGAGGAAGTGGCCTTGCTGGAGGGCTCTGGAGGGCTGAGGCTGCTTTGCTGGGAATTAAGGAAGGCCGTGAACAACACAGCAAAAATTCCATGATCTTCTAGAACATTCCATCCCATTGTGTTTCCATGAGACAGAGAGAGAACTTTGACCTAGGTGCACATCGGGGGTTGGAGGGAAGTGAGTGAAGGCACAAAGTTGCTGCCCTGTTCTCCTGAAGCAATCCTGATGGTGGGCCCGATGGCGAGGCATGCACCTGTGCCATGGCTGAGGAACAGCTGGGTCTGCTGGTGAGGAGCATGTGCAGGACGCAGCGTGGCCTCCAGGTCCTGTGGGGAGGGCTCTCTGCATTGTTCAATCCAGCCGAAGAGGAATCTGAGGACGGCGCCAGGGGCTCACCCCTCAGGGATGATTCAGCCACATGAGCTGATATTTTTGCCCTTGTAAACCCAGTTGAAAATAGCTGGAGGCTCTCATCCGGGCCGTGTCTTAGGCAGGGCCCAGGCACCACGAGGACACACACCTATGGGTGCCATCTGCCTTCGGGTCCCGTGTAGCTACTCCTGGGAGGCGCCTCCATTCTCCACCAAGATGCCAGCTTGTTCTGGGTCTTCCAGCTCCGGCAGGCCAAGGGCCTGGCTTGCTGTGACTTCAGCACGGAGCCTGCTGAGCAGCACTCACTGTGCGCCCAGCCCATGGGGAGAGCGACTTTCACCAGCTACCCCGGAAAAGGCTGGTGGCTGTCGCCTTATGCTGCAGGGAAGCAATCCCACAGCCCCTCCCATATGGATCACATGGGCTCCATCGAGCTCAGAGACCTTAAAGAAACCATCCAGTTCAGGTTGCACTGCCCCAAAAGGCAGGTGGGGCCTGGCTTCCTGTCCCCACGTTACAGGTGAAGCTCGGCTCGGGGCACAGCAGGCAGTGGCCCAAGGCCATCCGGTGGGTTCCAGGAGGCCAGGATGGAGGGCTCCCCCGTGTGCTCAGCTCTACTTCACCACAGGGCCTCTCCGTGTTAGCAAGTCTCTCCGCCCTCCGCCTCCTGCGTCTGCTCCCCCGGCCTCCGGTGATCCCCGAGACCCTCTCCACCGTTTGCTCTGTCCTTGGGCCTTATTTTGGGTCAGAGAGACAGAATTCCCTCTCTCCAGCGCCTCCCTCTCCAGAGCTCTTGGCTCCTCCTCCACGCCGAGCATCAGTGACCACTTCCACCGTCTCTCCTTGGAGCCCCCACAGCCGCCCCTCAGCTTGCAGGCCAGCATCTGGAGGGGTCTTTGGGACCTCGATGGAGGGCTATCCGAGACAAAGAGATTGGATTGTGCTTCCGACACCCCATGAAAGCAGGGAGGCCGGGGGATGGGAAGGAGGGCCCTGAAAGGCGGATCCAGGGGCACTGCATCCAGGCTTCGGGAGGAGCAGCTTCTTGAGTCTCCGGGTGGAAAAGCCTCTGCTTCATGGGGGCCCTGCACACTCTTGCCGGCCTCTCCTCTTGTCCTGTAGCTGATGGCAAGGAGGGCCCAGGACTGGGGGGTGGCAAAACTGACCTCAGACAGGGAGAGTGAAGGTCGCCCTGGCTCAATCCCAGGGCCCCGTTCTGTTGATTTGGGTTCATCTCCCATGGGAGACTTCGCCGAGACTCAGCTCTGACACCTGCTTTTCTCCATGTTCTTCTGTGTGCCTGGAACTAAGGCTCTCGTTTGTTACGTTCACTGCTGTAACGAAGTCCCCCACACTGGCTGGTTTCCACAACAGAAACTCCCGCCTCAATTCTGGAGGCCAAAGTCTGAGATCGAGGGCAGCAGGGTTGGTTCCTGAGGCCCCTCTCCTGGGCTGGCAGATGCCGCCTCCTCCCTGTGTCCTCACGGGGCCATCCCTTGGTGTGTCTGGGTCCTCCTCTCCTCTTCTTACAGGGACACAGTTAGACTGGACTGAGGCCCACCCATATGACCCCATTTTAACTTCATTACTTCTGTAAAGACCCGATCTTCAAATACAGCCATTTCTGGGTTTCTGGGGTGTAGGCTTTAACATATCATCTTTTGGGGGGAATTCAGGCCATAACACTCATCTTCCATAACTTGGTATAAGTAACATTCTCGGGCTTGGGAGGTGGTGTGTGTGTTGTGGGGGGGTGTCTACGTTACATTGTTTAGAAAACACTATCCAGAGGGGGCTCTCGCCTTTCAGCCTAGACAATAAACTCACAAGGCTGGGTCTTCTGCCCCCATGAAGGGCCAGGAACACATGTGATTTCCACATTTTCTCTCTTTTGGTTTCCACTCATCCATTTTCTTTTCAATCTCAGAATAAAAGAATTCCACACAGAACATTTTCTGTAGCAACAAAGAGTCATTTTCCTTCTCTCAGACATTAGGCTCTTTCCACCTGCACCGGGCATTTCACCCCCCAGCCCCGGTGACACGGGCTGAATCCTGAGTTTTGAAGGGCACAGTTGATGGGGGAGGAGGAGCATTAAGGTTGTCCAACTCTTTTTTTCCATACCAAAGTGGTTTACATTTACTTAATATTAGCTATTACAGATGACCGGAGAGGGGGAAATGCCGGAAATAGAATTGCTATGACTGTTCCTCAGTATGTTTGACTCTGTCCCATCAATCACTTCATTTTATACCAGAACACAAAGGGCCATGTCGAGCCATTGGCACTAACCCGGCAAACCCCACTCTCAGCTGCTGCCAGACTGTGAGCCTTTAAGGGTGTTAGGAGAGAAAGATAATCTTATAGAAGGGGGGTTTCCCCAAATTCCATCTCACACTGAAAATCCCACCAGCACTAGCTGCAGTGGAGAGGAGGACAGTGGGTTTCCCGTGGAGGGTGTGTGAGTCCAGGCTGGTGGCCTCCTTCCTCTGTGTGGCTTTCTGCTGCTCCCCCTGGCTCTGCCCACCTGCATCTGTCCCTGCTCCCTGGGTTTAGGAAGCCAAAAAAAAAATGGCTAAAGGGATTAGAAAGTCTTCATCATCCTGGAAACGTATTTATTTTCTTTTTTAAGAGGCCGGTTAATAACATGTAAGAACTAAATTTCTTCTTGCAAGTGTAGGTGGATGGAGGGTGGTTATTTTTAAACGAATGACTAACCATCTTCATTGTTATTGTCTTATAAAAAATTTAATATCGATCATATTAAACACTAAAAGGGCAGCACTCTTGGTCTAACCCTGAAGCTGGCATCTTCTGGCCCCATGAGTGCCAAGTCTGTTGTCCCTCACATTACATTCCGACTCCTGAATCTGAGAATCAAAGCCATGAGCGTGTGCACCAGATCTGCCTTTCTTGGCCTCTGGCTGCTGCAGGCCACAGCACTCCCTGAAATGTTGCCTGTCCCACACACGGAAGGCAAGGCAAAAACAAATCAACAAACAAAAGCCAATGCCAAAATGCCCCGGCAGGCACACCTTCCACATGCACGTCATGCACTTTCTGGACCACTTGTGGGCACCAAACAACCCACTTACCATTTCCCTTCTGCCTTCATCCTTCTCCTGAAGCTTCAGATGTGCCGACACCTGCAGGGGACAAGGACAACAGTGTGGAAGCAGAACAGACGGCCACTGGCAGTGTGAGCCTCATGCCCGCACTGCAGGCCACGGTGCAGCTAGCCAAGATGCAGCTAGCCACAGTGCCACTAGCCACGGTGCAGCTACCCACAGTGCAGCTAGCCACAATGCCGCTAGCCACGGTGCAGCTAGCCACGGTGCCACTAGTCACGGTGCAGCTATCCACAGTGCAGCTAGGCATAAGGCCACTAGCCACGGTGCAACTAGCCACCATGCAGCTAGCCACGGTGCCACTAGCCACCGTGCAGCTAGCTGATCATCATGGAAAACCCAAGGAGTTCTTGGCTTCCGATGCCCCTGCTTTAACAATGGTAGGATGGCAGGAGAGCAGTCCATGTGCGATGCTTCCTGCTATCTCAGTTGAATTCTCTGCTGTACCCAGGAGAGAAGTCAGATGTGGGCCATTTAGAGGTAAGAAAGCCCCAGGCATCAGGGGCTTGGCGACCAGCCTGGGCGGAACCAGTGGTGCGAGTTAGGAATTCCACAAACCGCCTGTTAAACTGCTGAGGCTTGAACTTATCCACAGGAGAGTCTTTACAGCACAGGAATTTACGAGGGCGACACGTCAGGATGCCGCGTTTTGTTGTTGTTGTGTTTTTTGAGATCCCGTTTGCTAACACAGCACTGGGCTCCTGGCCCTGCTTGGGAAAACCCAGAGTAGATCACCATGCACAGGACGGGCCTTGCTTCCACCCTCCTGCCTCCCGTGGCCTTGGGCAAACGTGCAACCTCCATTTCCTCACTGGCACAATGGTGAGGTTAAGCTCTGTCCACCTCATTAGCTAGAGAAGTTGCTGTGAGGATCAGAGGAGAGGGTGAGATGCAGGGCGGTGGCGGGGAGGGGGGCGGGGTGTGGGGCAAAGAGGTCTCAGGCCCCAGAGCTGGACAGGGTCAGGCCCACGCTCCTGCCATGTGACACTGCCTGCCATTTCTCAGTCTGCCTGGCTGCAAGGATGAAAAGCATAAACATGCACAACTGTGTCTGATGTGGGATCCGGACTCCGCAACGGGCGGCCAATATCTCCTCCGTGTGAGACAGGACCTTGAGTGGTAACATGTACCATAGCCTCAGAGTATTTCTCCAGGGCCTCATGAAATTCTCAGAATCAAAATCGAACTGAATTTGATTGTGAAAATAGATCATTTCACAGCAGGTTCGGTGGCGAGGTTGGGAGAGGACAGCAGGAGTCCCTAGTCGCATCTGTGGAGAATGCAGCCATTGAGCTGCGGTCCCAGTGAAGGGTCTCGAGCATGTGGCCATGGGGTTCACTCAAGAACTTACTGAGAAGTCAAACTCGGGCTACCCAAGACGCAGGAGCTGTTCAGGAATCAAGAGGGTGTGCATGGAGTTTGCACTTAGGGCATACATGGAACAGTGAACATTAGGGTCAAGAAAAACTTCACGACTGCTTTGCAGCATCTGTTCGCCAACTCCTCAGAGGTCCTCTGCGCCCCATCTGAACATCCATTTGGAGGCCAGATCAGCAGTCAGGGCTCCATGGGGCACACACCGCCCAGGGATGCTGGGCCCAGGGGAATGGCGTCTGCTTACCCACAGAACACGCAGGACCAGGGAACACGAATGGGAACAGCCCCACAGGTTCCTGCTTCTGTTTCCCCACAAAGAAGTTTAGGGAGCAGATCATGTGTCTGCAAACGTAACCTGCTTCTCTTTGCTGAGCTAAGAACCCCTTGGCACTGCCCTTCACGTGCCACTCTCAGACACCATGGGGAAGAAGCTTTGCCCAACCCAAGTCAGGGTCTCTCCAGGTGGAAAACCAAGGCGAACCCCCATCTACTGACCAAAGCACAGAGCAGATCAAGCTGAGGATGCCCCCTAGGGTGCCAGGAGAGACATGAAGCCTGGGGACTCTTCTTTTGCAGCGAACAAGGAGGAAGCAGAAATATAAACAGTCCCCCACATAAAGCCAGCCATGACTGGCAACTGGAGCTGCACACTGATTTTCAATCTCCTCTTAATGGGAGGATTCTGGTGGTTGCCTCTGCTCACAGTTAGGTCTGTGTGGTTTCAGTCGCCATGAGTTGGGCCTTTAAAAAAAAAAATGGCCCCTGCCGGGCACGGTGGCTCACACCTGTAATCCTAGCACTTTGGGAGGCTGAGGTGGGCAGATCACGAGGTCAGGAGTTCAAGACCAGCCTGGCCAACATAGTGAAACCCCATCTCTACCAAAAATACACAAATCAGCCGGGCATGGTGGTGGGCGCCTGTAGTCCCAGCTACTTGGGAGGCTGAGGCAGAAGAATCGCTTGAACCTGGGAGGCGGAGGTTGCAGTGAGCTGAGATCGTGCCACTGCATTCCAGCCTCGGTGACAGAGCGAGACTCTGTCCCCAAAAAAAAAAAAAAAAGGCCCTGGAAACCCAGATGCATGGCACTTGGCTGGGTCGCGGTCTGTCCAAGGAGCACAACCAGCTATTCCAGAAACCCAGGCAGAGGATATCCCCTGGACCCTTCTGTGGCCCCAAGAGGGGAAGATATTTTTAAACTTCCCCAAATACTGGATTTATCCACAGAGGACATAAGTGAAGATACTGTGGGGAGGCTTACTAGGAGTGAAAAGAAACAGTGACCAAGTTGAATTGATTAGGCACCAACTGCATGTCAGAATTCTACCCCACCTTCCCTGTATTTTCCCTTTCAATATTTACACCAACCCCATACGGTCTTGCAGATGAGGACACTGAGGCTGTGAGGATAAAGCAGGTGCACGGCAGGGAAGCTGAGCTGGCAGTTAAAGGTGCGCCTTTGGAGACAGACAGCCCTGGCCACGTGTGGCCATCAGCAGCCGTGTGACCCTGGGCTCCTGGCTTCACTGGGGGAAGCTCCATTTCCCACCCACTTTTTTGGGATGACATATCTGGTGTGTGTAGAGCTATGTGCTCAGGGCCTGGGACCCAGGAGATGCTCGGCCACTGCTGGTTTCATTTTCCCACCTGGGAGGCAGGTGAGTCAGAGGAATAGACCCTTGGTATCCTGACCAAGGCACCAGGCGAGTGGGTGCTTGGGCCAAAGACACGGAAAGACTCAAGGATAGCTGACAGGAAGGAGAATCCCAAGCACTGGCCTGCAGGAGAAATAGTATGGTGGCTGCCCTGGAGAGGATCACCCAAGCCAGCCGGGTTAATAACCTTCTCAGAAACTTGACCCCAACCCTGCCAAACAAGGTCCATTAAACTCACAGTCTTGGGGGGTTTTGGGATGATGCTGCCTGTCCCAACAGCGAGTCTGGTGTTAGAACTCCGCTAGAGGGAGGTTGCTGGCCCTGTGCAGGCCGCGTGGCAGAGCCCTTGGGTCCCTCGCAGCTGGGCACTCGGCCAGTGCTGTGTCTAATGTGGGCGCTGGGGACAGGCGGCAGGGGCGGAGTGGGGCGGGGCAGGGCGGAGCTCACCATCATGGCCTCCTGCACAGTGAGATGCGGCAGCAGCATGTCATCCTGCATGATGTAGCAGGACACCTTCCGGAAGCAGCGCAGGTCCCGGGGCAGGCCGTTGATGAGGACGGCCCCCTTCATGCCCGTCTCCCTGCAGAACCAAGGACAGGAGAAGCCGTCAGCCGGGCTCCTGCTCCTCCTCCACCTCCCGGGGCAGGAGAGGGGAGCCAGAGACGGGGGCTTGCCTCCCAGCATCTTCCCAGCTGAACCACTGGCCACGGGGACCCCGAGGGGCAGAAAGGGACCGGACCTCGCTAGCACTGCAGCGATCGGGAGGAAGACATTCCACAGAGAAAGCTCCTGCTGGGAAGAGGAAGCTGCACACAGGCCTCCGTGGGATGGTGTGTTTATACTAAGGGTAACGGCAGCACTTTCTTGACCTGCCAAACAAAGATTGGCAGGGATGGTCCTATAAGCAGCCGCGAGGTCAGGATGTACAGCCCCTGGATTTGTGGGGGTTTGTAACGTTGGCTTCTGAACAATTCTGTGTGTAGCTCAGGCTACACCCAACTGCCCAAAGGCCGGACCTCTGCAGACTTCAGGCCTGGGAAGGAGCAGAGAGGGGCCTGGGGCCCGGACCAGCTCAGCCGAGTGGATGGCCCTTCTCCACCAGGGAGAATTCTCTCTGCTGAGCAGGCTGAGAGCCTCCCAGGTGCTCATGCAAGGCAGGCACGGCCTCACCAGGCACACTCATTCACTGGCTGGTTCATCGGCTCACTGCAGACCTACTGTGCGCCTCTGCTGCCTGCCGTTCTGGGAGCATCAGTGCAGCCCGGGAGCTGGTGCATGCCACAGGCAGTCTACACACTGTGCTTCTAAGGATCCAGTCTCTCTAGCCCTACCTCCTAGACGTTATGGGGAATAAAACAGAGGCGAATCTACGGAGACTAATGAAAGCATGTCTAGCTTCCAACTTTACTCAGCTTGTTACTATGACTGTGGGCCTGCGGCCGGGTCTCTTCTCTCCTCCAGGCACAGGCTGGGGTCAACTGGCTTCCCCTGGATCCCCAGGTCTGAAGGCCCCATCCTGAGTGGCCTCTGCAGCTCCGAGATGCCAAGCACCCACACAGGCTGCCAGGAGCTGTGGGTGTATTGATGATCTGAGAAACAGCCACCCCTGCAAGAATACTCCACTCCTCTCTGGCCCTGCCTCACTCTGAGGATTCAACTTCAACCTTTAGATGTGACTGTCACAGGCAGGAATTTGCCATAAGTGAGGTTTTTTCAAACCCCAATTTCTGGCATTAAGGTGTAATTCAGAAGCTCTAAGGAAAAGGGTGATATTTGCCATTTTTTCAGTAAATGAAATTATTACTATTATTACTATTTGCCAAAGTTAGTAAATAAAACCAATCAGACATGAAAATAACTGACTTTAACAGAGCATTTTCTAAACACTTCTAAAGATTCTAAGTTTTCTAATCATTCCCAAATGGATGACATTGGACACAATGGTCGCCAAACTTCTTTGTTGTTTTTCTTTGTTGTTGTTGTTGTTTGTGTGTTTTTGAGATGGAGTCTCGCTCTTGTCACCCAGGCTGGAGTGCAGTGGTGTGATCTCAGCTCACTGCAACCTCTGCCTCCTGGGTTCAAATGATTCTCCTGCCTCAGCCTCCTAAGTAGCTGGGATTATAGCACCTGCCACCACGCCCAGCTAATTTTTTCTGTATCTTCAGTAGAGATGGGGTTTCATCATGTTGGCCAGGCTGGTCTAGAACTCCTGACCTCAGGTAATCCGCCCACCTCGGCCTCCCAAAGTGCTGCGATTGCAGGTGCGAGCCACCACACCCGGCTCAAACTTCTAAACAACTAAGACCATCACAAGCCCCAGCCAAACAGTTCTCATTCTCTTCTGAAAATGCCTTGTCTCTCTTCAACTTGCATTCACTCCTGTTCTCTCCAAGTTCTCTGGCCACCCCTCTCCCTGAACTTGACCTTCCTACTTCCTCCTGTCCCTTTAGCCAGGCTGAGCTCATCCAGGGTGCTGCTGTGGCCACTGTCTCCAGGGACCCCTCTCTGAGTGTGGCTCTCCACCCATCATATGGCCCTTGGCAAGTGCAGCCTCTCAATGTCACTCTCTCCCCTGGACTACTGCTGTAGACCACAGCCTGCTCCAGGTGATGGGGCTGATGGAAGGAGCTCCACTGTTCCCACTGCTGGCCTGACACCCGGGAGAGAACTTTGCGCCCTGGGCAGGGCTGCTCACCTGTATCCAGCCAGGATGTTCATCAGCGTGGACTTCCCGGCCCCGGAAGGACCCATAATGGCCACCAACTCACCACTATTGAACTTCCCGGAAATTCCTTTCAGGAGGGTCTTGTATCCTGCAAAAAAGCAGATCATATTCATATTCATTTCATTTTATCTCTAATGCAGTAAATATGCAAATGTTCAAGTACACATGACCAAGGCCAAAGGCAACCTTTGACATGCATCATAGAAAAGGCTGCATTCCAGGGAAGAACATGAACTTCATGTCTTTCGAATTCCCTGGTCTACGTCTTCAATTGCATTTCACAGGTTATAATAATGATAATAATTACCAGCACGTGTGTAATGCTTTAGAGCTCACAAAGCACTTTCCCACTCATTGTCTAGTCTATGGGGAATCCACCATTCCCGTCTCAGAGTGAGGAAGCGATGTCCGGTGGGCCCAGGTGACCTGCCCAAGCCCTCGGCCAGTATGGGCAGAACCCAGCTCTGAGCTGCAGCACTACCAGCTTGCTCCTGCCCCGAGATGCCATGCATGTGTCTGTTTTAATTAATAATTCACTTACTGCATCTACAAATTATTTATTTATGCTTTATATATTTACATAAGTATAAATTATGTATATATGATTTATTTATAAATAATCAACATATGATTAAATAATCAATATATTATTAATCCCTTAATTAATAATTAAGAAAGTTTGTCATTTTGGAGCCACACCAAACTGCTTTGGAATTTCTGCCAAGTCTCCATCTGAGAGCTTTATAAAAGGGGAAAAGCTGCACATCCCAAGCAAAGCCACATTAATTTTTTTTCAAATAGACTGTTTAAAAGTGCTGTAAATAATAAAACAGAAGCAACTGGATGCATAGATAATGTCTCCCAATCCAGGGGCACTTTTTTTTTTTTTTTTTTTTTTGAGACTGAGTCTTGCTCTGTCGCCCATGCTAGAGTGCAGTGGCACAATCTTGGCTCACTGCAAGTTCCGCCTCCCGGGTTCACACCATTCTCCTGCCTCAGCCTCCCGAGTAGCTAGTACTAGAGGCGCCTGCCACCATGCCTGGCTAATTTTTTGTATTTTTAGTAGAGACAGGGTTTCACCGTGTTAGCCAGGATGGTCTCAATCTCCTTGTGATCCGCCCGCCTCGGCCTCCCAAAGTGCTGGGATTACAGGCGTGAGCCACCGCGCCCGGCCCAGGGGCACTTCTCAGTGTAGTATCAGATCAGAATCCACTGTTAAATGATCAAGAATCACGTGAATGCCATTTTAGCTTCCACACGTTTCAGGGGACCTAATGAGACAGGGACCTGTGGGGTCCTTGGCCCAGTCCCGTGTTTTAGACTTTCTCCCGGTCCCCAGCTGGGCACCCAAGCCTTTATGTTTCCAAGAGTCTGGCCCAGGGGAGTTTGCTCCCAGCTGTCTTCCTGTCTTTCATAGATAGGACACCGGAAAATGCCAACCTGCCACCAGGTGCCGCCTTAATTTGGATGTGGAGTCCCTGAGGCCTTGTTTAGGGGAGTCAGAGAGCTGCGGAAGCCAGTCAGGAAGCTTGGGACTGCCACTCATTACAGACAGGGCGGTTGTCGCCCCAGGGAGGGTGAGGAGAGTCATCCCAGCGGGGGTAGGGGCACAGGAAGAAAGGGCTGGGGCTGGAGAGCAGCTCAGAGCTGCGGGTGAACCAGCTCGTACAATAGGACTGTGGATGACAATGCTTACAAACACACAGCACTTGAGGCCTACACAGATTAGCGGGGCTGGAGGAGGACCGGGAACCCCAAGAATAGCCCTTCTGCTGAGCCATGGGTGCCCCTCAGTGGACAGGCAGACAGAGGAGCTGGGGACCACATAGACACTTCCTCCACAGGAGCAAGCTCTCTGCACCATGGAGTACTGCGGCACTTCGGGCACCCAGGCCCCCGGGGACCCACGCGATATCCCCAAGAAAGCACTAAGTGCTGGGTACCTGCTTTACCATCTCTTGTCTATTCAGGGTGGAAGTGGGGCTACTCCCCAGCAAACCTCCCTTAGGCTGTGTCCTCTCAAACTTATGAGCTGCCTGAAGACGCCTGGTCACTGAGCTCACCAGCAGCCATCATCTGACTATGGCCACGACCCACCTGAGGGTTCATGCCTCGGGCTCTGAGAAGCCTCTCTCCCTCCGTCCAGGGCAGGCAGGGCCCACCTCTCTTTCTGGGCACAGCCTCTGAGCTCTCACCTTTGACAGTGCCTGGGGCTGACCCTCAGTGCTGGGGCTCACTGGGGCACCCGATGATCACCCTGGCTGGAGGAAGCACATACAGGCTGCAATGACCCCCAGGACCCCAGGAACAGGACATGGCATGGAGGCTGGGAGCATTCGGCCCTCTCATGGGAAGAGCAGGACAGGTGGTCTCAGGCTGGTCTTGCTATTGAGAACCAGCAAACTGGAATTTGCACCAAACAGAGAGTGCACACAACTGGGGCTGCAGAGGTCCACTCCACCTGGCCCTCATGGGGTCCAGCAGTGGACACAAAACCCAATTCAGGGCTGTACTTCTCTAATATTAGAAACTTATTTTTCTTTCTTTCTTTTTTTTAAAAAAAGACATGCATTTGGAATTGAAGAATCTTAAAAGTGGCTCTGGAAACAAAGTCCAGTAAACATTAGTCTGCCCTGCTGTGGGACAGCCCGGGTACAACAGTGACCTTGTGCACATCTAAAAGTGAGTCCTGGGCTGAGGGGCCCAGGAAACACCAGCCAGAGGCTTCCTGTGGTAGTCGGGTTTCCTGAGTATCCAGCGCGCGCGCGCACACACACACACACACACACACACACCCCTACCTCTATTTATGTAAGGAAATCACCCTCCCCGCAGAGTCCTCCACTTGGTTCCCATTACAGAAATATAAAGCGAAGATGCGACCATCCCACCCCGCCTGCCCTACTTTCCCACCCCTGAGCTCTGCTCAGCCCACTTCTTGGCATAATGGACATGCACCTGCCTCCCTGTCCTTGTGGGCTCTCGTTCACAGGGCACACTGTCTTCCACTGTTTTTCTGGCTGGGATAGTGAGTGCCCAGGATAACAAGTGCAGAGACTGCCAGAGCCAGGCCCAGTGAAGGCCCATCAGCCCCGTGCAGGATGCCCAGGTTCAGTATTTGAAACAGCCAGATGGTAGCCCAGACCAGAGCTTAGACACAACCCAGGCCAGACCAGAGCCGCAGACTAGAACAGCCAGACCAGAACTTAGACAGAACCCAGACCACACCCAGACAGAACCCAGACCACACCCAGACAGAACCCAGACCACACCCAGACAGAACCCAGACCAGACCCAGATCAGACCCAGACAGAACCCAGACCAGACCCAGACAGAACCCAGACCACACCCAGACAGAACCCAGACCAGACCCAGACAGAACCCAGACCACACCCAGGCAGAACCCAGACCACACCGAGACAGAACCCAGACCAGACCCAGATAGAACTCAGACCAGACCCAGACAGAACCCAGACCAGACCCAGACAGAACTCAGACCAGACCCAGACAGAACCCAGACCACACCCAGACAGAACCCAGACCACACCCAGACAGAACCCAGATCAGACCCAGAAAGAACCCAGACCACACCCAGACAGAACCCAGAGCAGACCCAGACAGAACCCAGACCAGACCCAGACAGAACTCAGACCACACCCAGACAGAACCCAGATCAGACCCAGACAGAACCCAGACCAGACCCAGACAGAACTCGGACCACACCCAGACAGAACCCAGATCAGACCCAGAAAGAACCTAGACCAGACCCAGATCAGACCCAGACAGAACCCAAACCAGACCCAGACAGAACCCAGACCACACCCAGACCAGGTCTAGAGAGAACCCAGATTAGACCTAGACAGAACCCAGACAGAACCCAAACCAGACCAGAGCCTCAGACCAGACACTAAACGGAACTCAGATAAAAACTGCAGACCAGAACCCGCGAGAGCGCTAGGCGGGCAGGGCCGGCCTCTGTGAGCCTGGGTGGGAGGAAGGCTCCACTCCCCATTTATCTTTAATCAGTGTCTGTTTCCCCCTTTCCCTGCACCAACCCTAAAGTCTTTATCAATTGCTGGGTTGTCTCTGAGCACTGCATGCTAAGAAGAAATGATGCAACTTAATCCTTTTTTAGGGGACATAAATTCATAGTCAATTAATCAAGGCAAAAAAAGCCATAAGTTCAACCAGACTCCTCTGGGAAATGGAAAGAAATGGGAGGTGAGGGCCATCGAGAACCAGAGGAGAGAATGGGGTCTGAGCAGGGCCCCAGGCACCAGACACCTGCTCAGGAATTAATTCCCTAAGTGACACCAGCAGGCTACGTATCTTCTTGGGGCCCTAATGTCAACATCTGTAAAAGAGAACCGGACAAGATGGTTTCTAGTGTAGTCTTAATTACCCTAGAAAGGAAGCAAATGCTCTATGAGCCTGTGAAAATCCTTGCTCCTTAACACAAAATATGGGAGCTTAGCAAGGGGCACAACTAGCAGTGCCCGGGGCTGTGGTCATCGCCAGAGGACAGAGATGGGAGGAGGATAGAAGAGTGCTCCAGATAGGGTGGTGACGGACTGCCCTTGGAGCCGCAGACCTACATGATCAGAGAGGAGCAAATCCCTTGGGATATTCCAAAGACAACCCACAGAGTCTATCTCTGCCCCTTTTATGGTTTGTTCCCTAAGATGATGCATACTTGGGAGAGACAGGAACAGAGCATGCTGGTCCTTCAGAGCTACTCACTATAAAAGGAGCAGTGGAAGCACCTTGATCCCAAACCCTCCTAATCAGACTCACCTTGGCTGAATTTCATATTGCAATTCTTTTATTTTATTTTATTTTATTTTATTTATTTATTTTGAGACAGAGTCTCGCTCTGTCACCCAGGCTGGAGTGCAGTGGCGCAATCTCGGCTCACTGCAAACTCTGCCTCTTGGGTTCAAGCGATTCTCCTGCCTCAGCCTCCTGAGTAGCTGGGATTACAGGTGCGCACCACCATGCCAGGCTAATTTTTTGTATTTTTAGTAGAGATGTGGTTTCACTGTGTTAGCCAGGATGGTCTCAATCTCCTGACCTCGTGATCCGCCCACGTGGGCCTCCCAAAGTGCTGGGATTACAGATGTGAGCCACCACACCCAGCTTCATATTGCAATTCACAAGTCCACTGTCAAAGCAAAACCAAGAGCAAGCCCACTTATCCAGGCTTAAGAGAGAAGAACCCTGTCCAGGAAGGGGAGGCCTATAGATTAATCCCTCAAGCCACGAGGGGCAAGCTATGGCAGTGCGCGAGGGGGCTGCCTCACTAAGGGGGAGGCCAGGGCCGGCAGGACACCACTGACTGTAGAGGTGGAGAAAAATGTCTCCAGGCCATCCCAGCCTGCGGTCCTGAGCCAGCTCGCAGTCCGGTGTAGTGGACCAGAGGTGCACATCTGGAAAGCCTGAGAAGTCAACAGTGGTCAGGCCGCCCTGTGGTGTGTTAGAGCTGACCCCTTTCCAGGGCTCATCCTCTCACAGCCCCGGAGGCTGGAAGTCCTCACTGGAAGTGCCCTCAGGGCCGTGCTCCCCCTGAACGTGCTAGGGGAGGACCTCCCCTGTCTCTGCCAGCCGCTGGTGCTCCAGGTGTTCCTTGACTCGTGGCTGCCTCCCTTTGATCTCTCCTCTGTCTGCGCATGGGCCTCTCCCCTGTGTATCTGTGACTCTGTGTCCAAATTCCCATCTTCTTATCCAGACAGCTGTCATATGAGATCAGGGGCCCACCCTACTTCAGCATGACCTCATCTTAACTAATGCCATCTGCAGTGACTCTGTTTCAAGTAAGGCCACATTCTTAGGGAGCAGGGGTTAGAACTTCAACATATCTATTTGGGGGATGCAACTCAACCCACAGCAGAGCACAATGCTAGGGAGAAAGCGTCACCCGGGGCTGCTGCACTGGATGCAGCCTCCAGGAGGAAACTGACCTGTGGGTGCAGGAATGAGGGACGTGAGGGCCTGAGCACTCTGGACTCTGTTATCGGGGTGCAGCCCTGCCCGAGCACAGCTGCAGCTCCTATGAACCCCTGTGTGCACTCGGAAAGATGGTGTGAAGCTGTCCTGCATGGGGATGGGGGGCCAGCACAAGCGAGCACCAACAAGCTGGCTCTGATCTCGAGGAGCTCAGCCAAAGGGCCCAAGAGGTGGCACCCTCCCACTCACTGTCTGCCACCACGGGCAGAAACCATGAGAGCTAGTGGCCTCAAGGCCAGAGATGGAGTCCTGGTGTTGTCAAGGCTTCCCAAGACCCAACCCTCCCCATGCACGTGCCCCCAGTCAAGACCCTGGAGAGCTCCCCAGAGCACACCAACCAGCACCCCAAACAGCGCTCCTCTATCTCTTCTCTCCTGGTCCTCCCCCTTTCCCCATGTGGCCATCTCTCCCCCACCTCCTTCCCTCTCTCCTCTGTCTCCCTCTCTCTCCTCTCTGTCTCTCCTCCTCTCTCTCTTTCTCTCCACCTTCTCTCTCTTGCCCTTCACCTTTCCTTTGCCAGCATCCTCTGAGAAGTAGGAACCTCACCTTTCCATCTCTAAACATTCGGCCCTGGCCCAGTGTAGATACTCAAGTGTCGCTGAATGGATGGATGAATGGATGAATGGATGAACAGATGGATGAATGGATGAATGGATGAATGGATGGATGGATGGACAGATGGATGAATAGATGAATGAATGGATGGATAGATTGACGGATGGATGGATGGACAGATGGATGGAAGGATGGATGGATGGATGGACAGAGGGACAGACAGATGGATGGATGAACAGATGTTTAAAAACCACGCAGATGAAGCATTTAGTAATGTTTAAAATTAAGTGAATACTAAAGAGTTTCCTGAGTTATCCCCTCCTTCAGAATGAGCCACTTTTAGAACATTAGAGATTCAGAGACAGCCTGTGCAGACATCCCGAATTCCGGTGATCATGAGTATAAGGAGATAACGCTGGAATGAAGCTGCTCCTCCTAAAGGCCAGCTGGCCAACCCCAAACCAGGCACCCCAGATGAGCAGGGCATCCGACAGCCGCCATGTGACGCACGTCTTCTTCTGCTTCCAGCTCTGTCACTGCCCTGGAGGCCCTGAGAATGTCAGCTCCATGAGGACGTGAGCAAGACCAGCTTCTTGATTATCATGCCCCGCGAACCTGGAATGGAGCCTGCACAATGGTTACTGGAAGGAAATGTTCGTGGCACTCACAAGACAGGAAGGGCTCTTGGCACAAATGAACCTTGAGCAACATCCCGTCTCAGGCAACGCCGTGGCCTTGTCGTCTCTTCCCACACCTCCCTTCTGACAGGACAGACCCCTTTGGGACCAGAGCCATCAGGCAATGCCCAGAGGCCACTGCAGGCCCAGCCGCCTGGCCCCTCCCCACAGTCTAACGGCAGGATCAACCTACTTCAGGCATTTTTACGGGGTTGCTGGCTCCGTCTGTCTTGTGTTACATAAGCACAAACCCCTCCCCAAGTGGGCGAGACAGAAGTCATCAGGAAACCCGTAGACAATGGCCATGGAAATGTGCCTGTTGTGTTCACTTCTGAGTAATTACATTTTGCTGTAAATGTCGCTGAGGTGTAGAAAACACAGAGAAGTGCGCAGACCATAAATACACAGCTTCACATGCTTTTCCAGATCGAACACACCAGGGTCCCAGCCCCCAGATCAGAACTGGGACATGGCCCACTCCTAGGAGCTCCCTCACGTCCCCTTCCTGTCGCTTCAGGGCTAACTACTTTTAAATCTAAAGTAAACCCCCAAAGGTGTTGATTTTTAAACAAAGAAATACAACTTTTCCAAAACAAACAATAAAAAAGACGGTTTCCTCCCTTGGAAATGAAGGCAACATTCCTTTGCCCATGGAAAAGTCAAGGCACCTTTCTGAGATGGAGATTACCCCCCAGTAATCCCATGAGCCCTGTTAGCTGCTGTGGCTGGGCTATACCACTTGCCAGACAGCCCCTGGAACAAGGTGGTTCCGGTCTAGAAGGAATTTCAGGAAGGCACTGAATGTTTACATTTCCTACATTAGCTAACAGTGCTTTGCAAAGAGAACCGAGACCTGTCAACTGTCAACACCTAGGAAGAGTCGGGGGACACGGCAGCATCGCTCGGGGCTAGGAGAGTTTTCCTCACTCTGTAGAAATGTGCCCTTGAAGGAGGCACAGGCAGGGCCAGCCCAGTCCCCTGGCAGAGGCCATGAGTCACAGAACGGGCCTCACCAGGCCAGAGCTCACTGGGGTGGGCACCGCGCCAGCCTTGCTCCTGTCACTCCGCTTAGGCCTCACAGCAAGCGACTACTGTGTTCTTCTCCATCTTTTACAGGTGACATACAAGAGCTTGGAGAGGGTTAATGACCTGCTCAAGGTCACACGGTAGGTCAGCAGAGGATCCAAGATTCCAACCCCTTCTGCCAAACCCGGAGGCGGCTCTTGCACCCGGGGCCAAGAGTGCCTTTGCCAGGCCCCGCAGAGCGGTTCCCAGCCGTTCCCCTCCTCCCTCCCTCCTCCTCCGAGTGGGCATATTCCCATTGAATCAATACAGTCAGCTCAATCCAGAATTGTGCATTTAGTCTGATATCGCATGAAATATTGAACAGAGGATCAGAAGGAATTTCAAGCCTTTCCCCTCATAAAGAAGAAACCCCGTGGGTCACCTAAGGCTAAGAATACCACCCAGGTGTGGGCAGGGTAGCTGGCAGCGCTGATGCAGTGAGATGCTCTGAAATCTACGGCCGTAAGAATTCCTATGCCCATTCAAAGAGATCTTCACTTGTGCAACTGACCTTTACCTTTCAATTTATTTTTCATTCCACAAAACATCCTCAGAAAAAAGAAGAATTCTTGCCAGGATGTGGGAAGGTCTCCTGTCCCTTACGGAGGACTCAAGCCCTGTTTACATGAAGGACTCCTTGCAGCCTCTGCTAGGAAGTATGCTTCCCCAAGCCAAATGCATGCTCCCTAAGGCTTCGTGTGAGAAAAACCTCTCCTACTACCTGCCCAGCAACCAAGGGATCTGAGCCCCTTGGGAACCATTAACCCCCCAGTCCTGGTTACCTGCAGAACATAATAAGCAAGTGACTAGCTCACTCAGGTTTCATTGAACGAGTTGCAGTTTGGAAAGGGGCCGGCTGCTTCTCGAGAGACCCTGGGGAAGATCGGTCATTGGGTTTTGTTTCCCAGCAGCACCAACAAAGGCGTGTTGTCCACCTGCACTGGGCTGGGCTGGGACCAGGTGAAGTGGGCACCCGCAGAGAATCAGGGCCTTGTTTTGTGGTTGTCCAAATGTCAAATGTTACTCTGATAGCTCAGCGTTCTGACCTCTCCGTGAGTTAAGTACGCCATAAACATAAATGTGGATAAACAGCAGGGACAAGAGGCCATCCTGTGTTTATGGAGCTCCGCGGCCGAGGTTGCAGCGTGTTTCACCATCCTTGTCTTGTTCACTCACCCGCCAGCTTCCCGAGGGGGCCGGGCCAGGCAGGACATTCCTCTTCCAAGCCAGAGCGAGGCAATGCGTCTCCTCACAAGCGGGCAGTCCCCGATACACAGAGGGACTCTCGCTCGGGGTTTCAGTGGAGAGAGGGGGTGGGGAGCTGCCCAAGCTTCCCCCAGGCCCCTGTGGATTCTGTGCCCCTTCGACCAGGCCAGGGAGTCTGCGATGGAGTTTGCTATCCTGCTTGTCTGTTTTCTCAGGAGTCATCCTTTCTCATGGGAGAAGATGCCATGCAGACAGTACTGTTCCCACCGGCCGCTCCCGTCACCCCACATCCAGGAGGTCAGCTTTCCAACCGCAAACATCAAAACACTGTCACCCTGGCCTGAGCACAGCAGGGTATCTGAAATCCCCTCACAAATGCCTCCGTTTAGTAAACTTGCAGCCAGCAGGACTCCAGAGCTGCCTGGGTGGGGCGGGAGAGGGGGGGTGGTGGAGAGGGGGAAGGAGGACAAGAGCACCCGCCCCCACCTCACCGTACTAGAAGAAGAAAGAGGGTAGAAAACGGGAGAGAGGGGCCGGGTACGGTGACTCATGCCTGTAATCCCAGCACTTTGGGAGGCCGAGGCGGGTGGATCACAAGGTCAGGAGATCGAGACCATCCTGGCTAACATGGTGAAACCCTGTCTCTACTAAAAATACAAAAAATTAGCCGGGTGTGGTGGCTGGCGCCTGTAGTCCCAGCTACTCAGGAGGCTGAGGCAGGAGAATCGCTTGAACGAGGGAGGCGGAGGAGGTTGCAGTGAGCTGAGATGGTGCCACTGCACTCCAGCCTGGCAGAGCGAGACTCCGTCTCAAAAAAAAAAAGAAAATGGGAGAGAGGGAGGCACACAGCTGTGGGGCTGTGGGGAAAAGTGGGTAGCTCATGGGGGAACAGAGGTGGGGTTTGCTTTCTGGGTCCTTGTTCAGTTTCTGGGATGCCTCTATTTTCCTTCCTTCCTGCTAAGGGATATTTTCCTCTCCTTGGCTCCTTGGCAGGAGCTGCTTGGGGCTGAGTGCAAAGACTGAGAGGGGAAGTAAGAAGTCCATCCTGCTGCACTGTCACCTCTAATGCCACCAGTTGGTGTGCGTTTGGTGGAGGGGGTCACTGGGGAGTTGGGGCCCTTCCATGCGGCTCCTCTCCTCCCTAAATAACATGGTTTTAGATATTCTGGTGAGCTCTTTTGAAAATCTTTTCAACTTCAAAAGAACCCAAACAAAATCCTGCAGAGGGAACCCTGGGGAGGGAGACTCTGCCACACTCAGGCTCCCCGGCTTGTGTTTCACAGGTGATGAGCCCCTGGCAGGAGCAGCAGCGTCATGGGTCTCAGCATCTCAGGCCCCCTCGAGAGGAGCCCTGGCCCCAGCCGGGCCACCATTCGGCTCCGTGGTGGAAGCTGGGTCCTAGAAATGCTTGCCGCCCAATGCCACCTGCAGGGTTGAAGTGAGCATCTACTCTGAATGCCTTTAGGGCCACGTGACCAGCTTCACCCGAGAAGCAACACAACTCATCCTCACCTTCCTCCATGGGATCGCCAGGAAACCCCCAACCATAGGCCCTTCCTGCCCCATGAGCTGCTGACAAGACTTTGCCACTGATAGCGACCACCCCCAGGTGATGGGGCCCTCCCTGGACTTGGACTGACCACGTGCAGGATGCCGCACTGGCCTGAAGAAACCAGGAGGGAAGGGGAAGAGCAAGCCAACACCACCGTCCAACCCACAGCTGCTGAGCTTCAGGGCCGCTCAAGCCTGGGGGCCTTCTTTCTCCCGCTGTGCTCCTTTGCCATTGGCCTCTCTCTCCCCTGCTCTTTTCCTTTCTTCCATCCAAAGGGAGGAGGGAATGGGCTAATGAGAAAACACCCCACCTCTGCCTCTTCCTAAACCATGACCTGTGGCAAGTGGCAAATCTGTGAGCTGCTTTCCCTCAAGTATACTCCCATCACCGAGTAACTGTGTGGATTACATGCACGTGCGAATGCCCACTGGTTTGCAAACACGTGGCTCTAGCAACCTTGTCAGTTTTTATCAAATGAGTGACAGTTAGGAAACAAGGTAATGGCCAGCTCCGCAGAGGCAATGCCACTCGATTTGCCTCCATAGCCTGAGGGCCCACATGATGACTCCAGCCAGCCAGCCTCAGTCAATGCACCTTGAGTGGACGGTTGGATGGGGGCATGATGACAATGCTTGAGCCCTGTAGGCCAGACATCGGCACCCTTTTTCCCTGAAGAGCTGAATCACAGACATTTTCGATTTTGCAGGACACGCAGTCTGTCACAAACACTGAGCTCTCCAGTTTAGCAGAAGCTAAAGCTGCCACCTGTACATGCACGGCTGTGGCTACTGCAACAAAACTTCACTTACAAACTCAGGCAGAGCACAGATCTGGTCTCCAGGCTGTGCTTTGCTGACTCTGCTCCAGAACTTTGGAGCTGAGCCCAGCACCAGCGACATCTGGGAACGCAATGTCGTCTCTCTCACACCAAGACATGTCTCCCAGGCAGGGGCCTTTGCAAGGTGGAAGAAAATCCAGCTAAGGCTGGGGATGCACCCTGTGTTCTTGGGGGAAAACAGGGTATGAGAACAGGACAACTGAGGCAGGTCTGAGAGAAAGGCAAGCTTGGATCACCACCAGGAACAAGGGAAAGCACTGGCTATGCCCTCAAGGAGCTCCGAATCCTACGGTTCTCCAGAATTCTGGAGTGAACGACTCAAACTCCCCTCACATGAGAAGGTTGATTTGTCAGCTGATAAAGAAAGTTCTGGAGCAGCTCCCTCCTGGGTGCTTCTAGACAGCCACTGTGCCCTCCTAATTAGGGAACAAAGCTGCTGCTGGGGGCACCACTCAGAGCTGCAGCTTTCAGAGCCACCTGCAGGGGGCAGCCCTCATCCCGAGTCTTACAGCAGCTGCCAGCAGGCGCCCTACTCCCCTGAGAGGCAGAGGAAGGCTGACCTCGGCTGTTCTCTAGTAGAATGCTCTAGAGGAGGATTAATGGAGGGATGGATGGAGGGATGGATGGAGAGGCTGATAGAGTGGATGGAGATATGGGTGTTTCCAAAATTCAACCGGATACACAGGGAACATGTTCAAGGCAACCCCCAGTTGCAAATCCCAGAGTGAGTTTCAGGAGTGCAGCACTGGGGACTCAGGGTGTGGTGAACTCTGGATGGAGAGAGGGATGCATTGAGGGATGGAGGAAGGGATGGAGGAAGATATGGAGGGAGGGATGGGGGGGATATGGAAGGTGGGATGGAGGGAAGGATGGAGGGAGAGATGGAAAGAGGGATGGAGGGAGGAATAGAGGGAGGGATGGAGGAGGGATAGAGGAAGACATGAAGGGAGGGATGGAGAGAGAAATAGATGGAGAGATAAAGGGAGGGATGGGTGGAGGGAAGAATTAATGGAGGAACAGATGGAGGGATGGTTGGAGAGGCTTATGGAGTGGGTGGGGAAATGGGAGGAAGGATGGATGGAGTAAATGAAGGGATGAGTGGAGGGATGAGTGGAGGGGAGGATTAATGGAGGGATGGATGGAGAGGCTGATGGAGTGGATGGGGAAAAGTGTGGAAGGATGGATGGAGTGGATGAAGAGGTGAGTTGAGGGATGAGTGGAGGGATGGATGGAGAGGCTGATGGAGTGGATGGGGAAATGGGAGGAAGGATGGATGGAGTAAATGAAGGGATGAGTGGAGGGATGGATGGAGAGGCTGATGGAGTGGATGGGAAAATGGGAGGAAGGATGGATGGAGTAAATGAAGGGATGAGTGGAGGGATGAATGGAGGGGAGGATTAATGGAGTGATGGATGGAGGGAAGGATCTTCATGAAGCCTCAGTCTGTTCCTGAAGAACGCCTTTTCTAGCATGGGCCTCGCGGTGCAGGGAGACCTCTTGGGACTGTGTATGCAGTTCAGTGGCCAGTGTAAGCACATATGCAAGTATGACATTCTTCTTTGCCACACATTTCAACACATTCTGATTTCTGGAATATTTCATCCACTGTGGAAGGCAGTAAGCATTGTTGGAATGTGGCCAAAGTGAGGAGGCTGGCTGGAGTCTGGAGCTCTCAGTACGGTCCTTCCCCAGGGTCACCGCCACGCCCTACACAGCTGTCTCAGCAACATGCTTTAGGACAAGAACGCTTCAGGTGGAAGGGGGATGGCCCCCAGCACGTCCACTCCCACTGCCAAATGAGCTCCAAGTACGTCCTGCTAACACTGTTTGTAGTCACCAGTCCTGTATCTGTATGATAGCACCGGGCAATGGAAGAATAACTCAGGCCAGATGCTGCAGAGGCTGCGGGTGCCATGGATATTCTACATAGACTCCAGCCCAGCTGGGTTCCCAAAAAGCTGCCTGCAAATTGATTGACTGGAATCTCCTGGGGAGTTTGAGAAACGCTTCTGAAGGAATTGGCCTGGGGCATGACCCAGGAGATTCCAGTGGGCCCTGAAATTTCCAAATCGGCTCTAGATTCGGCCTCTAATTAGCCGTGTGACCTTGGGCAAGTTCCTTGAGTTTTTAAAATTTGTTTTCTTCATCTGGTAATGGGCATGAAATGAGTACTTAACCTTAAGGGTGTCTGTGAAGACCAAACAAGAGAATGTGTTCGAAATGCCTCACATTGAGCCCGGCATATAGAAAATGGTTAATAAACACTGGCTGCTGCTGGAGTTGCAATTACAGACAAAACATCACAACAAAATGCATGCTGGAAAGTGCAAGCAATGTGAGAAGGACGGCAAGAGGGGTCTCTCTTCATTTCCGGGAGTGACAGCTGCGCTGACATAGCCACGTGAATTAAGAATCCTGACTGGGTCCTGGAGCCTGGGGAGGGCATGAGCTCCCACCAAGGAGAGTGGACCTAAGGCTTCACATTGCAGACCCAGTTCCTTAAGCTCGTGATCATTTCTGAAGAGCCAGAGCCTATTCCTGCAATGCTCCCAGATCCCTCTGAATGCAGAGAAGCCATCAGTCTCTGGGAGGAGCAGAAAGGGCTGCCTGGTGGGAACCCTGTCCCCAGCACTCTGAGAGCTGACCTGTGCCTGTAAAAACTGTGAGAACTGCTTTCTCTTCATGGGTCAGTGTCCCAGAGAATGCAGATGGGATATTTGTTGTGACATTATTTCTCATCACCCAGGCACGCAGGTGACCTGGAGCCACAGCCATCTGTAGCCAGTACACCCAGCCAGGGTGTGGATACTCTGCGGCCTCTGGATACTCTGACAGGAAGGTGTGAGTAGGGACCAGACACCACAGTCTGGCCAAGAGAATGGCGGTACAGACAGACCAACCTCTCCTGACCATGTCCCGGAGCCCCAGCAGAGAGGGCCCACCCTCTGTAGACTCCGGGCAAAAGTTGGAAGACCACCTCCTGGCGGGAGGGCAGGCAGGTAAGTGTTCTGTCTGTTGCACTGCTAGCATCTTTCTTGTATGGGAAACCACTTATGAGGTTTAATCTGCCTAAATGATCGCAGCAGCCCTAAAAGGGAGGTATATCACGCCCAGGTTTCACAAGACAGGGAGAGGCTTGGGAAGGTCACGGGCCTCACCCAGAGACCCTTGGAAAGAAAGGGTGCACACCTGGATCCAAGTCAAGGCACCTGACTCCCAGTGGCTCCCCCTAATGGCTGCTACTGCTCTAGGGGCTCCCTGGCTCCAGCTGGTTCACTCTGGGGGACACAAAGAGATGTCCTAGAAAACAAAGTGGACATTTGTCCAATAACAAAAGTTCCCAAAGACTACACTATCAACCATAGCCCCATTCTCTGCAGAACTCACCAGTTAAGAAGGAGAAGGCTCAGGGTGCTGTTCCCCAGGAGCCCGAGAGGCCACGGCAGGAGAACTGGAGAGATTTTCATTGAAAGTCGGGCCACATCCCCTCTAAACAGGTGAGGGGCTTGAGCATGGATTAAAGGGAAAGTCAACACAAACAAAACCAGGAGAAACAATGAGTTTGGGCTCTGAGAGCTGCTCTGTGATTTCTGTGAAAACATCCCAGCCCTAAGTGGGGAAGAGAAGAGCTCACAGCTGAAATTCTAACTGGCGTTTCAGCCTCCTCGTGCGCTCCTTCTGCCTATTACAACTGAAGGGGCCCTCAGTGAGTGCGTCTGCCCTGTACACACAGTGTGCACACACAGGCCATGATACACACCCATGCCATGCACACACCATGTGCACACAGGCACACGCGCATGCACACACACCCACACATGGACATGTGTGCACTCACACCATGCACTCAGACACACATCACATACACGTCTACCCATATACACACATGTGCATCATGTGCACACACACCATGTACACACAATCATGCGTGCACAGACACACCATGTACACACTATCATATGTAGGCACAGACACACCATGTACATACATCCTGTGTGCACACACACGCCCCCTGCACACCGCGCCCCACTGGCTGACTAGTTCATCAGATCACTAGCAACGGGGCCCTGCCCCTGCGCAGGTACTGAAATATAACTGGAAATCATTTACATCTGCCTGTCAGGCATGAAGCATTTTCCATCCCTGCGGTATTTTTATACTTCTAAAAGCAGAACTGGTCTTTTTCCAGGCTTCTAAACCTGGCTGGAACAATTAAGAATAAAATCCTTCCCATTATTTAAATTATGCCAATAGCACCAATAAGGTTGCCAAATGATCTCCAAGTCTCACATCAACTTCAATCTGAAAACTACACAGCAGGACCCAGTTTCCCCACCCAAAGCCGTGATTTTTCTTTGGATGCCAACATTGATGGGATGAGCCCAGCTGCGCTACACTCCCTCCCCTCCCCCTCGCTCCCCATTCATCTCAGCCCAGAGCTGAAAGGGGCTTCTGCTCAGAACGGGCTGTCTTGTTCTCCCAGACCCCTCTTCCTCCCTCCCCAAGAGAAAGCTCAAGGCAGAAAGGACAGAAATCCATATTCTATGACATCCAGTGACATTTCCTTTTTACTCTACTTGTTTCTTCCCCCTAATGCCTAAGGGCCTTCTCATCGACCGCCTCCATTTTCGTGATCATGTGGCAAAGCCACGCGCTGATCAATCCTCTTGCTTTTTGCACCTTCTGAAACAGGAAGGGGGCTTTTGTGCCAACAAGAAGAACAGGAAGAAGGTCTGGGAAGTTGGGCTTAATAACATCAAAATGGATCTCAAAACACACGTGAGGGATTCTAAGTCACAGGGGGCAAGAACTGCTCATAAAATGAAGACAGTATCATTTGCCCACTAGTGTGCAAAGGACAGGCCACCCCTCCCTACCACCCCTCAGTGAGTGTGGGGCAGGAAGCCCACTCTGGCGCCAGGAGAACAGCTGATTTAATTTGTCAGACTATGAAAATCTGCCGCTGGATTTCGAACGGATGCTGTGCTCTGAAGTCCACTGGATGACAGGCAAAGCTGCAAGCATCTATGTGGTTTCTCCAAGCATGACTTTAATGGCCTTAACATGGTCACCCGGCCACAGCCAAGGATTGTTTTCTTGTGTCATCCGGTTCTGGGGTCTCCCTCACATTCAGCATTCCCCATCCATACTTCTGTCCATTTCTCCATCCCTCCACTGCCCCCAGTCCCTTTCCTCCACCAGCCTCCTCATCTCATGGGTTTCATCCCTGCGCCTAACTCTAAGCAGCACCAGCAGCTGTCTCCTTCCTGCCTGCTTAGATCAGATATTTTGAACTGTGCTATGCACAGCTCAGCATCCCACAAGTGATGGGGAATAGTCACATCAATAAATATCGTGCAAAGGGAGTAGTTACATCAATAAATATCACCAAAATGATGTTCAGTCTCCCTTAGGCACCCCAAGGAGGCACTCAGACCCCAAGGAGGCACACACGACCTCCTCACTTCCCTATAATCCCAACAATAACAGCTGGCAGGTCCATCGATCTCACCCCCAGTCCTACAGAGGGTCCCCTGATGCTCCTTCAAAGCCAAGTTACCCTGCAGACAAGGGGCACAGTGGCACGGTGACGTCAGGGTTATCTCAGTGGAGTCCCTCACGTGCGGTTTCCCTTTAGGGTTCCCTAGGAAACAGAGTGGCATGGGGGTCATACCAGGCCTTCCAAGACCCTCGCTCTCTAGGAGGGGCTGCTTGCCTGGGGGTCCAATGGCATCGTGACTGCCTCTGCCAGATGGGTCTGGCCAAATGAAGGCATTTCTCCATACCAAGACCCAAAGCAGCTCTTGACAGAGGCTTCAGGGGAGAAGCAGAACCCACATGATGGAATGCACATTCTTCTGTACCTTCCTAAATTGTACCAAGTGGGGTCCCAGCTTTCCCCCAAACCACATGATGGCTGGGATGATCCTTCCCCCACAGCGGTGCCGGCTCATCTCTGGTCTGCTTCTCTGATCTGCTCTGGGCATCTGCCTTAGTTGGAGCTGCTGCTGACCTGGTCTTTATGTTTCTGCCCTTTACCCCAGCTCTGCCAACTTCCGGCATCTCCAGCTGAAAGGATCCTCCCTGGATGCAGGGCCAGGCAGGTGCAATCCCTGGGAACAGCCTTTGTCCCACCAGCTCCTCCAAGGCTAGCATCTGGATCTTAGACACCTCGCCCACTGCATCCTGAAGCTCTGACCATGACCCTCCCTGTGTGCTAATGCGGCATCCAGGCGTGCCGAGACTGGGAAGGCGAGTCTCTCCTGCCAGGTGCTCTGCAGAACACATAGGTGGCAGCTGCTGCCATGAAACTTCTTCCCACTGCTATCCTCAAGCAGCAGCTTCCCCAGCACCAGAACCTCACTCGCCCCAACACCACCTGGGCGGGGATGATGTCAGGGAGGAGGGCTTCCCTCTGATGGCTTTCCTAAACCTGCTGCCAATGGGGGTTAAAATCCAAGTGGGGAAACCTTAAAACGCCAAACCCAAGAGGTGGTTGCTCGGAAAGTAGGAGGGAAAGCCAGGCAATGGGAGGGTGATCCCCAAGCTGCAGTCACCGGGCCAGGAAGGTGCCCCTTGTCCTTCCAAGCACCTTTTCTGTGATTAAAGGTTTATTTGGGACACATCTCCAAGCTGAATGACATCAGAGTCACCCCCGCTAAAGAAAAATCATAGTCCAACACCAACCAGAGACCATCCAAAGCAGCCATGGCTGAGTCTCAAACAGGACAACGAAAGAAGTGTCCCTAACCTGCCCCAGCTGCCCGGCGGCCCTGGCTTTGTGTTTCTCTGTGCTCTCAGGCATCCCAGCCCCACACACTGGCTCGCACTTGGCCCGTCCACACACAGACATTAAGGAGCTGGGTTCTGCTTAATGACAGCGATTATCGCTGCTCTAATATATCAAATTACTATCCTCCCAAACCCAAATTCAAACTCTGAAAGAAAAAGGAAAAACAAGCAGAAATCCAGCACAGGCACAATGGTAGGCACAGGGAGATTTGGAAAGCTTCCAGAAGCAGGAGTTGGCTGGCAACCACGAGGTCTTATTGCTCTCCCTGAACATTTACATTGCTGAGATTTCTGGAAAGAATGACAGCCAACAGCTCCTTCTTGTCCGGGCAATGGCACAGATGCTCTCATCAAACCCTTGCCCCCGTGCATGGCCACATCCAAGAAGCATTGCGGGGAGAGCTTCAGAATCAGCGGTTCCGTTTCCACAGCTGGGGTTTCCAGCAACCCAATGGCATGGTCAGGGTGGCTGCCAAGCAGAGGGATGCCTCTGAACTCAGCTTCCTGAGCTTCCCTGGTCCTTTCAGATTCGACGGACACGGAGATGATGCCACATGCAAGCCTTGGGCCTCGGCTCTGTGCTTGTCTTGTAAAGTAAAGCAAGGACTTTGGGCCTGCACATGACTTGGGAGGCCCTCCCATGCCCAAGGCCAGTGCTGGCGTGGCCTGCCTGGGAAGAGTAGGGGCTCCAGTGGGATTCTGAGTCTCCCAGCTCTCTCTGGGTGGGCCCCCACTGTCTCCCTCTAGGACCGACTGTGCCTAGGCCTGGGGTTCAAGGCCTTCTTTCCACAATTGGGCCCTTCCAGACACGTTTCCCATTCCCCCCGCCTCGCCTCCACTTCCCCCACACCAGGCTGGTCTGGTCAGGGTCTCCCAAACATGCGTTGGCCGCTGCCATTCATCCCATTGAAAAGGACCACCCTATCATCCCAACCTTGTCCTGCCCGCTCATCGAGCCAGTTTTGTGGCCCCAAGAAGCAAGTAAACTTCACACGGTGGCTGGCCACAGCTCTAATCCTACATCGAGTCCTTATTCATCTTCAGACTTAAGACAACTTAGTGTATCTCGCTGAGCCTCTGTTATCTCATTTGTAAACTGAGGTAACAACACGTACCTCCTTCCACCTGGTGCTGCTGGGGAGACAAAATGAGATCAGGACTGTGAAGCATTTGCCACCCGGTTGGGCCTCCATGAATACAGGTCCTCCCTTTCCTGCCCAAACCTAAAGCAAACCTCCTTCCTCCAAGCACTTGTTCAATTTGCAGACTCATCATTTTACCATCAGGAGAGTCAAAACAGTAGGGCCTGGAGGCAAACTAGTCAGGTCTGAATCCCACTTCCCTCCTGGGTAGGTCACCGACCGACCGTGGGCCTCTGTATTCCAGAGGAGATAGTGACAGCCCTAGCTCCTCACAGGGTATGGTCAGGCAAGTTCATGTCTGCTGGGCGCTGAGCTGTCCCTGTGTTCGTTTCTGTTGTTGCCTTTGTGTTGTGATCCCTGCCGTTCCTGCCAGCAATACCACTTAGTGCTGCTGTTGCTTCCCTTCATGTGTCTGGTGGGTCTCTCCCAAGCCGATCCCTGCGGGGTCTGGGGGCCACCTTCCTATACCCCGCACACACCCCTTGTTGGGCTCCTGACCCTGCCTCCATGCCAGCAGCACAGCATGCCAGGGAGGAAAGGGGTAAGTGCAAGAGAGACAAAGCACGTTTGTGTTATGTTCCCATCAGTGAAAATGAGACTCAGGAATGGCCCACATGGAGGGTACCGCGGGAGAGACCCTGACCTCACACAGGCAAGTTCTGTCCACTGGCGCTCACTGTGTGTGTGACCCAAAGAACTAAAATCTCAATGACCATGAGCGGCCACCAGAGGAGGCCTGCAGGGAGGCTCATGGGTGGCCCCTGACTCATTCCCTGGGAGGTCCCAGCCCTGTTTTCAGGGCTCTCTTCCAACAGGCTAGCTGGACTGTGCTCCTCCACGTTTGGGCACCACTGCATGCGGCTGCCTATCTCTGGGAGCCTGGAGTCCCCCTCCATGCAGGATGCCCAGAGCACCCACGGGAAACCAAAGACCACTGAGGCATGGGGCAGGGAATGGGAAGTGAACTGGGTTTGGATCTGGCTTCCACCCCCTCTATAATGCCTTCAAAATAAGACTGGAAGCACCAAAGTCCCCAAAGAGCTGGGTCCACTCTGCTTGTCCCCTGGGAACATGGCTTCAATGGGATGTGCCACCCCAGGAGAAGGTCAACACGCGCAGCTAGAAACCCTCAGTTCCTCCTCCAGTCTTCATCTCTCCTCCTGTCCCCAAGAGTCCTCAGTGGTTTAGACTTAGAATCCTTTAAACGCCCCCTCCCCCTGCACCCCCATATGTGTTCACACGTGACCCAAGACACACAACACACGGGCACCTTCCTCACCCAGTGAGGACTCTTCATCCCCCTCTCACTTTTTTTTTTTTTTTGAGATGGAATCTCACTCTGTCACCCAGGCTGGAGTGCAGTGGCGCCATCTCGGCTGACTGCAACCTCCGCCTCCCAGGTTCAAGTGATTCTCCTGCCTCAGCCTCCCAAGTAGCTGGGACTACAGGCGTGCACCACCATGCCTGGCTAATTTTTGTATTTTTAGTAGAGATGGGATTTCATCATGCTGGCCAGGCTGGTCTCAAACTCCTGACCCTGGTGATCTGCCTGCCTCAGCCTCCCAAAGTGCCGGGATTACAGGTGTGAGCCACTGCGCCTGGCCCTCCCTCTCACTTCTTTACAGCTCCATACCGTCTTTTTACTTTTTTGATTTCAAACTGCCTTACATTTACAAAATGATGATGCTGATGATGGCAATAGCTGATGCTTATATAGATCTACTATGCCGCAGGGCACGATTCTAAGCTTTCGCATACATTAACTCACTTAATTCTCAACACAGAACTCATTTAATTCTCACCAGAACCCTGCAAGGTCCATATTTCAATACACCCAGATGAGAAAACTGAGGCACCAGAGACCTAAAATAACCTTCCCCAAGAACCATAGCTAGTAAGCAGAAGTGAAACCGACCAGAAACAGAACTTAAACTGAGTGGTCTGGCTCCGGAGTCCACACACAATATGACACTTACTTTCTGTGCAGATCACTTGCTTGTGAGATGTGAGGAAGAAAAATAAATGAATAAATCAATGAAAAATAAATGTGCCCACGAGCCAGCCAGGCGGTAATCTCAGCAACACACCCCAGGCCCGGCGCCCCTCCCTCATCCCAGTCCCCTGCCTTCACCAGATGTCCCCACTCTCTTGAATGGTATTACATCCTTGTTTTTCTCTATCTTGCACCACGTTCGTATTTATCCTTTAACAATTTTGGTGACTTTTGAATGTTTTGAAGTTTTTAGAAAAGGCATCACATTGCATGTGTTCCAGGAATTGCTTTTTCTCCCTCTCCATTATCTTGTCCATGAGATCTGTTCTTGTTGATGCCTGTAACTGTGCTTCATTTCTTTTCTGGGCTGTATAATATTCCACTGTGGACCCATCACAGTTTGTTTATTCGCTCTTTTTTTTTTTTTTTTTTGAGAGAGGTCTTGCTCTGTCACTCAGGCCAGAGTGCAGTGGCACAATCATGGCTCACCGCAACCTCAATCTCCCTGGCTCAAAAAGTCCTCCCTCAGCCCCCCAAGTAACTGGGACTACAGGTGTGCACCACCATGCCCAGGTGTTTTTTTTTTTAATTTTTTAAATTTTTTTATTTTGCAGAGGCAGGGTTTCGCCATGTTGCCCAGGCTGCTCTCGAACTCCTGGGCTCAAACAATTCACCCGCCTCGGCCTCCTAAAGTTCTGAGATTACAGGCGTGAGCCACCGCACCTGCCTGGTTTATTCACTCTTCTTTCAATGAGCATTTGGGTCATATCCAGTCTTGTTGTTGTTATGAACAGTGCTGCTGAGAGCGCTGTATTCAGGTCGAAGTGAAAATGCTGGGCCACAGAGGGTGCGTATCTTCAACTCAGCTTCATGAAGCCAAACAACGTCTGTGGCAGCTGCCCTGCACCCCCCACGGGTGGTGCCTCACAGTCTTCCTTGCTCCAGGGTTCTCTAGTTTAGACAGAACTGCACTTCACTTCGCTTCCCTCCACCACTGCTGTCTGGACAGGTCCCAGGAGTCCTGCAACAGACACATCTCCACTCTCACACCAATCCTCTAATGAGGCCCCTCAGCAACTACTATCTTTCCAGATTTTACAGAGAAACTGGCTGGGGGATAAATCAGATGACGACGGAGATCATGACAATCTTACTGCAGCTTGAACAGGTTTAACAAATAAGCAGAAAGAAACCTAATCTTCTTTATCCTCCTCTCTATGCTTCCTACCACTTTTCTTTTTCAAAACGTTGCTCTCTCATGACCATCTTTGCTTCCTTTTCTTTTGTATAATATTAGTGACCTCAGGCTGCCCCAAGAAAATGCCACAAAATGTGCCGTCTCACCGTTCTGAGGGCAGAAGTTCAAAATCGAGATGTCCGCGATGCCACACTCCCTCCGGAGGCTCCAGGGGAGGGTCCTTCCTTGCGTCTCCAGGCTCTTGCTGGCCCCAGGCGTCTGTGGGCTGTGGCTGTGTTACTCCAACGGCTGCCTCCATCTTCATGGGGCTGTCTCCTCCACATGTCTCTGTCTCTTCTCCCCTGCATCTCTGTGACTTTTTCTTCTCTTCTTCTCTTGTAAGATCATGTCCTTGGATTTTGAATCCATCCTAATCCGGGGTGGCCCCATCTGGACATCCTTAACTTAATCACATCTGTCTGCAAATTGACCTTTTTCTGAATAAGGTCACATTTACAGGTTCTGAGAGTTGGGACATGTATGTACCATTTTGGAGGGTCACCATCAACCCACTACACCATAGTCACCAGTCTAGTCCAAGATCTCCACCCAAATGCTTCCCAGAAAGTCCATTTCCAAGACTGCCCATCACCATACTCTCCCGTTACCTAAATTCTAAACACCACACCTGCTCAGTTCTCCACCGGGTGCCCCCGGGTTCTGCCCCTCTTTGTGGCCTTTTCCAAAGGCTGTGATTTCTCCAGAGATTCTCATCCTCCTCCAATTCCTATAACCCTTCTCTGGGCATTATTCACTGTCTTAGATAACCCCTGCCTGATAGTGAGAGCTCCTTGTGTCCCTATCAATTATAAACTCATTGAGGGACATGCTATCTTTACTTTTTCCTCCCCAAGACTGAGCAAAAATACTTTGCTTATAACAGATAATAAAAGTTTGTTGAATGAAGACAAGATGCTTTTTCCCCATAATGAAAATAGAAAAAAGAATTTCAAATATTTTTATCCTGAAAATTACTCAGAGAAAGACACAAACTCACCAAGAAACAGAAAGAGGACCAGCTAGAAATTGTTTCTGGGAAGTTTATAATAGTTCATATACCTTACCTTAGACAGTCACGTCTAACTTGAAGTAAAACAAAGTTTCTTTAGAATAGTTTTAAAATCACGGTCAAATTCTAAGTCTTGTGGCTTCATTTTAATTGTAGGATTTTTTTTTCTTTTAAAAACTTATCCCAGTCTGGTTGCCTGAGACTTTTTAATTAATGATGGAATCAAACCTTCTTGCTCAGAACAAATAAATACAGGCATATAAGATTCAAATTTAGATGTGGCAGTACCAGAATTTCATCTCAAAAACTGGTTTATTTTAAACTAAAAATCTCAGCCTGCGCCTTGGGTTTCTAATCTATGAAATGTGGAGCGTGGACTATATGAATCTTTAAGGTCTTTTCCTGACTTAAAAAAAGTGCTCTCATTAAAATATAATCATACATGTGTCTTTATGTATAGAAGCATCAATACATACATATTCATATATATACACATACGCCATTGTATCTTGAAATTACATTTGTTACTTTCTGAAAGGAAAAATGATGAAGAAACTTAAAAGCTCATGAAATGATATCCCATCCCTTTACGTCAGTGAGGAAAAGCTGGAACTGAGAATCTCTTTCTTTTAGCCATCAGAGCAAAGCAGCATTGTTTATTATTTTTGCACATGGACTGAGATTATTTTATGAAAATATTTATTAACAGGTAAATTATTAGAACAGCTTTATTGTTTTGCCAGTATCTTAAAGAGGTGACAAATATCTCCATAATCTTTCCTTTTCAAAGCTATCCTATATCCAGTGACAACTATCATTCCTCTTGAGAAATGGCTTTATATCTACAGCCTCTGTAGAAACTGGTGCATTTATTCTTCTAAGTGTTTGGATGGCGAATTCAGTCACTGCACCGTTCTGCAAATCCAAAAGCTGGCATCTGTAGCTTAAATGAGTTCCCCAGATGTCAGTGTGGATGGGTGGAGAAGGGAACTCCCTCCCTGTACTCATCAGCTGGCTCTTGCCACCTGCCCAGAGTTGCCACTCCCTCCCTCACCATGTCCCCCGCCTGCCCCCACCTCTCTAGGATGCTCCTGGGGCTGCTGTTCTTGATCGAATTCCAGGCCATTCCGAGGAAGAAGGGAAGCCGGCCATGTGGTCTTGTGCTGCTGAGTCAGCACTTTCTGCTGCCTGGTGCCCTGTCTCCTCCTCATCAGAGTCTGCTGCCTGGTGCCCCCTCCCCTCCTCATCAGAGTCTGCTGCCTGGTGCCCCATCCCCTCCTCATCGGAGTTGTGCCAAGATGCTTAGATGTGCAGATGATTTTCAGAAAGCATGGATCTCAGGAATAGATAAGGAAATACAGCCCCAGTTCTCCTGGTCTTATCTCAGCCTTGAGCTGTGCTCTCTTCTCTGTCTCTGATGCGACTCCTGTTTGCAGATCCAGCCTTCTGGGCCATTCCCTGCCTCCCTCACACCACATGGGAACCCAGCTCAGTCCTGTCTCTCCTGTGTCCTCTGTCCTTCTTCTTCCTGTCCCCGTGGTTGGCCAGGGAGGCCATCTGGTCTGCACTGGATTGCAGGATGTGTGGCCGCACCCACCCTTCAAGAACACTTCACTGGGGTTAAGATGTTGTTTGGGGTTAAGCCGGGCTTAAGATGCTGCTTTTTAAGTTTCATAATCCTTGTATCTGGACTGAATGCCTAAAACCAATTGGAGAAGAATGCAATTTTCTGGTTCCTTAATAATTTTTATAACTACAAAAACCACAACCCAACAGGTTCCTTGTAAGTTAGACCTATATGCGAGCCAGTGGAGAGGCTCAACCTTCTAAGTAAATCCTGTTTTCTTTGGTTCTTCCATCTGTGGCTTTTCAGAAGTCCTCGGATGCAGAAGTTCATATCACCCTTTCCACTCCCTGGTACAAAGTGTGGGGTGTCTAGATTCACTGGAGGAGCCCCTCCAGGCAGCCCAGGGAACACAAGGTCTGGCAAACACCACTCCTCACTCCAGACGCTCAGCTCCCACTGCAGGCCTGAGCTCGTGGAGCGCGTGGGGGCAGAGCTGGGACATGACTGGGGAAGGAGGTCCTCTTCCTGAGGGTCGTTCTCAGAGGGTGGTGGATTCCCACATGGAGTTCTCACCTGTGGTTTCAATGCACCCCTTCCACGGATGGCTCCAGCCAAGTCAACAGCCCTCTCTGAAGCTCGGGTTCCAACAGCAAGGTGGGGATTTCACCTGCCTACGGTCGTTCCCTTTGTAAGTGTGCCTCTCCCATAGGGAAGGTCACTCTCAGCTCTAAGTGGGTGTTCCCAAGCTTTCTGTGGCTTGGAAATGGATGTCATGTAAACAGCCCTGTCCTTGAGTGTCAGTGGCAAGAAGGTTTCACACCTCCCAGCTCATTCTCAGACGACCACTGCCATGTGCCTGTTCCAGGTATAATTTTTAAAATTCACTAATTGTGATCCTTGCAACTCAAAATCTGCCGTGATTTTAGATGAGGAAAAGCTCAATTTCTTCACCAAAAAAAAGAGTGGGAATTGCAAAGTAAGACAAGACTGTAAATTAGACTTTAGGAAATGCAGTGCAGAAGAGAAGCTTTTGAAGTCTTTTAGCTTTATCAATTTATTGGCAAGGCAATGGCTGTGTTAACTGTGTTTCTAATCTGGTCCTGAGAGCTGGCACAGAGGACGGTGGAAATGGCCGACCTTCTTCTGTTAGGATCGAGTGTTACTAAATACTGAGAGAAGGGCTCAGGCAGGCTCTTGTCAGAACCTTGCACTGGGAGGGGACGAAGGAAGTTCAGGGTCTGGATGCCCTCCTGAATCCCTGTGAGCTCCCATGTCCACTCCTAGGATGCCCTCTCCACCCCCAGCTAACCTCATGTTCCAGCCTCTGCAAATAATTTTATCACTTACAGTGATGTTTTAGCAAGAAAAGAGCAATTTAAAACATTTTTTTAAAGCCAAAGATAGGCCGGGCGTGGGGGCTCACGCCTGTAATCCCAGCACTTTGGGAGGCCGAGATGGGCGGATCACGAGGTCAGGAGATTGAGACCATCCTGGTTAACATGGTGAAACCCCGTCTTTACTAAAAAATACAAAAAATTAGCCGGGCGTGGTGGCGGGCGCCTGTAGTCCCAGCTATTCGGGAGGCTGAGGCAGGAGAATGGCGTGAACCCGGGAGGCGGAGCTTGCAGTGAGCCGAGATCGCACCACTGCACTCCAGCCTGGGCGACAGAGTGAGACTCCGTCTCAAAAAAAAAAAAAAAAAAAAAAGCCAAAGATAAAGAGGGCTTACAGAAGAGGAAAGAAAATTACTAGTTTAGATAGAAACTGCACTTCTCTTTGCTTCTCTCCACCACCGCTGTCTGGACAGGGCGCCGGGAATCCTGCAAAAACCTCTCCACTCTCACGCCAATCCTCTGTTGCAGCCCCTCAGCAACTACTGTCTTTCCAGATTTTACAGAGGAACTGGCTGGGGGATAAATCAGATGATGATGGAGATCATGACAATCTTACTGCAGCTTGAACAGGTTTTACAAATAAGCAGAAAGGAACCTAATCTTCTTTATCCCGCCCAGGTGATATTATAAACCAGCGCACACACACACACACACACACACACACACACACACACACACACGCGCACACACACGGTATTAAAATATGGTTCTGTGAAACAGATTAAGATAAAAATAAAATCTGCTCTCTCTTAAATAATAATATAAATTGCTGAATCCAGGCACTTCTGCCCTGTTCCCTGGCGTGCAGCAGTCCACCACCCCCGAGGAAGGTACCCTGGAGGACATGAGCTTTAACTCTCCTCCCTGCAGAGGGAGGGGCCGACGGGCTCCCCACATTCATAGTGCGACTCGTGAGACACCACCTGGCCCTGCTGTCTGCATCTCTGACCACCCAGGTTCACAAGGAAAGCTGACTTTGAAGGCCAGGGAGTGGTGAGATGCTGAGGCTGCCTGACCATGGGAGAGCAGGGCCCTCACTCCTGCCTGTGGTGCAAGTGTGGGTGATGCCACCTCCTGCTCCAGTTTTCCCAGGGCTCAGGGTGGCTCCCACATGGCCATCAACTCCTCTTTACTCTAATTCAGCAGTTCTCAAAGTGGGATCCCTGGACCAGCAACAGCAGCATCGCCCCATACTTATCAGACACGGAACCCTGCCTGCCCCAAACCTGCTCACTCAGACCCCCGGGGGTGCAGCCCAGCCACCTGCATTTTCACAAGCCCTCAGGGCCATGGTGGAGCTCGCTTGATTGCCTCATTGCACTTCAGCCTCTGAAGTCACAAAAACCAAAAAACACAACAAACAACGATATGGTTCACTGCCCCGGTTCATGGTCGGCTCTAAAGGACTGGGATGTGGAAAGTGTGAAATAACACAAGAGCCGGAACAGAATGAATGTGCCCTAATGGCCAGCGTTCTCCAGCAGCCAAGTCACCCAGCCACCTCTCATCATGCTCCTTCCGCCCTCCTCAGCGTCACCACTTGGTTCCAGGTACCACACATCTATAATACAGCTCCCTCCTCCTCTCTCATTGTGCAGTTTGAGTTTTTGTGTTGTTTTGTTTTTAGGGACAGGGTCTCTGCTGTCACCCAGGCTGGAGTATGCAGCAGTGCTATCATAGCTTACTGCAGCCTTGAACTCCTAGCCTCAAGCAACCCTCCCCGCTCAGCCTCCTCAGTAGCTGGGACTACAGGTGCACACTACTATGCTCTGCTCATCTTATTTTCTGTAGAGACAGCGTCTCGCTATGTTGCTGAGGCTGGCCTTGGACTCCTGGGCACAAGCAGTCCTCCTGCCTTGGCCTCCCAAAGCACTGGGGTTATAGGCCTGAGCCACTGTGCCAGGCCCATTGTATAGTCTTTTTAAAAAGCCAATATTTCCTAAAGGAAACTCAGAAAATCAAAATACAGTAGTAAGAACTGCATGTGCTTTGTAACTTTGCTTAAAATAAAATGTACTGGAGTCTACTTTGTGGCTGGCCCCATATACTTTAGAAAGGGATTTCACTGTTTTGTGCTTTCAATGGCAGGCATATTTGTAAAACAAGTAACCAAAAACACCATGGGGAGTTCTTTTTTTTTTTTTTTTTTTGAGACAGGGTCTTGCTCTGTTGTCCAGGCTGGAGTGCAGTGGTGTGATAATGACTCACTGCAGCCTCAACCTCCTGGCCTCAAGTGATCCTCCCACCTCAGCCTCCCAAGTAACTGGGGCCACAGGCATGCCCCATGCCTGGCTTTTTTTTTTTTTTAATAGAGATAGGGTCTCTGATGCCCAGGCTGGTCTCGACCTCCTGCTCTCAAGCAATCCTCCCACCTCAGCCCCACAAGGTGCTGGAATTACAGGTGTGAGCTACTGCACCCAGCAGGGCATTTTTAATGCAAGAGAATCCCTTAGGAAACAGTATAAAATTATAAACACCTTAGGGATTTTGGGTTTTGTTTTTTTTTTGTTATTTTTTTTTTTTGAGACAGGGTCTCACTCTGTCACTCAGGCTGGAGTGCAGTGGTGCGATCTCAGCTCACTGCAACCTCTGCCTCTCGGGTTCAAGTGATTCTTGTGCCTCGGCCTCCTGAGTAGCTGGGACTACAGGCGTGTACCATCATGCCCAGCTAATTTTTGTATTTTTAGTAGAGATGGGGTTTCACCATGTTGGCCAGGCTAGTCTCAAACTCCTGACCTCAAGTAATTCACCCGCCTCAGCCTCCCAAAGTGCTGGGATTACTGCCCTGTGGATTTTTTAACTCCTCACAGAAACACACTCTGATGAATTTCCCCGTTTCTGTTTATGATGAGCTCACGGATGTTGTGGGGAGAAAAGCATCTCCACTGTGCACTTGGCTTTTACGATAAATGGATGCTGAAAGCTGGTGGCCCAGCCAGGGTCACCTCCGTCAGAATCCTGACAGGCAGTCACGTCTGAACGTGGCCAGTGCTCTCACTACGTGTCTGTGAAAGTCAGAAGGATAAGAGTCCCAGAGACCAACATGCTATTCACCAGGACTGTTGACTGTCAGCCCAGAGTGTCCATTCCAGATCCCAAGCCTCCTGGATTCCTTCAGAGGGTCTGCCCATGCCCTGAATTCCCTCCTAACTCCCCACCTGTGCCCTCGGTCCCCTGGGTGGTGCGGGAACGCACATCTGGTGGGTGTGAGCAAGCGTGGCCCGTGCTGGTCACGCTGTTTACTCTCCCTGAAGATGGACAGTAGGGCTTAATCTGGTCCAGGTCATGAGACCTGGCTGGCAGCCTCCACCATTAGACAACTCCCAAGCTCATCAGACTTTTCAATGATGCGGCTTCATTCTCATTAAAATTAACTTTCTGGCTGGGTGCGGTGGCTCACGCCTGTAATCCCAGCATTTTGGGAGGCCAAGGCGGGTGGATCACCTGAGGTCAGCAGTTCGAGACCGGCCTGGCCAACATGGCGAAACCCCATCTCTACTAAAAACACAAAAATTAGCCGGGTGTGATGGGCGCCTGTAATCCCAGCTACGTGGGAGGCTGAGGCAGAAGAATCACTTGAATCTGTGAGGCGGAGGTTGCAGTGAGCTGAGATTGCGCTACTGCACTCCAGACTGGGTGACAAAGCGAGACTCCATCTCAAAGAAAACACAAACCAAACAACTTTTTAAGCCATAAGTGTGAAGGCAGTAAACATTTTAATGTTTCAAGTTCACTGAAAAGGGCCATGGCCCTAGGCAGTCACTGGCTGTTTCATATGATCTCAAAGAGCAAACAGGAGGAGCCAGGGGTCAACTGGGCTAGGCTTGGTCCTGGGGTCCACCTGTTGGCAGCAGGAACTTGAACTCATCGCCCACCTGTCTCCAGGCCACAGTTTCCTCACTGATAACATGGAAGCAGTGCCTCGTGTGGCCGTTGGAGACCCAGCGTGGCAGGCACCGTGGTCTGGCATAACACTGTGTGACCTGCAGGCTACAGCCGCCCTCATCCTGCCACCTGCCCTCCTCTCCTGCCTGTCCCAAGATGAGCACACACAGCGTTCTCCAGTGCCCTGCAGAAGGCACCATGGGCTCCCACAACCACGGCCCAGGGGATGAAATGACACCATGCTCCCTTTCTGGGGCTCTAATTTGAGTGGTGAGATACTGGAAGCCTGGCAATCACCAGACACCCAAAAATGACCAAAGGGGAACCTTCCGGAGCTTAGGCCCCTTGCCCAGCTAGCTGATTCTGCAGAGGCCACGTGACAAAGGCTCATCACCCAAGTGATGTGAGCATCTACGACACAGAGCAGATGAGCAGTAGCCATCGTATTAGCCAGGGGCCAGGCCCCGGACGGTCTTCTGCCCCAACCGGAAGCTGGCTCTAGGAGCATGGGTCACCAAAGACACACAAAGGTAAGATGTAGCCCAGCCAGGGGACCAGTGTGGGGCTCTGGAAGCAGCTACCTGGGTCACCTCTTGGCTCTGCTACTTACAGCCCTGTGACCCCGGACCAGGCCCCTACACCTCCCCTTGCCCCTCCACTCTCAAAGGGCAGCAATGAGGCTCATGGGAGCACATAGGTGTGAGGCTCTGAGCACACTGCCCGGCGCCTAGGAAACACTAAATCAACAGTGGCCACCAACTATACCCTTGCTCTTTCCCTTTCATTTCTAAAGCCTAAGGTATCAAGCCACACTTCACATTTAGAATGAGAACTAAAAGGCTTTGATCCATCTTAGTGATTCTAAGCTATTATGATTTTATTACATCACATATAAGAAGGGTAGCCATGGTTTATTAAGTGCCACAAGCTGGTCACAGTGCTTCACAGGTATCAAGCTATTTGATCTAATAAGATGGATATTTTTATTATTAATATTTCCTTTTCACAGGAGGGGTAAGTCACCCAGTTGCCCTGCTAGTAGGCGGTGGAGCCAATTCTGAACCCAGACTCTCTTACTGTGGAGCCCACATTCCTGAGCTCTATCCTATACTGCCTCCTCCTTTACTGAGGGCATTTTGCTAACAAGTACTACACCTGGAATCATTTTTTTGAAAGAAATAGCGGGAGAAAGAAAATTTTAACTAAGCTCCACATATAGTTCAATTCATCTTAACCTCCTTGTTACATATTAATTTAGAATTACCACAAAGGAGAGTAAGTGCATTTTCTATAAAGCTACAACATTAATGGATTTACATTAAATATTTGCAAATCCAAGAACAATGTTCACGACCTGCCAATAGGTGTGAGACTGTGGCTCCCACCAACCCCAGAGCTGCTGCCACCTCTCCCTGCCACGAGCTGCCAACCAGAGCAGTGGGCACAACATCCTCAATTTTCAGTCATGACCATCTAGCCACAAGACTAAAACACGCAGGAGCTGATAACATCTCACATCCTCCTAAGATAACCTGCATCAACCTCGCCCGTGAGCCAAATTCTGAAGTGTAATGTTGCTTGCCAAGCTTTGTTTGAATGGTGGAAATTTCCATCCAGTAACTCACAAATGTAGATACTGAAATATAAATAGTTCAAAGATGCAAAGCTTGTCATCCAGCGATCTGAAAGTACTTGAGAGATCTCTCAGAAATAATAAGACTGTTACCTGTCTTGTACACGCAAGTACACAAGTCTCAAGATAGAGGGATTTAACGCGTCTGAAATTAGTCATAATATGAGCCATGAGGAAGAAACCAGAAGTCTCAGAAAAGGAACCATACAAAGATTCTCTTGGAGGACAACTCCAGGGAGCATGTAGCCTGTCTTGGGGGAAAGCACAGAGCTCAGAGTGTTGAGATTCGAAATCCCCATTTTGTGTAAGAGATGGCACTCTCTGTGATGCCCAAGCAAAGGCCCTCACTGCTTCCGGCCACAGCATCTTCCTCCCTCAAAAAGAATGGGTAGAAAACCTGACCGCAGGGTTGCTGTGAAGACAGAGTAAGTTACTGCTCACAGACTAATAAATACCAAGCTAATACTATTATTATTAGAAAGAGGAGTATTTGCCTTCATGAAACCAGGAACACGAAAATCAATTTTTAGCAAAATTTGACCTGTAACATTAAAATACCTTGAGCACTATTGTGTGCCAGCCCTGGCTGTAGTGATGACCTCTGCTATTCCTCACTCCAATCCTGAGTTTGGCACTTGGATCAGCCCTGTTCTGCAGATGCAAAAACTGAGGCCCAGGGTCACATGGTTAAGAAGAGGTGGAGCTGGCATTCAAGAGTAGGCTGCTTGACCCAGAATCCAGGCTCTTACCATTCCCCAGCCACCCCTCTGTCCATCCACGGTGCTGTGCGGCCAAAGAAACAGCCCTCAGAAACCACCTGCGTGAAGCTTAGTCAGAGGTGGCTCATGGGTTTGACACAGCAAGGGAAGATCAAAACAGCCCAGCATCTCAAGGCTCTTGGTTTTCCTCTCTACTTCTCCTCTCTACCAAGCTGTCTTTGAGGGTAAAAGTATAGGCTCTTCTACTGTGATTTAGCTTTTTGTGATTCCATTCATTCATTTGCATGCCAGCTCTGAGCCAGGCACTGGCTGGGCAGCTGAGACGCAGGGGTAATTTTGGAAGCTCAGAAGAGAAGCACAAAATCCCATGCTGAGTGCCATAATCCCATGATCGTAGGGGCAGAGGAGTACGAAGAGTAACCAAGAAAGACTCTCCTGGCCACAGGGTTAAGGGTGAATGAAGGAAGGCTTCCCCTAGCCTGGGGAGATGAGGTGGGTTCTTGGTAGAGAGAGTGGCCCAAAGAAAGCACAAATGCTAGAATGACTGGCAGTTCAGCCTGGCTAGCCCATGGGGAGTGGCTGCGGAGACGCAGGGCTGGGAGAGAAAAAGGGCTCCAAGAGAGCCCTGCTGGCCAGGCTAAGCTCTTTGAAATTCATATTCTAGAGACTTAGCCAACTCAGATATTGAGGTATAGTTCTCAAGAAGCACAGAACGCCCCTGGGAAGAGAGAAGGTGACAAAATGATGCTGCCCATTTTCCTCTCTAAACCAGATGAAATTCAGAGAAAGGCTGCTGGGTTTGGGCAGGGGCACATGGCACATTTATGACAACTGAAGGGGAGGAGGCCTAGAGGCACAAGGCTGGATGGCCTCCTGCTCACACCATTCAGGACACGGCCATTTTCTGGACAAACTCATTCGCAGGTCTTCAGAAACAGGAAACCTGCAGCTTCTGCTGTAATTCTTAACGTGAGTGCTGATAAATATGAAACTTAGTGAAAGGGCTCCTCCCTTTTTCACCAGACTTTTGTGTAGAGTACATTCTCATGTTAGTGACACTCATCCTTACTGTTTTTAGTAATGTAACACCATAGTTATCATAGATGTACCCTTCCTTCTTGTTGCAAAGGTTTTCATCCACCACCATCTCTGGTTTCCTGTGTGCCCCTGTTGGCTTAGTGGGTTTAGGCTTGGAAACTGTAATTTCTATATGGGCTTACAGAAATGCCAGCTCCACAGTCACAAAATCAAATAAGCAAGCAGGCAATGAAAACCCAAGAGTGCAAGGAAAAGCAAGCCCTTGGGTCTCTTTGCATTTGGTCAGGAGCCCAAAAGGTTGAGCAAAGCGTCTGAAAGACAATGTTTAACATTTCACAAAACACCTAAATTATGCCCAAAGGAACTAGTCCCGCCGGGTGTCTAGAGAAGGCCCTGGTCTCCAGAGACAGCAAAGCGTGGCACCTCCGACTCCACTGAGGTGGCCCCAGGCCTTGCGGATACTCAAACACAGTACAGCTGATGGAAATGATGTTTGTTATCACACTTTTGGGTTCACACACACAAAACTGTAATAGATGCCCTGGAAAACACTCCGTAAAGTTCAGCTGTCATCTGTCCTTGCCTCTAACCTGCCTAGGGTAGAAGTGACTCGGCAGGCAGCCGGGAAGCGTGACCTTGCCGCATGATCTCCGGATTCCAGCCGGCTTAGCGGAGCCAACGCTGCAGATTCCCAAGGGCAATTCCAAGGTTCCAAACCCCACCCTGGCCACTTTTCAGTGCTGACCCCAGAGAAGGCTCAGACATGCTTGGATCAACCCCAGGAGGCCCTGGCTCCCTTACAGCTTCACCCCACACTGTCAGCTAAAAACAAAACCAGCACGTTTTATAAGGAATCAAAAATCAACTGTCTCCTAGGAAAATTGTGCCACCTGAAGTAAAGACCTGTAAATCAAAAATAAAATTCAAAGGCCCCCTGAACCATGGGGATGGACTCCCTCCTTGGCCAGGGCACTCTAAAATTTCCCCTGAAAGACTGGTTCAGGCCATGACGGGAAGTGGCGGTCCGTCTGACATGCCTTATCGTAGCCTGTAACATTAACATCAACACAGACCTTAAGTCTGATACGAAGCATTTACAGTCTGTTCTCTCTCAAGCCTGCTGCCTGGAGGCCTCATCCGCATGATACAACCTAGGTCCCCACAGCCCCGTATCGTAACCCAGACATCCCTTTCTATCGATAATAACTTAACCAATTAGAAAAAAATTTAAATTTACCTATAACCTGGAAGTCCCCCTTTGGGCTGTCCCACCTTTCTAGACGGAACCAATGTACATCTTAAATATTGATCACTGTCTTACGTCTCCCTAAAAGTATGAAACCAAGCTGTTCCCGACCCCTTTGGGCACGTGTTCTCCTGGTCTCCTGAGGCTGTGTCACGGGCCATGGTCACTCAGGATAAATCTCTTTAAATGTTTTAGTTTGACTCTTTTCGTGGACACACCTCTCTGATTTAAACTGGAGTCTGGAAGATTCCCGCAGTCCCCCGACGCAGCTGAAGCCACAGGGGCGCAGACTCCACACACCCGCGGGCCGTTCCCCTGCGGACACCACACCAGCATTTGAGCGCCATTTCCATTCCCGGGGTCTCCCAGTCACCGCTCAAGCCTGAATGGAGCGCAGGCCGCCCCGGGTGGCAACACCTCCACCCTCAGGTCCACACTGGCGACCCTTCCTACTGCCAGCGCTCTCAGGCTTCCTGGACCGGTGTTCCTGGACCTGGGGAGGAGAACACCAGCACGCGCGGGGCGCCGGGATTTGCATGGCCCGGGTGATCCCCTATGCATAGGGCCGCCCCTGTCCCAGGGAGGCTGCGACCCCGCTCGGGGCTGCAGCTGCCTCCTCGCGCTTGGCAACAGCGCGGGGCGCCCGCAGCCAATCGCGCCGCTCCCCGCGCCGCCGCTCCGCCGCGGAGGTTACTAGCGAGCGTTGACCGGTAGTAACCCCGGCGCGGGCGGTGGCGGCGGATGGGCGGGCGCTGCACACGCGCGGCAGCGCGCACCCGCCCCGCCCGCACCTGCGCGCGCGAGGGGCTCCGGCAGCGCTGTTTTCTCCCGGGCGTTGAGCTCGGGCAAGAGCGCGAACGTCACCCTGCGTCCACAGGCCTGCAGAGTCAGCACCTGCACCAGCCAGAGAAAGGACGGGCTTTTTTACTCAGTATGGAGAGCCTGCGTTAGAGCTGACACTTAGTGGGCAGAGCCCGGCCTTCCGGGAGCCTGCACATCACCACGGGCCAGGATGAATCCCGCCCTGGGAGGGAACGTCTGGGTGGAGGCCAGGTGGCCTGATAACCCCAGGGCCAGGGTGGGCAGAGGTGTCCAGTGCAGCCCCCAGCCAGGTGCGGGGAGCTCCAGACAAAGGACAGAGGCCAAAGATGCCCCCATACCTGCATCCATGAAAGAATTCCCGGAACACGTGCCCCAGGAGGAGGAGAGGCCTTTTGTAGCTCCTCATTGTCAGCAGGGTTTGGGGTTTATGTCTTGGGTAAGGAAAACTCAACCCAGCTTATTTTATTATCTGGGTCTGAGCGATTGCAAAGAGATGAGTTCTCAGTGGCGCTTATAGAGGCAGGGAGTTGGGACTCCAGGTGTTAAGTCCAGTCCTGGACCTGCCCCCTACCTGCCAGCGGTCCTGGGCAGGCCCTCGTTCCCCCTCCACCCTCCTTCCCTTCTGGAGAAGATGCCCATACTGATGTGTGTCCCATGCTGCTCCCCAAAGGCTTAATGAGGCAAAGCGCCAAATAAAGCAAACACGATTTGCTCAGTAAACACCAGTTATTTTTAATTAAAACAACAACAACAAAAAAAAACACTTCTCCCAAAACAGTGGGAGGAGAGAAATAACAACTGAGAAATCCCATAAAAACTCCTGCCAAAAGGTTCACTTTCAAGACAGGCAGTTGAGATATCAGAGAGGGGGACTTTTTTGGTTGGAAGGCACCAAGTTGCCTTATAACAGTAAAAGAAACAGAAAGAACGTGACTCAGGTTCTGCCCTTCCAGCGGGTTCCACCCTTATCAGTTTACAGACAGCAAGAACCTTCCAGCAGGGGCGCCTGCCCACTGACCTGCACCCTGCGGATGCCGCAGTGATGCCCACCTCCCAAAGCAGGACTCTGACCTCATTTCCTGCAAGGGCCATGTGCTTCTTATTTCCTCCTCTCAAGGTAGCTCTGGATTGTAATGTATTTGGTTATTGTTCTGTACTTGGCTGGGCTTTTCCCCTTGATTTGTGAGCTTATTTCAAGACCAAGATTAACTTGGTCTACGGAGTTTCAAAAAACAGAACCTGGATCCACAAATGAACATTGCTCAAATACAGATTGCAGCTCAACAGACAGAAGCATTTTCTAAGAATGAGGGTTGTGCAAACATAGCCCGGCTGCCTGGGAGGTGTCAGTTCCTGGTTGCTGGAAGTGCTCAGACAGAAGCTGGCTGTCCCTTGTCAGAAATGGTGCAAGAAGGCTCCCTCCACGGGGCAGGAGGGCGGGCTACGGCAGCACGACTCCTTTTGGCTCCAAGATTTGGACTCTAAATATAGGTCTCAGCTGGATGTAATCACAGCCCTGAAGTCACCCTGGTGTGTCTTACTTTTGACACCAAATGCCATTTACCCCACAGAGCACGGAGGTGACAAACAGCACACAGCTGACAAAGTGGGAAGTGAAACTCTTGGCTGCAGGTCAGACTGGATCCCTGCAGGCCCACCCGCCACCACTCATGACTGAAAACCCATCTTTTTGCGTTTTTTCACAATGTGAGCAAAAACAGTCGGCACTGGGTACATTGTATTTGAGAGTAAGTTTCCTATGCAGGTGTTGGAACTTCATCAACTGAGTTTGATGAATGCACCTCCATGACAAATCCCTAGTTTTACGGTTTAGTCCTTCAGGATATATTTAATCTGACCCACATGGTTTTCTTTGTTCATAGCTAATCTGTTGATTCTAGAACTGAACTCAGAAAGAGCAGGTGTATGGTTACTAAACATTTTTCTTCCTGCCAATTTATAAACAAAAGAAACGGTGTCATGTTCAGCAAAATGTCACCTTTGGTGATTTCTTGGACTGGTGGATTAGGTTCTGGTTTATAGGGAGGGCCTCCATTTGAGAACGTGAACTTTTCAAGATACAAGCCTATTCAAGGCAGTAGAGGAAGGCAGGGGGGCACCCACCATGCAGGTGAAAACGATTGTGGTAAGAACATCCTCCAGCAGTTAAACAGTGACACCAACCCCCACGGAGCAGAGCACAGTCCTACAGAGTTGCACTGAAGGGGCCAGATGGTTCAAGAACAGGAGCACTCTCTGGGAAAATGACAAAGTATTAACATGTCCAAATAAAGAACCTGCCAATCTGAGGGTGGCAAAGAGAAAAGCAGACCCCAAGGCCAATGTTGGCAGAGCCATCTGAGCCTTGTCCAGGGAGGCTGCCACCGCTAACAACGCCACACTAAGGAGTCACACACCCAGATCCCAGGCCCAAGCTGGTGAGGGTTTGGTTTCCCTTGCAACGTGCTCACAGGGAGAAAATGTGCTGGCTGGAGGGGAGCATCTAGACCCCTTGGATATGAAGCCTGTCCAAGAAAGTAGCAAACCCCTTTGGTCTTGCACATGGCGGCTAAACATTCAACTCTCATGAATCTGCTGTGAGAGTTGGTCCATTCTCAAAATTTTTTCAAAGCCTCTTTGGGGCCCTGTAAGGCAGAGGGGTCAGAACTGTTCCAGAAGACCTCATCACCAAAGGAGTGCTACCCCTCAGGGCCTGAGTGGTAGCCCACCCACCTGGGGGCCACTGAGAACCTAGGAACTGGCCCCAGCGGGGAAGAGAAGGGTTCTCCAGTCCTCTGAATTCTCCAAGGCAGACTCTTTGTCAATGCCCCAGCCTCAAGCAAGCCATCCCTGCAAGTGGCCTGGGGCCACGACACTGCACCAGGGGTCAGCTGTCACCTCCATTAAAGGCAAAGGACTAAAAGAAATGTCCTGTGGGCCCACAAGAAAGCCCACTTTAGCACAACAGCCTCAAAGAAGCACAAAAGTAACTCACTTATGCTAGGGAACTATCCATCCCCCTTCAGCCTGAGCATCTGCCCCTCTCAAAACCCCTAGCCACAGGATCTCCACACTCTGCCTTTAACCGGGCTGCCTCCCCTCCCTGTTCTAGCAGGTTGGATCAAGTCACTAGCACTTGGTTGGAATCCAGTCTTCCCTTAATGGAATTCCTGAAAGGATTTATTCATGATGCCTTCCATGCACTTTAGCTGGCCTGTCATTACAGGCCTTGTGAAATGGCTATAGAAATTAAGAGAAAGCAACCCCGAATTTGAGAAAGGTGTCCAAATGCATTTTTATAGCGTAGAAGCAAACCAATACAGATAATCTGACTTGGCGCTGCCCGGAATATTTAACCCCTTCCTGGTTTTTGGCAAGGATGAGCCTGGAGGGTTGGGTTTCAAAGAAGGAGGCGACATTCCATTCCATCAGAGCGTCACCATGTGGAGGCCACGGCCTGACTGCAGATAGGAAAGAAAACGCTCTAAAGCCCCAGATATGACTACATTTGTTCTCAACCTGAACTTCGCCTCAAGGTAATCTTGGGAGGTAAATTTGATTTCTGAGAATCGCTTCACCTGTTGGAGAGAAAGCACGCCATGCACATCAGCCTCCCCTTCCTGGTGAGAAGAGGGAAGCTGGAGCCTCTCCAGAGGGACAGGAAATCCCTATAAATGGCCAATGGCCGCTGACATCCAAGCAGGCCAATTAAAAGGAAAATACATCAGTTTACAGCCAAGGCAACCCCACACCATTTCATAACACGGGGCTAGGCACAGCTGTGCCTTGGTGGTCCAGTCCTGTGCCCACGTCAGAGCTAAGCACTTGCTACGCTCCTTTTTGGCCTGAAATCCCACAGACCTGGTTCTGAGTTCCTTCCTCCCCACTCCTATGACCTTGGTCACGTCTCTGAGCCTCATGTCACAGGTTTCCACAGGAAGAATGTGCAGATCCTTCCTGAATCGGCCCCATGAGCCAAATGGATTGAAGAACGGCTATCATTCAGTCAACTACGCGTGGGAACCGCCGGGATCTCCTGGGGGATGGGCAGTGTACGAGTACCCAAGCATTCCATTTGTTCACTGTGGCCAATCACGCCCTAATAAAATGAGACCCTTGTGTGAATGGGCTCTGAAAGCAGCTTACGATAAAATCTGCTCATCCCCATCATCTTTACCTAAGAAGAATTTTATTCTGTGAACTTACTCTTAACCACATTCCTAAATGTTCTCAACATAGTGTCTACTCTGTAGGAAGAAAAGGCTGCTTTCAAAAGAGTCACACCTAAGGGTGAGGAGGAACAAATAAACCAGATCACTCTGATCTGTCCCCAGCGCAGTTTGTGTGACAGCACCAAAGCTGATATTGTTCCGAGCCATTTGTCCCATCAACACAAGCTACGTGAGTGAATTCCTTGAGGGAGAGTAATTACTGTATCTGAGGCCGGGGAAATTATCCTTGGGGTGTACTCCTCTCTCCTGAGAATAGTTCCTCTCACAATTATGTTTTCTGCTAGGAATCTATTATATGATCTAGTTTTCCCTCCAAAGACATCATTAGTCATATGGTGAAAATGTAACTACAATTGAAAATACAAGATGTTTTGTTAAAATGCCATATTCAACGCTTAGTAACTGTCAAGCTCAAAAGTTTTACAGAATCAGTGCCTGGCATCTCTTCTTAAAAATGCCGCTACTGTTTCCCGCATCGCCTTTCTTGTAAGGATTGTGAAGTTCTCCTTCTTTAAAATAATTACGTAGGACTTCATAAAGTTATTCTGGTCACAATGCTCAGCTTTGCTAGGGCGTTGTATGTTGCGTTTGTATCGCAGCACCATGTTTTGGGGGAAATCATGTGAGAAAAAGTCTTTCCTGGAAACAACCGGAGTGGTCCAGTGTCTTTGTAATGGGAAGGAACTTGGAGTCAGAATAGCTGGGTCCTAGCCCTGGCTCTGCCTTTGAGTGAATCAGCTCTGCGCCCGAGCTCCTGTTTCCTTTGCCCTACTGTGAACCATGGGACCAGGCACTTTCTTTCTTTCTTTCTTTTGTTTTTGTGTTTTTTTTTTGAGACAGAGTCTCACACTGTCACCTGGGCTGGAGTACAATGGTACGATCCCGACTCACTGCAACCTCTGCCTCCTGGATTCAAGCAATTCTCCTGCTTCAGCCTCCCGAGTAGCTGGGATTACAGGCACTCGCCACCACGCTTGGCTATTTTTTTTGTATTTCTACTAGAGACAGGGTTTCACTATGTTGGCCAGGCTGGTCTCGAACTCCTGACCTCGTGATCCACCTGCCTCAGCCTCCCAAAGTGCTGGGATTACAGGCGTGAGCCACTGTGCCCGGCCAGAACCAGGCACTTTCAAAACTGCTTCACTTCTTACCTTCGGAGACACCTCCCCAGCAATGCCAGGACATCCAGCCTCCGCGTGATCATTACAATTAGCTCAATGCATCAAACTGAATTTTTAAAAGTTGAAAACAATGGACTTGATACAGACAGCAAAATGAATATACTGAGAGCAGTCAGAGAAGTAGCCCCTGACCCAACGTCACACTTGGAGTCGCACAGAGATGATGCCAAATACAAACTCCGCCACTGTGAGAAGAGAGAAATGCAGAGTGAGGCTGGGCTCTGACTTCTCAGCCTAACCTAATCATGGCTGGGGACTGAGACCACCGCCAGCAATTGGAGGGACAAAAGCAGGAGCAGGAGGAACCCATGCATGGGAGGGGCAAAAGAGGCCGACTTGGTGGACCAGCAGGCGCAGAGGCGGACCAGGAGGGTGGCGACCCGTGTGGGTGAGGTCCAGTGGGATGCAGCTCCTCCTGCAGCCCCAACACAAGATCCGCATTTAATGCGCACTGTTATTGATTGTCCTGGCTTTTGGTTGGGGAAATATGGTACCCAAGTTTGGAGCCAACTGGACGCAGCACCCAAGAACAGGCTGGTGTTGGGACAACAGTGGGCACAGAGAGGGCTTCTGCAGCTAGCACCCTTTGGCAGGAAAAACTCTTCAGCAGTGGCAACTGAACCACCAACAGCAGGAAATCCTGTGGGCACCAGAGCCTCCAGGAAGAGCTCTGCTTCCCTGCTGGCTACATGGACCCTGGCACCCCATAAGGCCCTGTGCTAGACAAGGCATGGCCACTGTGTCGGAGTGCACAGAGCTAGAAATTGCTGTCCTCATCCCAGCCCTGCCCCTTTCAAGCCCAGGAGCATGGGCAAGTCCCTTAACCACCTTTGTCTCAGTTTCCTTTCTATTCTGTGTGCTGGAGTGATAAACCATCTAGACTCTGAATTGTAGGCACCAGGAACAAAGGAAAGGATGGGGCAGGCAGGGGAGGAGGAGCAGGGAGAGGGAAGACAGACGCAGGTGCTGCTGTGGCTGGGGAGGGCAGTGGGTAGGAAGCCAGACAGCAAAACTACCCTTGGCCCCTGCAGAAACCAGCAGCTGGAACACAGCAGACATATCCTGTCTGTCAACCCCTCTGGCTCCACCCATTTCTGAGTCATGGGCAGGTCCCTCGGCGGCCCATTGCAGGCTCTTCCCCTGCCTGAGCACACAAGGTTACTGTAGGGCAAGTCTCTATCTGGTGGCCACCCCGCCCGGGCTGCGCTCCTAAGAATGGACAGTTGGGGCTCCTCCCTCACTACAAGCCATTACCAGCTGGCTAACTGTGATGATTCATGTGATCAGTTTAAACACTTAGAGAATATAGGGGTGACAAGTCACATACTGGGTGATGTGGTTTGGCTCTGTGTCCCCACCCAAATCTCATCTTGAATTGTAATCCCCACGTGTCAAGGGAGGGACTGGGCGAGAGGTGTGATTGGATCCTGGGGGCGGTTCCCTCATGCTGTTCTCATGATAGTGAGGGAGTTCTCATGAGATCTAATGTTCTAAATGTGTGTGGGTTCTTTTATGCTCTCTCTCTCTCTCTCCCCTCACCCCATGCCACCATGTAAGACATGCCTTGCTTCCCCTTCACCTTCTGCCATGATTGTAAGTTTCCTGAGCCCTCCCCAACCATGCCAAACTGTGAGCCAATTAAACCTCTTTCCTTTAAAAATGACCCAGTCTCAGGTAGTTCTTTATAGCAGTGTGAAAATGGACAAACACACTGGGTAGGGGAGCGATACTCACTGCTTGCAAACACTGGCTACACCTGTGTGCCAGGCTTATGCCAAGACATTTCAAACCCAGATGCCACCAGGTTTCAGATGTCTTCATTTCTGCATTACAACCCATCTTCATTTTACAAGACACCTTTCCCAGCATTTTCTACTGTCATGACAACATTTCCAAGGCCACACATAACAGACGGACAGGAATCGCTCTATGTTGCTCACTGCTTTGCCATAATTTGTCTATATAGACAAACGACGCCAAAACATGACGCGGTGTCCTGGTTTCTTGATACATTTTTCTATAAAATATTTCTTTAAGTTGAGAAGGAGAATTCTAGAACCCTATGTTGAAATTTCAACATGATCAAAGGAGTGGGCCCACATCTGAGCCTGCCACAGAGCTGCTTTCTTAACAGAACAGGCTGGTATGCTCTGAAAATGCAAGTATCACATCACAGTGCTATACTGTTGTCTGTTGAGAAGGTACTGAATCTGTTTCTGCTTGTGCAAACACAGACATACAGTTACCCAGCCACCAACTGGGCTTGCAGATCCCAGGGACCAGTCTTTCAAAGCTCTAAAATTGTGATTACAATGAAGATGGGACTGCCCATGCTAAGGGTCTCAAAGACTTAGCTTCAAGAGGGTAGAAAAACAAAAAGAAGATAATAGGGAAAAGAAGAAAGACAACTGAAAATTTAAAACGTGAGTCTTGATTGGTCTTCTTCAAAATGAAAGAAGGGCTGAATCCAGTTTTAAGTTCAAAGTCCTAAAATATTAGCATATTCCAGGGGTACCTGAGTCATTTGTATTGTTCCAAAGTCCTCCCAGATTTTCAAATTGCTTTCCATGATTCAGTAGAAACTAGGGACCATGGTTTCTTGATGAAGTCTGACACGTCCTCTGCCTATCAGCTCCCCCAACCCACCTGTCTGATCCACTTAGGAGCAGACAATGAGTGCTTGGAGCATAAGGAGATGAAGGATAAATTCCACAGAAGAAACAGATCAGGCTTGAAAAAAACACACCAACCCAGGGCGGCATTAACTCCACAAACTGTGAAACTCTAGAGCTAGGGAAGGTTGCTGAGAAAACTCAAACTACCACTCATCAATTTCCTGTAACATGCAACAAGCTAGTGGCAAACTCCTGCACTGTGTGGCGTTCCAGACACCTCCTGAGCTCTATCCTCTCTGTTTTTTCTATTTTTATGTATCAGCTCTTTTCAACAGTTTAGTTTTCTTTCTAGCCTACCACAACCACCCACAAAAGAATCCTTTCAAGATGGGTCTCTGGAGAGGTCAGTCTAGGTCACTGGCCACTTTTTAACACTTCACGCTTGGGAGGGGGGCACCTGTCCCCCATTTTGCTCTGGGCGGTTGAAAAACAGTTCCATCTTGAAAGATGGACATGAACAGCATCCACAAAAGAGGACTCTCTCAGCACATGCCAGAAACAGGCACACTTTGACACCCGTCAATCTTTGTGAAATTCTCCATAATGACATCGCAGAATTTCAGAGCAACCATGAACTTTGAGATCACCAAATCCAACCTGTTCATTTTATAGGAGAGGAAAATTCAGGCAGAAAGCAATAGAATAAATTGACCACAGCAGTGACGGCGTTGGGAAGAGAAGCTCAGCCTCTCAACCTCCAGACCCCGATTTTGCCCAAACAACCTGTTGCCTCCTTCAGAGGCTCCTCCCAGCTTGATACACAAAGCAGCCGCCCTCCCTACCTTTCTTCCTCCACCAGGGTCCTTCAGGAACCGAATAGGAAAGGTCCCTGAATTCAATGTTCACAGCTGCCCTCCGAGGCAAGGAGGAGAAGCGCTGGGCTTCCGTGAGGTTATTATCTACTTTTTTCAGATGTCCATTCAGCAGGTCCGTCTCAGTGGCCTCCATGTTGCTGGACACCACCTCATCCACCGAGACACACACCGACTTGGGCTCCGTCATCTCTGCAGAGTAACTGCTGGCATTCTAGAAAAACCAGAGGAAGCAACAAGACCTGTTATAAGCTGCATCAAGAAAAAGAACATGAAGAGATTCACCATGAGGCTCAGGGTCATTGGTTATTAATAGCAACACTTCTTCCACTGCAGGAGCACCTTTGGCCCCAGGAGAAATGTGCCCACCTAGAGGAATTTGTCATCTCCGTCACATTTTCTTCTATTAAAAAATGCTTAAGGTAAAGTGTTACACTGATCTACAAGTCTTACTTTGGAATCATAAAATCTAATCATAAAACTATAATCCATGAATCATCACTTGCCTCAAAGAAGAAAACACTGGCCACCATAGGCATCGATCTATTTACAGTCCCCTCATTTTAAAAACCTCAATAAAGACACACCAGGTGCCTAAGAAATAAAAAACCGAGAAACTTATATTTACACTGAGCTGTTTTGTGCCTTTCTCGCGTAATCTCATAAAAATGTCTCAGGAGCAATGACATCACCTGAGCTGCTGAGTTTTGTGGGGATTGGCCTTTGTATTTTGCATTTAAAATTTCCAAATCACTTACAATTCTACTCTCTTGCTACCTCTTCATAATAGTGCTGAAAAGTTGGAATGGTTAACATTTTTTAATATGTTAGACAAACAAGGAAACTGAGATATAGACAATTTAAGGACCGTGTTCCAGGTCTCACAATCAAGTGAGTAGCAGAAGTTATCCCAGAATTTGAGTCATAAAAAAAAAAAAAAGATAGGTGTTCATTTCACTGCATCAAGAGAATACCTAATCTTTTGTAGCTACCATTGGCTTTTAAAGCTTCCATTGGGAGTCAAACGAACTGTAACTGATTGCCAAGAACCCAGAAGTACCTATGCAAAGAAAGAAATACCCTTTTTCAATGGCCTGGCAACCGTGAGCAAATCAATAAGCTTCAGGTACCTTCAAAACACAGAAGAACCCTGGGGGAGCAAATTGCTGTGCTTTTTCTTGCTGTCTTCCAAATCGAGAGAGAACATCTCACAGTGCCAAAAGCACACACACACCCCTTCCAGGCATCTTCTACCTCTGAAGTCCTTCATGAAATCAAAACTTAGCTCCTGCACTATAATATTGTGTGGCTAAAACTAAAGGTGCCAAGTGAAACTCTGACAAAGCTGAGCTTGGTCTGCTGGTCCCGGGCATGTGGGGTGTCTTGGATGCCAGCGTAAGTGGGTTCCCCGCATTCCCGAGCAGAGCTGGGAGGGTGTATGTGTGTCTGACAAGGGATCCGCCTTCCTTAGGGGTCTGGTGTGATGATAAGATGCAGACTCCAAGGGAGCGACCCCGAAGCCTCCTCCCAGCTGGTCCCAATGCCCCTGTGGCAGGGCCTCTTGGAGGAGCTGCTACGCCATGCCCCTCAGCCTGCCCTCTGGGATCCCATGCTGCTGCCCCAGGTGTTTAGAGCTCACTTTGATTCCAAAAGAGCCCCAAAAACACCAAATCTGGGCTTTGGAGGGGGGATGTCAACAAAGCTGTGGGACAAGACAATGCGCTCTAGGTCTGGTTCCCTGTGTCCATTTCCATCCCCACCTTGCCACACAAATAAAGACACAGAACGCGCTGGGTTCTACCCAATCCTGCTGGCAGATGTGGGCTCTGCCACGTGACCCCCGATGGCTGTGTGTGCAGTTGAGGGTAAGTCCTAGGGTGCTCGAGCAACTTCTCTCCCATTGTGGGTCCTCTCCACCTCCACCCCAGGAGGCCAGCTGCCACGCAACATCTGCACCCTCTCCCCAGGCACCCATTGCAGGTGTGAGGCCCCTGCTGAAGCCCAGGGACAGATGCTTCTTTCTTGTGGCTGAAGCCCACACTAATACAGGGTGAATGGCCACCACACCACCCATCTACATTATCATGAGACCCTGACTTTCTCTGCTAGACTCACTATCTGCTCACTCACTCACTGTCTCACTCACTCATTCACTGGACAAACTGAGCACCAGATAAAGCCCTGGGGTCAGCAATTAGCCAGGCAGACATGGCCCCTGACCTGGCAAGCTCAAGTTCAAGATCTGGCCCCAGGCAAGAAAACAGGCAACTCATTACAATAGGTTAAGGCAAGAGCCAGGAGGAAAGCATAAGTGCCTCCAGATTGTTGAGAAGCTCAGCTGTGCTTCTTGATGCTTTGGTTATTTTCCTCTGGGCCGTCGCCTTGAGGACTCTTGGTGGGTGCCTTTTCCCCATGTGTGCCTATGATCTGCTTCTTTCATTTTGAGGAAGACCAACTAATTACAATAGGTCAAGCCAAGAGCCAGGCGGAAAGCATACTATGGGTAACTCAGAAGGGATATCTAACGCAACACAGACCCTGAGATGGGGAGACGCAGGACGAAATCTTTCTGCAGAAATAGAATCTTAGTTGAGTTTAGCAAGGTGACATGGAGGAGTGCTGGCTCCTGGTGGCCTCTGCTAGGGAACAGCATAGACAAAGTCCCACCAGCATGAGACAGTGAAGCGTTCAGAGACCTGTAAGAAACGCAGGGGCTGGAGCGTGGATTTGGGCTGGTAGGGTCGGGGCAGGAGAGTAGGGGGCTTTAGAATAAGATGAGACTAGAGGGGCAAACAAGGTCCCCATGGGGAAGGGCTTGCCAACTTGGTTACGGGTTTTGCATTTTATCTAGAGATCTTTGGGGAGCCCCGAGGGAATAACAGGACCAGAACTGCAGAAGAGTCTCCTGCTGTGAGCCAGGTGGGGTGATGGTGGCCTGGATCTGCTGTTGGTAGTGGGGGTGAAGGAAAGGGGACAGGCCAGGAGGATAAAACTGGGTGACTAAACTGATTTGGGAGTAAGAAAGAGAGAAGCCAGAATCAAGTACTTGCAATGTAAAGTATTAAATAATAATGGCTTGTGCATGCTAGGTAAGTGATTATAAACAATAGTGTTTATTGATCCAGCAATTACCATGTGACTATTAAACTCTAACCTATATAGTTTATGCCTCTTATTACCTCCACAACCCTAACAGGGACAGGGGTGCTGGGAGGTGGGATGACCATCTCCAGTTCGGAGGAGGTATCGGAAGCACAGAGACATGGTCTGAATTGCTTAAGACCCCATGATTAGGGCGTGGCCAGGCTGGGGCCCTGCTCTGAGAGGCTTCCAGGTCTGAGACCACAAGCCTCTGTAACGGCCCTTGACTATTGCTTAGCCTTCCACGGGTGAGTTGTGGGTGTTTCGGCATCTTTCAGCCCTTGTCCATTATAGGAAAATCCACACCAAGGAAATCATACAGCCCCATCCCCAAATAAGCCAACAGCAAAGCAATGCATACAGTTGACCACCTTTCCTCCACAGCGTCTAACAGCCTCACCCAATTAATAGGATCGTGAAAACTGCGTGATGCGAGGCAGTGGCCTGTCAGTCTGAAATAGACCAGCTCTCTGGAAACACATCCTCCGATGAGAGCTGCCGGCAATGTAGGTTACAGCGAGTTTCTCCTTAGCCTCCTGAGCTCATTAAAATTAAAACACATGCATCTTCTCTCTTCATTTTTTCCTTTCACTCTTCTGTTTCCCTATCCTACTGAAGCATTGTCTTTGACCTTCCCCCACCCCCGCACCGGGCCACATACGATTTGTGCTGCACAATACATTGTACGTCATAGTAAGTTCATTCATAGATGTGGAATGCCAAAGAGACCCTGTTTGGATTGTTCCTGGCTGCTGTTCATGGGAATATTTTCCTGGGCGCTGAGCAGAGTGGCCTGTGATTGCAGTTTGAATCCTGGGCAGATAGAGATGCCTGTTTAGCTGGGGAGGGTCTGTAGCAGTCAGTAAGCCACCCACAGGCCGTGGTGAGCCGCATTCACTCCATTTCCACCAGGAACACAGAGACAGAAACTTTTTCTCCTAGCATTAGGAGGAAGTCAGGAAACAGGAGGAGGAGCCAGTCAGCAGCACAGTTAGCACGCAGCTGTCTGTCTTCTCTCTTTGGTTCACTGCTGCCAGCCTTGGTACCTGCCTAAGCATCCTAAGCACATAAGAGGAAAATGCACTGACCAAGAGCCCCCAAGGCGACTGCCCAGAAGAAAATACCAAAGGCATCATACCCTGAACTGAGCCAGAGACCAGACCGCACTTGAGGGGTCACTTGGAATCCCAGAACACCTCCAAATACCACCCTCCCACTGGACGCATTTGCCACCCCTTGTATGCCCACCGAACTCAGGGGCTCCAGCATGTTCCCCCGAGTGCCTGGCTCACCCCCAAGTACCTCCTTTGACTCACAGCTCAGAGGGTCCACACCAGGATGGACCCCAGGGCAGGGAGGTGAAGGAAAAGCAAAGCTTAAGATCCTGGTATCTCTGAAGGGCTCTTTGTTTATGACTTGGCCAGAATTTATTTTATTTTTAATTTATTTTTCTTTTAACCCTACAGCCCCCAGAATTCCCAGGTGGTCTCTCATTCAAGGACTAGCCGGGGCCTAACTCTGCTTAGCTTCTACCATCAGATTATTGCTTTCAGGGTGGGACAGCTGTGCATGAATAGAAATGTTTAAACTTTTTTTAAAGTACCCAGTTTTCAGAGAGGAAAATAATTTTCAAAATAAAATAATGTTCTCCAAAACAATGAGCCCAGCCGTTACTGTCTCCACGTGATAACAAGACAGTTGAGCTCCGGGGGCATATTATCAAATGATAATATAACATTTTTTAAAAACTTGGTATTAAAAATCTGTACCTTAAAACATCGGATTCATTATTTTTCCACATGTCCATTATAGGAAAACCCACACCAAGCCACCTTTGCAGCTCTAGAAGGAATTCAAGAGTTAACTAGCATCTAATACAAGATCTATAACTTTCTCTACCTGCAACTAACATCAATAACCTCCTTAATTTTCCATGGTCAACCTCATTTAGAAATCCTAATAGATGAACAAGTGCAAAAGGCAGAATTCCCAAGTGTTGCCCAAAGATTCAACCAGAGAAAAGCAAGTGTCACCGGGAGGGAAACGGCTTTTCCGTTTTGTTCACTGCCTCTTCTACGTAGAAGCCACGCAGGGAAGGCAGGGCAGCCCAGAGAGGCGAGTCAGCCTGCGGGTCTCCCGCTCGGGCTCTCCCCTCCTCCACCCACCGCCTGGCCATGTCTGCGGCCCCATTCTATCGTTTACACAAAATCATTATATAATGAGCTGGCGAGGCTCCGTATGTTCTACAGTAACCTGTTTGGAATCATAGGATGCAGTTGTCACAGCGGAGCATGCGCAGAAACCTGGCTATTTTTTTTTTTTCTCTTGAGCTCAAGGCAAGAGGTAACTGTCGGTCAAATCCTGCTGAGCCCTGCTGACTTCAAATACAGGATGCTAAAAATGAAATACAGGGGAGGGGCGGGGTGAGCCCCGGAGCGTGCCATGCACTGTGGGCTTACAGCCTCGGGGAAGTAATATCAGGGTAGTAACTACACAGATACACGGCGTGGAATACGGAAGACTTTCCATTTGTACTTTAGCTACCTCTACGATGTTGGTGTGCTGGGCGTAGACATGAAGGGCGCTAGGATAAGGTGAGGTGGGTGGCTGGGGGCCTGATGATTGGTTTGTTGTTTGTTCCTAATGCCAGAAAACCAGAAAGGGAGATTCCTGACCACCCCTGGAAACAGCACTTACAGTAACTGTGTCCAGCAGTGAACTCGCCGACACCCCGCCATCCCTCTCCGGAGCTCGGGGAAGTGAAATGCGCATCCCTGTCCCCACCGCGTCTCTCTCTCCGGCGCGCGCAGAAAGGCGGCCGGCAGGAATCCGGGCTTGCCCCTCGCGGGTCTCCCCGGGCCTTCGCCGCCGCCTCCCCGAGTGGGTCCGGGAGAGGGTGTCCCCGGGAGTGCAGTCGCAGGCTCCGGCTCTCTGGGGGCAGCTTCCTCTTTTGTTCCCCCAGACCTTGCCTGGCGTTCCTGGGGATGGCGCGAGAAGTCCCCGGTCCCCAAGCCCACAGCCGCGCGCGCGGGGCTCCCCTTCTTCAAGTCCCCTCTTCCCTCCGGCCCAAGCTGCGGCCCCTCCCCAGTCCCCAGTGCGCTCCGGGTCCCCAGCTCCCCACGCCCCCCGCCCAGAAGCCATCAGGTCAAGGCCATCGGTCCAACTTGTAGGGCAACTCGCTGCCCCCGCCCCACTCCCGGCCCCTCCACCTAGTCCGTGCTCTCTGCCGGTGCAAGGGGCATCCCGAGGCTCCAGGTGGCCCTGGCGGAGGGGCAGGGGCAGCGATCGGAGCCGGGCGCCACTCTAGGGTGCCCTGGGTCAGCGCCCAGAGGACGCGCTCCTGGGAGGGGTGTCAGGTCGAGCTTGCGAGTCTTTGTGTGTTTCCTGCTCTCCTTGAAAATAAAACCGTTCCCGGCGGACGAAGGATGCGCTCACTCACCATGGCGGTGCCGACCGAGAAAGCGGCCATCAGACAGGCCATGCCCCGGGGGCGGCGGCGGCGGCGGCGGCGGCGGCGGCGGGGACGAGGCTTGAGCTGCGGGGCCGAGGCTGCGCTGGCTCCCGGCTCAGCCGCTGCGCGGGGTGCGGGCTGCGCTTGGGCTCCGGCTGGGATCCGGCTCCGGCTCTGGTTCCAGCGCGCCCGACCCCGCCCCGAGCGCGCGATTGGCCGGCACCAAGGGGGCGGGCGGGCCGGCAGGTGCGCGTGCTCTTGTTTTGCTCCTGCTGGGGGCGGCGGACCAGGACCCCTGAAGTGCAGGTTCCGGGAGCGGCCCGAGCCGAGGCCTCGCAGGCGGCATGGGAACCCCCTGCCACCCCGGAAACCCCGGGTCCCGAACTCGCGGGGGCTGGGCCAGCACGGGTGAGGCTGCGGGGACACCGGACAGACGCCGGGGTTCCCAGGCTCGGAAATCCACTGCCTCCAAGCCTCAAGCGGCTGTGTGATGGGGTCGAAGAGGGGGCGTCCAGGGAGGGAGAGTGAGGGCCAGGGGGCTTCTTTCTTGCTGCTGCTTCTTCCCTTCCCGCCCACCCCACCCCGACGGTGTTGGGCAGCTCTCTGCCAGGTAGGAGCTTGAGGACTAAAGAAGAGATAACCACTCCAACGCCCCCAACAGCACCGGTGTGGGGTGACCCCTGGCAGTGAGGCATCGTGTGCACTCACACATGTGACATTGCTGTGCGCCAGCCATGGTGCTAAGTGCTGGGTTACAAAGGGGTGCTGAGTGAAGATGCCCAGGCCTCTGCCCTCTGTTCACCCCCGAACAAAAAAAGAAAAGCCTCATTTTCTGCAGACAGAGGTGTTTCCAGAGCCATGTTCATGGAACTGTATAAGGAATAACACCAGGGCACACTCCCATGTGGCCCCAGGCTGGAATATCAGATGGTCCAGCATCTCTAAAGCCCTTATTATATATAAGTGGGGCCATTTCCTGGTATCCATGGTGACAAGGAATTCTTTACTCCCAGTCTCAGGCCCTAATGCTTTTGTTCAGTTGTTTGCATGTTGGGACGAAAAACAGGAATGCATTTCTTTTCATTTCCAGCACACCTGGGTCCCCCCTCCCAACCACACCTCAGATGAGCCAGGTCTCTCTCTTTCTCCTCACCTAGAAAGGAGGCACAGCTTTTTATGCCAGGCAGGTGGACTTCACACCCACAGGTCAGATGACTGTAACCAAATTCAGCCGCTCAAATCGAAGGAGAGAAAGGAGACACGGTTATGAGTTTAAGTGGGAGGCCTTGCCTTTGTCTGAATGGTGTTGTCTCAAGAGTCATCCAGCCGGGCGCAGTGGCTCACACCTGTAATCCCACCACTTTGGGAGGTCAGGAGATCGAGACCATCCTGGCTAACATGATGAAACCCCGTCTCTACTAAAAATACAAAAAATTAGCTAGGTGTGGTGGCGGGCACCTGTAGTCCCAGCTACTATGTAGGCTGAGGCAGGAGAATGGCATGAACCTGGGAGGCGGAGCTTGCAGTGAGCCGAGATTGAGCCACTGCACTCCAGCCGGGGTGACAGAGTGAGACTCCGTCTCAAAAAAAAAAAAAAAAAAAAAAAAAAAAAAGAGTAGATCCATTACCTTGATTTTACACTTGGCTGAAATGAGGAAATCTGACTGCTGTGTTTACCAGGTGCCACTGCCCGGGTGCCAGGCCTTGGAGGCTGTGTGGTGCCTTAAACATACACTGCAGGGAGGCCAGCAAAGCTTGAGTGTGTTGGGAAGAGGATTCAGATCCACAAACCTAGGGAGTGTTTACGCCAAAACACAGAGAGGAAAGTGCCTGATGGCTGGAGATGGGGACTGGTGCCCAGCCCTGGGACCCATCTCGCTCCAGGAACAGACAGGCCCTGGAGCACGAGAGGAGGCACGGAACACAGCCGGGGAGGAACTGTCCATGTGGCCAGGGCAAGTGAGGGTGCCTGCAATGACATAATTTCTGTCCAATATCCATCCTCCTCACTTCCAGGAATGTGCCCAGAATTTCCTTCTAGACATTCCCCCTCTTCTACCCCCACCCAGTTCTCTGCCCGAAGATTTATGCGGGATTGATTCACCTTCAGCTCGAGAATAGGCAATTGGCTTCAGCCGGTGGATGGCCCCCATCCAGCCTGGCCATCCTGGCTGGTCCGGAACTGGAAGTGTGAGGCAGTGCTTACTGGGCTGCTGGGAATGGCCAGGGGGATGGTGTGTGGAGCGTGAGGATGAAGTCAGAGAGGGAAGATGCTATGCTGGGCCCTTGTTGGCTTTGGCTGCTGGATTTTCTGTTGCAGGATAAGTGAAAGGGTCCTCACTTATCTGTCTGTACAGTGGGGTCAAAATCCCCACCACGTGGGAAATAAGGCATGGCAAGCACTTTCTAGCATGCCCAGCACCGAGTAAGCATCCCACTGTAGTCACTGCTGTGTTCCCCTCCAGCGCCCGATCGGGAAAGAAGCCAACAGTAGCGTAGCACAGGACCCCATTCCTATCAAGGCTCTTGGTTGTAAAGGACAGAAACTCCAACTGGCTTAAGCTAAGTACAGAAAGGTTCGGAGTGCAGTGGTTTCAGGACTACTGGGACCAAAGACCTGTACTACTCTGTCCTCAGCCCCTGGTCTCTTGCTGTCTCCACGGCTCTGGCCTCCCCAGGTGGTCTCCCCTCTGGCAGGCTGTCTCTGCATGGCCCCCCAGCAGCTGCAGGCTTGCTCCTGTCACCTGGCAGCAACCACTGCATCAGGGGGTTGCCAAACCCTGATGGGCCTGGCCTGGTTCACATGGGATGAAATGAGAAGGTTAACCCCAATGGGACCCTGCAGAAAGACTGGGCATGGGTGTCCAGCCAAGACTTTTCGAGGCATTCTAAGTAGAACCCTGAGGATCAACCAGGCAAGGGGAGCTCTCGACAGGACCAGCTTAGTCCCAACCCCAACAGAAATTTCTGCTAAGGCATTGCTGACAGCTGGTAATTTCCAGTGGGGAGCCACTTCCTGTCTGTATTAGTCCATTTTCACGCTGCCGATAAAGACATACCTGAGACTGGGCAATTTACAAAGGAAAGAGATTTAACGGACTCACAGTTCCATGTGGCTGGGGAAGCCTCATGATCATGGCGGAAGGTGAAAGGCATGTCTCACATGGCGGCAGACAAGAGAGAGAGCTTGTGCAGGGAAACTCCCCTTTATAAAGCCATCAGATCTCATGAGACTTATTCACTATCATGAGAATAGCATGGGAAAGACCTGCCCCTATGATTCAGTGATCTCTGACCAGGTCCTTCCTACAACATGTGGGAATTATGGGAGCTACAATTCAAGATGAGATTTGGGTGGGGACACAGCCAAACTATATCACTACCTCAACTGGCAACCCACTCCATTATTAAGTGTTGTCACCATTAGCAAACTGAACCTGTGTCCAATTGGACTCCCTATCACCCTGACTGCTCTGCACACCATAGCAACATGGAGTCACTCCCCAGAGTAGGCCCTGGCCAGCCAATGATGGCAACAACATTCTTTCCAGACCCTTGTTCTCTGGACCAGATGCCCCCAGTCTCTCCAGTGTGGCTTCCTAGAAGACGCCCTTTTGTCCCACTTTCCCCTTCTCGGGATGGGTGCCAGTTCCTCGTGTCCCTCATGAAATTCAGGGCCACCAAAGAACACCTATTCAGTGTGATCAGGACAGAACAGGCCAGGGTGATGTGCTCCTTCCCTCTAGAGGGTCTGCATCTATTAGCACAGCCCATGTTGGCCTTGACTTGCAGCCAACAGCATCACCCAGTTGACTTCGAGTGGAGTCAATGGAAGTCTAGGTCTGTGGGAAGAGAACTCTTATTCCATCTGGCCTTCCCTATGGTGTCCCATTTTAGAAGTGTCTGATTTATTTCTGTGGACTTCCAGCTGCTGAGGCTGAACATGAAGGGGAGAAAGGGGCACACTGAGGACTTGGCCTCTGGCGTGAGGATCCTGCCCTTGGTGCTTGTGAGGGTGGGTGCAGGGGAGTCACATGTCCAGGTGGGCCTGTGGTGGGGTGACCCCTTGTCCCTGGTGAGTTTCTGCAACCAGCCAGGCCATTGGGGTGAGACTGGCTTGGTGACTTGAATTGCCCCATCTTCTGCAGGACCCCAACAACAGGTCTCTGAATCCCTGGTTCCCCTGCAGATCCCTCTGCTTCTCCACCTGGGCCGAGGCTGGTCTGCATGCAGCCTGCCAATGTGCACACAGACCTGACCTGCCTGCTGTGTCTTCGGCTGCCTTGTGCTTCACTGTGTGGCCGGGGACATCTCGCTCACTTGACACCTCCCCATTTCATGGAGGAAAACAAAAAAACAAAGAAAGCTGTCCCTCTGCCCCTTTGCCCAGCTCCTCTCTGCACCATTCCCACTGCTGCCTGATGGCAATATGAAGTATGACAGCTTATGGGATTTTTTTCCCCCAAATTCTGGAAACTGGGTAGGAGAATGGGGAGAAGGCTGCAGAGAGATGTTTGTCTGCTTGCCTGCTTTTCACAACCCAGATCTCTGACTCTGAAGATAAAAGTTCCCAGCCAGTTAAGAACAGAAGATGCTGCCCCAAGTGTAAGTAGGAAAGAGGGCTTGTGGCTCTCCTGTCTGACAGTGGTGAGTGATGTGAGGGAGGGAGAGACAGGGATGAACACCGTGCCCTCGTCATCCCAGGCCGGGACAACACAGCAGGTGCTCATGCTCGAGACGCATCCCTGTGGCGAGCTTGCCTTGGGCTGGGCCTGGAGATCTCCCTTCTGGTCAGCCTGGCCCCGGCCCTGTTGGCTTCTCTGACCAAGGGAGGGAGTGTACGTGTGTCTTAGTCTATTCTGGCTGCTGTAACAAATATCGTAGACTGGGAAATCTGTAAACTACAGAAAGGTATTGTTCATAGCACTGGAAGCTGGGAAGTCCAAGGTCAAACTCCAGCATCTCTGGTGTCAGGTGAGGGCCTGTTCCTCATAGATGGCGCCTCTGTGTCCTCACATGATGGAAGAGGAAGAGATGGGCCCTTCAACCTGTCTTATGAGAGCTCCACCCTATTCATGAGGCAAAGTCTTCATGAACTAATCACCTTCCAGAGGCCACACCTCTTAGTACTATCAGAGTATTAATCACACTGAGCATTAAGTCCCAACAAATAAATTTAGGGGGAACCCCAACATTCAGACCATAGCATTCCACCCCTGGCCCTCCAGAATTCAGTCTTCTCACATGCCAAATATGTTCATTCCATCTCAATAGGGCCCAAAGTCTTAAATTGTTCCCGGCACCAAATAAAAAGTCTAAAGCCCAGAGTCCCAGCTACACATAATTTAAATCAGATGTGAGTGGGACTCAAGGTAAATGTCCTCTTGGGGCAAATTCCTTCAGCGGTGAACTTGTGAAGTCACACAAGTTATGTGCTTCCAAAATGCAAGGATGGGGCAGGCACAGGGCAGACACTTCCATCCAAAAAGAGAAAAACAGAAAAGAAGAAAGCGATAACAGGTCTCAAGTAAGTCCAAAACCCAACAGGGCAAAAAGCATTATATCTTCTTTGACTCCATGGTCCCACCTTCTGAACACTCTAAGGAGGGACTTAGGCCCCCAGGGCTCTGGGTGGCACCTCCTACATGGGTTTGCTGGGCACAGCCCATACTGCAGCTCTCATGGGCTGGAGTCTCCTGCCTGTGGCTCTCTCAGGCTGGAGGTGCACGTCAGTGGCTCTGCTAGTCTGAGGTCTTCAGGTGGCCCTGCCCCCACACCTCCACTGGGCATTGTCCTGGTGGGGGCTCTCTGCAGTGGCTCTGCCCCTGTGGCAGTTCTCTGCCTGGACCCCAAGGCTCTCCAAAGCATCCTCTGAAATCCAGATGGAGTTAGCCATGCCTCCATAGCTCCTACCCTCTACACACCCATGGAGATGGCCCTGCACAGAAGCCCAAGGTTTATTGATTGTGCCCTCTGAGGGAGACACACTGCAGCAGGTGCCGAGGTCCTGCAGGCACTCCAGGCACCTCTGTGGGCATAGTTCTGTCCCCCAGACCTCGGCACCCTGGGCCTGTGATGGGAGGGCAGCAATAATAACCTCTGAAACACCTTCAGGGTTATGCCGTCACTGTCTTCATGCACAGCACCTGGCTTCTGCCTGTCCATGCTAATCTCTGCCTGAAACGCTAGTTTGGCTACACCCTTGATCTTCTAAACATGCTTTTTTATTCTTTACAGTATGGTCAGGCTGAGAATATTCTGCAAGTTCTGCCTCCTTTTTGACTATAAATTCTGTCTTTAGGCCAGGTGCGGTGGCTCATGCCTGTAATCCCAGCACTTTGGGAGGCCAAGGCGGGCGGATCACGAGGTCAGGAGATCGAGACCATCCTGGCTAACATGGTGAAACCCCATCTCTACTAAAAATACAAAAAATTAGCCGGGCATGGTAGCGGGCACCTGTAGCCCCAGCTACTCGGGAGGCTGAGGCAGGAGAATGGTGTGAACCCGGGAAGCGGAGCTTGCAGTGAGCCGAGATTGTGCCACTGGCAACACAGCAAGAGTCCGTCTCAAAAAAAAAAAAAAAAAAATCTGTTTTTAATTGATTTCTTCCCTTCTCACATTTTACCATAAGCAGTGGAGAGAAGGTAAGCAGTGTCCTCAAGACATGGTTTAGAGTGTTTCTTCCACCAAATATTCAAGTTCATCCCTTGCCACTCTGACTTTCACAGAACATGAGGACACAAACAGTTCAGCCAAGTCCTCTGCCCTCTGTCACAAGAATGGCCTTTCCTCCCGTTTCCAGTAACACGTTCCTCATTTCTGTCTGACACCTCAACAGAGTGGCCTTTACCATCCATACTTCTATCAGCATTCTGATCACAGCCACTTACATAATCTCGGAGGCTCTGTGTCTTCTTCTCAGCCCTCACTAGGATCACCCTTTATGTCCACTCTTGGCAGTCCAGGCCTTTTGAGCCTGTTCCTCTAAACTCTTCCAGCCTCTGCCCATTATCCAGTTCCAGAGCCTCTTCCACATCTGCAGGTCTTTGTCTCTGCAACACTCTGCTTCTTGGTACCAATTTCTGTCTCAGTCCATTTGGACTCCTATAACAAAATACCTTAGACTGCGTAACTTAAAAACAACAGAAATGTATTGTTCACACTTCTAGAGGCTGGGAAGTCCAAATTCAAGACGCCAGAAAATGCAGTGTCTGGAGGCCTGTTCCTCATAGGTGTGCCTTCTGTGCCCTCCCGTGGTAGAAAGGAAAGGGGCTCCTTTCAACCTGTTTCAAACCATTTAATAAGTTCGTCAATCCCATTCCTCATGGCCTAATCACTTCCCAAGGACCGCATCTCTTTTTTTGTTATTGTTTTGTTTTGTTTTGTTTTTTGATTTTTGTTTTTAAGACAGAGTCTTGCTCTGTCACCCAGGCTGGAGTGCAGTGGCACAATCTCGGCCCACTGCAGCCTCTGCCCCCCAGATTCCAGCGATTCTCCTGCCTCAGCCTCCTAGGTAGCTGGAATTACCAGCGCATGCCACCGTGCCCAGCTAATTTTTTTTTTTTTTGTATTTTTAGTAGAGACAGGATTTCGCCATGTTGGCCAGGCTGGTCTTGAATTCCTGACCTCAGGTGATCCACCTGCCTCGGCCTCCCAAAGTGCTGGGATTACAGGCATGAGCCACCAGGCCAGGCCCAGGATCGCATCTCTTAATGCTGTCACTATGGGTATTAGGTTCTAACATATGAATTTGGGGAGGATACCAACATTTGGATCATAGCAGGGAGAAAGTAAGGAAGGAAAGAAGAGAGGTAGAGACAGAGAGAGGAAGGAAGGAGGAAGGGAAAGGTGAGTGGAGAAAGGAAGAAGAACAGGAGCAGAGGAAAACCATGCCTTAGCCCTTCAAGCAGAAGCCTGGGAAAGTGGGTCAGACACAGAGACCATGTCATCAGGGAGGGCAGCAGCATAAGGCTGGTTGGATACACCAAATAGCAACTCTGTGTGTTGGTTCATTTGAAAGAAATGGGAATGCTGAGGCCAGGTGCAGTGGCTCACACCTGTAATGCCAGCACTTTGGGAGCCCGAGGCGGGCGGATCAGGAGGTCAAGAGATTGAGACCATCCTGGCCAACGCGGTGAAACCCTGTCTCTACTAAAAATACAAAAATTAGCTAGATGTGGTAGCACATGCCTGTAGTCCCAGCTACTCCAGAGGCTGAGGCAGGAGAATGGCATGAACCTGGGAGGAGGAGGTTGCAGTGAGCTGAGATCACGCCACTGCACTCCAGCCTGGGCAACAGAGGGAGACTTGGTCTCAAAAAAAAAAAAAAAAAAGAAGAAAGAAATGAGAATGCTTAATCTCCACTGTTTGTTTCCTATTTTGCTGGCACTCTTGACTTCAATGGTATTCTGTCTCCAGCATCCAGATACGCTCCTTCGCTTCCTCTGGTGAGCCAGCCCAGCTATAGAGAGGACCCCTTCTTCACCAAGCACACACAGCCTGTGGGAGGTCAGTGCAAAGGAGGGGCCATGAGATGAGGGAAATCAAGGAGGCAGGGAGGTGCAGGGTGGAGGGAGGGGGGCGGCAGATGCCTGGAAGCTATGGTGGCAAGACAGATGATGAGAGATGGTTTCAGGGGAAAAACTGCAAGTAGATATTTCATAGATTAAGTTAAGACAAGACAAGTTAAGTATTACAGACAAATTCCTTTTGTTTTCTTCCATTAGCATGGAATCAAGAGTGGCTGGGAAAGATCTAGGAAACCATTTCTTCAAATGAAGAAAGAGTAAATAACATCTGGCCCCAAGATGACCTTCAAAGTTGAAGATTAAGACAGAAGTCTCAGAGACAGATACCGGAAAATTACTGGAGGCCTCCTTCCCACAAATAATTAAAAGCTTCCCATCACACCCATAACAAATACCTGCTAGGAAGTAACTGGAACCACTGTGTACCCCACGTTTCCTCCAAGGAACCTCCCACCCCTGACTCCGTGTGGTCAACCATAGAACTCAACCCCCACCTGGAGCCTCCCAGAACATTCCATCCCTCTGGCCACTACTGATGTTCTGGAAAAGATACACAACCCAGCAGGGCCATCAGAGTTCTCGCAGGGACTTCCTGGACCCTAAGAGGGAGAGGGTTTCTTTCCCTGTTCCCTTTTGGCATTGATGTAAGGAGAGTGTTTGTCTGGCTAGGAATTAAGTAAACACCCCCAGGGAAGTAGAGCCGGAGACGAAGGAAGTGACAAAGCCCTTTCATCAGCCCTTTCATCGCTGGAGCCCCTACATCCTGCCCTCCCGAGTTCACACCCATTGTCCATCATTGGCCCTTCCCAAGTGGCTGGGCAACCATTTTTAACTTTTGATAAGTGCTGGGCCCCAGAGCCAGATGGCGGCTCTTTAAACAAACTCGTTCTTCTCTGTGCCCCTGTGACCTCAGCTATTAAGCGGGCTGATGATCCATCCTGTTCACCTCAGAAGACTGTTTCAAGGATGAGAGGTGTCAGCATTTGAAAGCCATGGCCGGCACATAGTGTGCATCTTATAAATGCTGGTGCTCACTATTATTATTCTTTGTTACGGGATCCTCTACTCTCCCTTCTGACCTTGAACTAGTATGAATTAGATTTCAGTCACTTGCAGCTAAGAAGTCTTGATTACGATCATCAGTTTGACAAGGAAGTTAAAAGTCAGAGGCCCAAAGCCACTCTATGAGAAAATCCTTACAAGTAGTTTCTAGATTGACCCTCTAACCCTTAGCTTTTTCTTCACCCAGTATATGCATTATCTCTCCAAAGAGATGATAAATTCCAGCATCTCACTAATATTGCTTTGCTCTAACATCATTCCCAGCACGGAGCCTAGCTGGAGTAGGTGCTTAATAAAAACCATGAGTTATGTTTGGACAACCTCGAGTGCTTTAGAAAATGTTGTAATGTGCATGATTGCATTTTGCCTCAGAACGCCCTGTGGGGTAGGAGGGCAGGTGCCATCGCTGGACCCTCATGGGTTTTACACTTTCACACCAGGCACCAGGCAGCCCACATTTTGCTATTTCTATCAGTCAGATGATCTGTGCCTGGTCCCTCAGAGGCAGCTCCTCCATGCCAAGCCCAGGTCAGGTCCAGATCAACTCTCCATGGCTCCAAAGGCCACAGTTCAAGTGTTCTGTGGACTCAGCCCCCTGATCACCTGAGCAGAAGTCCTCTTGCCTCCCTGAGACCTCTGAGCTCTCCTGGTGCCTGCAGACTCCACAGCTCCCCTTTCCAGGCTCCGAGACATTTCTCCTGACCCTCCTGCCTCCCTCCCCCAGAACCCCAGCTCTGCATTCCTCCTCTCCAGGAGGGCCTGGGGCAGTCACCTTGTGGAGCCTAAGCTTTCAAAAGCAAAAGTTTGATTAGAGAGATTATCTTCTGCATGCCTGGAAACTTCTGCCTCAGGTCCTGCAACTCCCTAAAGGCTTTAGGAGAAAAACAACTCATTTTAAAAAAGAAAAAAAGACATGACTACTTTTTAAAGGGAGGGGAAAATTGCTAGAGCAGGGAAAATTAACATCATAAATTATCTCAGTAAATTATCCTGCTACATGAAAAAAAGAAAATGGAGGCTCCCTGAGGTTTGTAACCTCCTTAGGGCCATAAAGCCCCGAAAAAGGATCCAGGTCTCCTAGCACCTGGCTAAGTATCTTTTCCACACGTTCACTGCTATCAGGTATTTATTGGGTGAAGACGGCAAACCTATTCCAAATGGGCAGATTTCTACAAGGAGCACAAGTTCAATCTGTTCAAGGTCATAGGACAGGCTTGTGGGAAGATGGAATAGACATATTTTTCCCTACTTCTCCCTCTAAGCACAATTCAAAACCTTGGATATTACACAAAACCAACATAAGGAGACTCTAGAAGATAGGAAAAGGAAGGCAAACCATCCAGGGTTCTTGGGACCCAAAGAGCCACACTGTGGTGAGGTCCCTAGATTTTTGTTTTGCATCATATGTCCCAGAGTTTGAGTTGAAGAAGCTGAAAACCTGGAAATGCAAATGAGCACAGACCAAAAAAAAAAAAAAAAGTCCCAACAAAAGCCTGCTCTCTCTAGCCAAAAGAATAGGAAAAGGGGAACCTAGAGGACAGAAAATTTTTAGACAATAACTTCTCTGCTTCAACCAAACATTCCAGAATAAACTGTGGTCAAATGTCTGCCCATGCCAGCAAAGAAAGAGTGGGGAGTTCAGATTTCCACCCTCCTCAGGCTGTAATTAGGCACATAAACCAACTCTTACTCTTCTAGCCATAATATATGTGTCAGAGAAGGCCAATTAGGAAGTCTGGACTTCTGCTCCCACTGGGCACTAATGAGAAGCTCCTCGTCCACCTTGCTGGGGTGGTGACAGGAGACCCAGTAGAGTCAGGACTTTCACCACCACCCAGGGTAACAAGGATACTCATCACCCTGTGATGTCATGAAGACCATGTGGGGAACAGTAGTTAAGGTCTTCTACCTCCCCCAGCTAGGGAGGTATCAGTAGAGGCCAAATGGAAAGCCAGAACTTCAACCCCCATCCAGTGGTAATGAGGAGCCCCTCTTTTGGGTGTCAACAAAGGCTGAGCAGGGAACCTGGACTTCTACCCTTGCCTGGTAGTAAGGTGGCAGTGCCGTGCCCCCGTCCCCTCCCACAGTGATGTCAGAGAAGCCAATTAATGGATGGATGCCAATCAATGCATGCCAATGCAAAGAGGACAGCAGTGTTAGAATTATCCAACAAATGTTAACAAGCAGCCATCATAAAAATGCTTCAGTGAGCAATTATGAGCAGACTTGAAAAAATAAAATAGAAAGTAGAAAGTCTTAGCAAACAAATAGAAGATAAAAAGAACAAAATAGAAAGTTTAGAATGGATTACCAATATTAAAAACTCAGCAGATGGGCTTAATAGCAGAATGGAAAGTACAGAGGAAAAAATTAATAAACTGGGAAATGGAACAATAGAAATCATCAAATCTGAACAACAGAGAAAAACAAGCTGAACAAAAAATGAACACAACTTGAGGGGCCTGTAGGACTGTATATACAGATCTAACAGAAGCCCAGAAGTGGGGCTGAGGGGTTAAAAAGTAATCAAAGAAATAACAGCTGAAAACCTCTCAAACTTACCAAAAGATATAAACCTACAGATTCAAGAACCTTAGCAAACTCCACACAGAATAAACCCAAATAAAACTATACCAAGACATATTACAGTCAAATTTCTGAAAACGGAAGACAAAGAAGAAATCTTAAAGGGAATGAGAGAGAAACAATACCTTACCTATAGGGGAAAAAGCAATTTACATGACAGCATATTTCTCACTGAAAACAATAGAAGAAGACAGAAAGAATTAGCACAACATTTTTTATTTCCTGAAAGAAAAAAAAAAAAAACTGGCCACCCAGAAATCAAGATATTCTCAGATAAAGAAAAACTAAGAAAATGTGTCACTCATAGACATAACCTAAAATAATGATGAAATGAAGTTATTTAAACATAAATAAAATGGTAAAAGAATGAAACTTTGAACATCAAGAAGGACAGCACTTTGAGAGGCTGAGGCAGGAGGATTGCTTCAGCACAGGAGTTTGAGATCAGCCTGGGCAACATAGTGAGGTCCCATGTCTACAAAAAATTTTAAAATTATCCAGATGTGGTGGCACCATGCCTGTAGTACCAGGATATAGAAGAACTCAATAACACCATTCATCAATAGGATCTAATCAATATTTATATAACACTCCACCCAACAACAGAAGAATGCACATTCAAGTATCCATAAAACAGATACCAAGTTAGACCATATTCTGGGCCACAGAGCAAACCTCAACAAACTCAAAAGAATTGAAATTGTACAGATTGTGTTTGTTTGTTTGTTTGTTTATTTATTTATTTATTTATTTATTTATTTATTTTTGAGACAGAGTCTCCCTCTGTCACCCAGGCTGGAATGCAGGGGCATGATCTCAGCTCACTGCAACCTCCACCTCCCGGGCTCAAGTGATTCTCATGTCTCAGCCTCCTGAGTAGCTGGGATTACAGGTGTGTGCCACCATGTCTGGCTAATTCTTGTACTTTTAGTAGAGATGGGGTTTCACCATGCTGGTCTCTAACTCCTGGCCTCAAGTGATCCTCCCACCTCAGCCTCCCAAAGTGCTGGGATTACATGCATGAGTCACCATGGCTGGCACCAGACTGTGTTTTCTGGTCAAAGTGAAATCAAATTAGAAATCAATAACAGGAAGATATAAGAAAAACTTCTGAACAGTTAGAATCCAAACAACATACTTTAAAATAATTTATGAGGCAAAGAGGGAGTCTGAAGGGCAATAAAAATACATTTACCTGAATGAAAATGAAAATAAAAATACATGAAAAATGAAAATAAAAATATCAAAATTTGTGGGACACAACTAAAACAGTCGGGAAAGGGAAATTTATAGCACTGAATTCATATACATTGGAAATGAGGAAAACTCTCAAAATGATAATTGAAACTCTTACCTCAAGAATGTAGAAAAAGGAGAGAAAAATCAGAAAAGAAAGCAAATAATCACAGAAATCAATGTAATTGAAAAGAGAAAGCCAGTAGAGAAAATCAATGAAACACAAAGCTGGTTCTTAGAAATAATCAATAAATTGTTTTTCTTTCTTTCTTTTTTTTTTTTTGAGATGGAGTCTTGCTCTGTCACCCAGGCTGGAGCGCAGTGTCATGATCTTGGCTCACCATAACCTCCGCCTCCCAGGTTCAAGCAATTCTCCTGCTTCAGCCTCCAAGTAGCTGGGATTACAGGTGCCCACCACCACACCCAGCTAATTTTTGTATTTTTAGTAGAGACAGGTTTTTACCATGTTAGCCAGGCTGGTCTTGAATTCCTGACCTCAGGTGATCTGCCCTTCTCAGCCTCCCAAAGTGCTGGGATTGCAGGCATGAGCCACCATGTCTGGCCACAATCAATAAAATTGACAAACCTCTAGCAAGATGAGCAAAGGAAAAACAGAGAAGATACAAATTACTGATATTAGGGATGGAGCAAGCGACATCACTACAGATCCCACAAGCATCCAAAGGACAATGTGGGAACACTACAAACAACTCTGCAATCATGCATTTGACAACTCAGATGAAATGAACCACTTCCTCGCAAGATGCAAACTACAACTCACTGAATATAAACAGACTATTTGAATAGTCTCATAACTATTAAGAACATTGAATTTAGTTTTGAAAACTCAAAAAAAAAAAAACAACAAAAACAACACCTAATTCTCCAGGCCCAGATGATATCACTGGAGAATTCTATCAAACATTTTAAAAAATTAACACTAATTCTAGGCAATCTCCTCCAGAAAACAGAAGAGGAAGAAATACTTCTCAATTCATTTTATTTAGTTAGCATACCCAGGTATCAAAATCAGACAAATATAATATTTTTAAAAAATACTATAGTTGATCATTGGCTGAGGCAAGAGGGTTTCTTGAGCCCAGGAGTTCGAGGCCTTAGTACACAATTGTCATGCCTGTGAATAGCCACTGCACTCCAGCCTGGGCAACACAGCAAGACTACTACACTGCAGACCAATGGCCCTCATGAATATAAATACAGAAAACCCAAACAAAATACTAGCAGACAGAGTCAGGAATATATTTTAAAAATTATATACCACATTCAAGTTGGGTTTATTCCAGAGACGTAAGGCTGGTTCAATAGTTGAAAGTCAATCAATGTAATATACTATATTAATAGATAAAAGAGGAAAAAAATCACATGATCATGCCAATTGATGCAGAAAAAGCACTTGACAAAATTCTTTACCCATTCATGGTTAAAACACTCAGAAAAATCGGAATAGAGAAGTTCCACTTGATAAACAGCATCAAGAAATCTACAGTTAATAATATAATTAATAGTGAACAACTCAATGCTTCCTCCTTAATATCAAAAATAATGCAAGGATGTTTGCTTTCACCACTCTTATTCAACATGATGCTGGAATTTCCAGCCAGTGTGGTAAAGCAAGAAAAGGAAATAAATGGCAGACAGATTGGAAAGGGAAAAAAAAGCAAAACTGTTTCTATTTTCAAATGACATGATTGTCTACCTAGGAAATCCCAATCTATCCACAAAAGCACTCCTGAAACAATAAGTGAGTTCAAGCAAGGTTGCAGGATACAAGATAAACATACATAAATTTTATTTCTATGCTCTGTCAATGAACACATGGACACTGGAATTAAAAACGTGACACCATTCACAACTGCTCAAACAAAATTCAATACTTAGTAGTAAATGTAACAAAACAGGTACAGGACTTGTATGCTAAAACCTACAAAATCCTGATAAAAGAAGTAAAAAAAGAACTAAAGAAAAAAGGAGAGAAATACTGTTTATAGATTGGAAGACTTAACGTAGTAAAAATATCAATGATCAACAAAATATGCATGTTTAATGCAATTGCTATTAAAATCCCAGCAAAATTTTCTGTATATATAAACAAGAGTAGTCTAAAATTTAAAGAAAGGCCAAGGAGTTAGAATAGTTGAAACGATTTTGAAAACAAAGAATAAAGGAGGAGAAATCAGCTTACCTGGTATCAAGACTTATTTTATAGCTACAATAATCCAGACTGTTTGCTATTGGCAAAAGGACAGACGCAAAGACCAATGGAACAGAATGGAAAACCCAGAATCACACCCACTCAAAGATACAAAGCAAATCACTGGAGGAAGGATGGCTTTTCCAGCAAGTGCTGCTGACACATTTGGGTATCCACGGGCAGAAAAAAAGAAACTGGACTTAAATTTTCTTATATAAAAGTTAACTCAAAATGCATCATAGATGTGAAATAACCTTTCAGGGAAAAAATATTAGGAGGAAATCTTTAGGATACGGAGCCAAAGAGTTCCAAAAGCATGACCCATAAAATGAAAAATTGATAAACGGGACTACATCAAAATGAAAAATGTTGACTCTGAGAAAGACCCTGTTAAGAAGACGAAAAGTGTTAATAACAGACCAGGAGAAAATATCTGCAAATCTCATCTCCAACAAAGGATTAGGATTCATAATGCCTGAAGAACTTTCAAAATTCTCCAATGTTCTACATCTATGATGCATTTTGAGTTAACTTTTGTATAAGAAAATTTAAGTCCAGGTTCTTCTTTTTTTCTGCCCGTGGATACCCAAATGCATCAGCAGCGCTTGCTGGAAAAGCTGTCCTTCCTGCACTGATTTGCTTTGTATCTTTGAGTGGGTGTGATTCTGGGTTTTCTATTCTGTTCCATTGGTCTTTGTGTCTGTCCTTTTGCCAATAGCAAACAGTCTACACCAAGAGATAGCTGTGACTGTTGAAGTCTGGGCATTGTGGCTCACACCTGTAATCCCAGCACTTTGGGAGGCTGAGGCCAGAGGATCGCTTGAGCCCAGGAGTTCAAGACCAGCCTGAGCAACAGGGTGCGACCTCATCTCTATAAAAAATTTTAAAAATTAGCCAGGCGTGGTGGTGGGCACCTGTAGTCTCAACGACTCAGGTGGCTGAGGTGGGAGGATCGCTTGAGCCTGGGAGGCAGAGGTTGCAGTGAGCTGTGATCGCGCCCCTGTACTTCAGCCTGGGTGACAGAGCGAGACCTTGTCTCAAACGAAAAAAAAAAAGGGAGAGAGACTGTTGTGACTGTTGAGTAAGATTAAGATGGGGGTGACTAAGTTGCCTGGGAGCTGCCGAGAGAGGGATGGGGGGAGGGAGGCGTGCATTCAACAGCGTTGCACCCTGAGATCACACCCCTCCTCTAACCTGCCGGCCCCCGGTTTTCACTGCTCATCTCTCCCCAGATGGCTTTACTCCTCCATGCTTCCTGTGCTGAATTGTTGTGTAGAAAGTTCTGCAAGGAAAAGTGGGTGGATACATGCACAAAGGCACTCCCACCAGCCTGAGATCTTCAACCCTAGGTTTGTAATATTTCAATATTCAGGTTTTCACTAACATGAAACCCATCTGAATTTACATATTTATTGTCAACTTCCCTCACAAGTCTCTGGGAACAGCCTGGTGAGGGGAGTCAGAGGGGTCTGGAGTGGAACCCTGGCCTCCATACTCAATAGCAGACCAACCGGAACAAAACCTGTACCCAGGCATGGTCCAGGGGTGGGGATCCATCCGTGGGTAAACGCTGCTGCTGCATGGAGATGACATTGCAGAGGGCAGGGACAGGCACCTGCACACTCAGCAGGACACTGCGCCCTGCATGGACCAGGAGAACCACAGCATTAGGGTAAGGTGGTTTGGGGGACAAGGGCAGAGTTCAAGTCCCCAGGGTGGGGCACCTGGAGGGATGACCCTGAAGGGCAGAAGTGCTGAAGGTTGGAGACACAGGTCCCCAGTTTGCCTCGGGCTGGCCCCTCACCAAACTACACCGCAGGAGCTCCCACAGCCCACACCAAGAATCATCTCTAGACTACATCAGGCCCACGGAACGAGTTGAAACAAGCCCAGTCTGGATCTGAGCTTTAGCTTCCAAATCCTTCCCTGTCTCTTCTGACCACACCTGAGGGCAGGGCTTTCTCTGTTTTGTCCACCCCTGCGTTCCCAGCATCAAGAACAGCTCCTGGCACAGAGTCGGTGATCCCTGATGTCTGCTGAGCACGGGGCTGAATCTTAGGTCTCAGGAAGCGAAGTTCAGGTTGGTGTAGCGCTGTGGTGGAGTGGAAGAAGGTCGACAGAATGAAGCTCACTCAGATTAACTCAGGGTAGCTCACCCTGTCATGTAAGACAAGTCCCCAACCCCTGGGCTGCAGACCAGTCCGTGGCCCGTTAGGAATGGGGCCACACAGCAGGAGGTGAGCGGCAAGCGAGGGAGCTTTATGGCTTGAGCTCTCCCTCCTGTCAGATCAGTGGCGGCATTAGACTCTCATAGGAGTGAAAACCCTATTGTGAGCTGAGCACTCAAGGGATCTAGGTTGCACGCTTCTAATGAGAATCTAAATCTAACTAATGCCTGATGATCTAAGGTGGAGCTGAGGTGCTGGTGCTCGTGCTGGGGAGTGGCTGCAAATACAGATTAACATTGGCAGAGAGGTTTGACTGCACAGAGACCATAATAAATCAACTGCTTGCAGACACGTATCAAAACCCTATCAGTGAGTGGCAAGTGACAGTTAAGCTACATCTGGTGGCAGGCTTTATAGTGGCAAGTGAGGTGAAAAAAAAAAGCACAATATGCTGGGCTTAACACCTAGGTGGTTGGTTGATAGGTGCAGCAAACCACCATGGCACACGTTTACCTATGTAACAAACCTGCACATCCTGCACATGTACCTCGGGACGTAAGAAAAATGAAAAACAATAAAATAAGAATAAAACAAAATACAAAAAACACAGTAGGCCAGGCGTGGTGGTTCATGCCTGTAATCCTAGCACTTTGGGAGGTCGAGGCAGGTGGATCACTTGAAGTCAGGAGTTCGAGACCAGCCTGGCCAACATGGTGAAGCCCCATCTCTACTAAAAATACAAAAGATAGCTGGGCGTCATGGTGCATGCCTGTTGTCCCAGCTACTCAGGAGGCTGAGGCAGGAGAATCACTTGAACCCAGGAAGCAGAGGGTGCAGTGAGCCGAGATCATGCCACTGCACTCCAGTGCAACAGAGGGAGACTCCGTCTAAAAAAAAAAAAAAAGTGCAACATAAAAGTATTGCATTTGAATCATCCCGAAAGCATCCCTCCACCCCACCCCCAAACCATGGAAAAATTGTCTTCTGTGAAACCAGTCCTTGGTGCCAAAAAGTTTGGGGACCCCTGATATATGAAGACTGCACGTAAAAAGGTTGCAAATCAAAGCCCCACACTTCCAGGAAGACTGTATTCATGCCCAACACTTGATCAGAATTCTTCTTCACAGGCTGAGAGGGGGAGGCTGGGAAGCCATGGGATGTACCCAAAGGCTTCTCTGGAGGGATCTAGAAACCCGTTGGGACCCTGCAGAGGAGTAGGCAATCCAAGCCACCAAGCCGGCCTCACCCCCATGGCCCGGCTGGCCGCACATGCTCACCAGGGGCCATGGGCAGCCCTGCCACAGGCCCACCTGAACTTGTGACTCCCCTGCACACACCATCACAGAAACCGAGTGCAGGATCCTCACACCGGACCCCAAGTCCTCAGGGTCCCCCTTTCTCTCCCTCATGTCGTGGGCTCTGACTCATTCTCACTGCATCTCCCAAATCCAGGCAGCTCACCAATATTTGGTGTCTGACTGGTATAGGTCACAGATACTTTACATCACAGTTTAAGTCACAAATGATTGCTGCCTGAACTAGGAGATGTGGCTTACATTTTTCTTAATCTACATCTAGTTAATTACACTTATTCCATACATTTATATTTAAAGATATTTTCTTACTAGAAAGCATTTTGTCAGTGACTTACCCACAAACATAGGTAGTCCAGCTGCTGCCCTCTGAAGTGACATATATTTATTTTGCAATTAATAAAGGGAAGAAGAAACTCCCTTAAGTGGGACAAAATTTCAGTTTTCACCACTGCAGGCATGTAAAGCCCCCCAAACTACAAATGATGATTCAGTGTCTGTGTAATGCTACAGGGAGGATTGTTTTAAAATCAGCATGATGCAATTCCATGTGTAATAATATTGCCTAATGTAATTGTTACTGCAGAAAACAGGAAGTGAGCAGGGTTACTAAAGGGCAGTTCTGTTCCCTCACAAGTCACTGGGCGTAAAGCAGCACCTAGTACCTGTCCACAGAAGGACCCAAGTAGGAAAATCTACCCATCTCTCACTTTTGGTCAGATTATAAGTTGTACATTCGTGAACATAGTGGAATTTATTTTTTATAACACACATTGAAAACAATTACGGCAAAAACTGAAATTCCTCCAGGTCTACAGTGTAATAGTTTTAGGTAAATCAAATTTTCGTCTAGATTAACTTTAATGACATCATATCACAATACCTCTAGCCAATGATTATTGCAGCAAAGTGGGGGAAAGTGAGCTGGTGAAGCCTCTGAGATCTCAGCCCTGGAAGGGAGCTTAGCAGAAACCTGGTAACAAGGACGAATGGAATGAAGGCTGTATTAGGTGCTCTGTGCTGAGAAGTCTATCCATTAACTCACTTAATCCCCATCACAGCTCCATGAGCCAGACACTGTTATTATTCACAGTGGGGAAGTAAGGCACAGATTATTTTACTTGCTCAAGGTCACAGCAAGAAAGTACCCAATTCCAGAGTCAAAACAGGTGGGTGTGGCTCCAGAAGCTGCCCTTTTTTTCCTTCCTGTAAGGACTGCTTTTTAAGTAAAGTGCACAAATCTTTCTGTAAAGTCTGATGAATATTACATGTCTATGCACCTGTACATTCACCATCCAGATCCTGATATAGACCATTTGCATTGTGTAAAAATGTTCCTCTTCCATTTCCTAACCAATTACTGTCTCTACAGGTAAACATTATTCTGGCTTCAATTACCATAGATTAGCTTTGTTTATTCTTGATCTTTATATAATTGGAATACAGTATTACTACTTTGTGTCTGGCTTCTTTCATTCATATGTTTTTGTGATTCATGCACGTTAGTGCTTGAGTCCATAGTTTACTCTTTTATGTGAGAGAGTATCTTTTCATTCTCCTATTGGTGGACATTTGGGTTGTTCTCAGTTTGGGGCTATTATAAATAAAGTTGCCACTAGCATTCTTGTATCTGTCTCTTGGTGGATACAAACATTCATTTTTGTTGAGTGAAATCTACCAGAGAAATTGCCAGGTTATGGGACAAGAATGTGCTTAATGCTAGTGGATGCTATCAACCAGTTTTCCAAATTTTTACCGACTTATACTCTTGCCTGCAATGTGAGAGTTCCAGTGGCTCCACGTGCTTGCCCTCACTTTGCACTGTCAGTTTCTGTAAAATGTAGCCACTCTGATTGGAATGTGATGATCATATCATCAAGGCTTTAATTTGCTGTTCTGTACTGATTAATGATGTGCCACTTCATTTTTTTTAAGTTGTATTGTTTTGATTTTAGTATTGGTTTGTAGAATTGCTTAATATTTCTAAATAGGTGCCCTCTGTCACATAGATGGATTTTGAATATGTTTTCTCAGTCTGTAGTTTGCCATTTAGGTTTTGTTTTGCTTTTTGTTTTTGTTTTTTTGATACGGAGTCTCACTCCGTCACCCAGGCTGGAGTGCAGTGGCATGATCTCAGCTCACTGCAACCTCTGCCTCCCAGGTTCAAGCAATTCTACTGCCTCAGCCTCCCAAGTAGCTGGAATTACAGGTGCCCTCCACCATGCCCAGCTAATTTTTGTATTTTTAGTAGAGATGGGGTTTTGCCATATTGGCCAGGCTGGTCTTGAACTCCTGACCTCAGGTGATCCACCTGCCTCGGCCTGCCAAAGTGTTGGGATTATAGGCGTGAGCCCCTGCGCCCGGCTGACCATTTAATTTTGTAATGATGTCAGTTTTCGTCTTTGTTTTTTGATGACAGAAGTTCTTAGTTTTAATGAAATCTAATCACTTTTATAGTTAGTATGTGTGTGTTTTCTTTAAGAAATCTCTGAAGAAATGAAGAATATGAAAATACATTTATTTGCTTTCTTCTAGAAGCAGCACTGTTTTCATTTTCAGATTTAAGTTTATGATGCATCTTGAATTAATTTCTATGTAGGCTGAAAGGTGCATTTTTTCCAAATGCTTTCTTAGTGTCTCCAGCACTAGGGATTGAAAACGCCCTCCTGTCTTCATTGCACTGGCTCTTTGATGTAACCAATGGCCGTATATGGGAGGAAGGTAAATCTCTGAACCATCTGTTCTTCTCCACTGCTCTGTTTATCTGTACTTGTACCAACACCACGCCATCTTAATTACGGTAGTTTTTAACTAAGTTTTGAAATATGATAGTGTAAGTTCTCCAATTTTCTTCAAGGTTGTGTTGGCTGTTCTGGATGTTATTTCTGTATAAATTTTAGAATCACCTTGTCAATTGTCTTCAAAAAAGGGAGCAGGAGAGAAAGAAGAAAACAAGCATACTGGGGTTTTGACTACGCCACATTCATAGATTAATTTGAGGAGAAATGATATCTTAACACATTAAATGTCCTGATCCATAAATGTAGAATAGCTCTCCATTTATTTGTCTTTTAAAATTTATCTCTGCAGTGTTTTGTTTTGTTTTGTTGGGACAGGGTCACACTCCTGTCACCCAGGCTGGAGTACAGCAATCACGGCTCACTGCAGCCTCAACCTCCTGGGCCCAGGTGATCCTCCCACCTCAGCCTCCCAAGTAGCTGGGACTACAGACGTGCACCACACCCGGCTAATTTTTTGTACTTTCAGTAGAGACCAGGTTTTGCCATGTTGCCCAGGCTGGTCTCAAACTCCTGAGCTCAAGTGATCTGCCTGCTTTGGCCTCCCAAAGTGCTGGGATTACAGGCGTGAGCCACCAGGCCCAGCTCTCTGCAGATTTTTAAAGTTTTCAGGGTTGAGTTCTTGTTCATCTTGAGTTGTATTTATTCTTAAGTATTTAATATTTTTTATCTCATTGTAAATGATATATTTTAGTCTTGCTGTCTAAATGTTTGGTGTTAGTCTATAAAAAATAGTATTGACCTTTGTATATTGACTTTATAGCCCGCAACCTTGCTAAGATCACTTGTTTCTGTACTAATCTTTATTTCCTTCTTTCTGCTTGCTTTGGGTTTAGCTTGCTCTCCTTTTTCTAGGTTCTCAGGAGGAAGTTTAGGTTATTTATCTGAGATTTTTTTTTAAATACAGGCATTGGCAGCCATAGATTTGCCTCTCAGTGCTGCTTTTGCTGCATCCTGGACCTTTTGGTATGTGGTGTTTCTATTTATTTTCATTCATTTTAAAGTATTTTCCAATTTCCTTTGTGATTTCTTCTTTGAACTATCGTTTATTTAAGAGAATACTGTTTAATTTTCACATTTTAGTGAATTTTCTAAGATTATTTATTAATGATAACAGTTGATAGATTTGTTTAGAGATAGTTTGACTATGTTGTGCCTGAGTATAATCCTTTAAGAACTTATTCATCTGGCTTGGATCTAATTTCTTGACTCTGTGGGTTGCTGTCTTTCATAAGATTTAGAAAATATTTATCTATTATTTCTTCAAATCTTGCATCTCCCTGTCTCTCTCCCTCCCTCTCCCTCCCCACTCTCCCCCTTTCTCCAGGACTCCAGTCACACCTGTGTTGGCATTGACTATATCAACATAATGTTCTGTTTCTACCATTTTTTTCTCTCCATGATTTGCTTTGGATGTTTTCTATTGATCCATCTTGAAGCATATTAATCTTATGTTCGGCTAGATGCAGCCTGCTCTTAAAGCCATCTGCAATACCCTCATGTCAAATAGTTATTTGTGCTTCTGGAATGTTAATTGGTGACTTTTGCAGATTCCAGTTCTCCACTGGGATGCTCTCTCTTTGCACCCCTCATGTCCATCTTTTCTTCTGTTTTTAGCATATTTACAAGCATTACTTCCCAGTCTTTGGCTGCTCACTTCCTTCTCTGGAGCATGGCCCCTGAACACACAGCTGTTTCCAGAGGGGAGGAGGTGAGGCTGGCCTCCCACAGCTGCGCTGCCTCTCACCCACAGCCTGCTGCTGGGGTCAGCTTTGTCTTCCCACGTGTGCATCATTTCTTAGGGTCCCCAGCATGCCATTTCCAGGAACCAGGCCAGGAGCTGAATGTTGCAACCCGTCTATAATAACAGCAATGCAATCACCCAAACAGTGGTGAGGTCACCGGCCTGTGACTGACAGTCAGGGGGTGCCTTTCCTTTTCCACAAACGACTTGGGAACCTGTCTTGGGCAAATCAGGTCTACACATAAAAATTGTTTTCATCATTTTCTTGAATCAGCCCATCCACATCCAGCAGGACACGCCCTTCAGCCACTGCTCTCTGGCCACCTACCTCTGGGTGCACTTGGATTTCTCAGCTCCCCCCATAAGAAGTTGTGACTCCCCCACCCCCAGCTCTCCTGAGGGGCCTGAGCCCCTCAGAGGAGAGCAGAACCCACTTCTGAGACAGCACCTTTCCTGCAGCCTGAGATCAGTGCGGCTCCCTTAGCTGCTGGCATTGTCTGCAGGCATCTCCATGAAGCCCATCATCGGTGTCATCCGCCCATGCTCCTGCAGCGCCTGCCCTTGGCTGGCTCCTGTGGCTTCTCCAGCCGGGGCAGCTGAGGCTGCCAGCGCCTCTAACGAGTGCCTCGGGTGGGAAAGGCCTGAGTGTGGGGCTGCCTGGGGGTGATCAGTGCCTCCAGCCACATTAACTCGTTTTAGGTGTGCTTGATTCACTCCTGAGAGGTGGAGGGCCAAACACTGAGGGTCTCTGTTCTCTATTCAAGCCACTGTCCTTTCCTGTGTGGCAGCTGAGTGTGATGATGGGGCATTCCCAGCACCTGTGAGCCCAGCCACAGCATCACAGACGTGGGGAGCGGAGGGATGTCCCTTCCTTCCCTTTGCTCCATTGCCTCAGGCATTGGGATGATGGCACGTGCCTCTCCAGCCCCAGGTATGCAGTGTCCTTCTTCTCAAATCCACCTCCTGTTCCCCTGCAGGGACCTGGCCCAGGGGGTCTCCAGCTCCCGGAATCCCTCCCCGCAGCCCTTTCCCGATGATCTAACTCCATGCCCCACCTCCTGCCTATGGCAAGGCCCACAGCCTGGGATCCCTCAGAGATTCTGATGGGGTGAGACTGGGCATCTTCCCAGGCGATTCAAGTCTGCCTCCCAGACAGAGAACACCTGAAACTGAATGTGTGCAAGAATCATCCAGAGTTTGCCCAACACACTGGCCACATTCTGACTCAATAGGTCTGAAACTGCACATTTTGTTTTTTATTTATTTATTTATTTTTTGAGATGGAGGGCCGCTCTGTCGCCCAGGCTGGAGTGCAGTGGTGTGATCTCAGCTCACTGCAACCTCCGTCTCCTGGGTTCAAGCAATTCTTCTGCCTCAGCCTCCCCAGTAGCTGGGACTACAGATGCCTGCCACCACGCCCAGCTAATTTTTTGTATTTTTAGTACAGACAGGATTTCACCATGTTAACCAGGATGGTCTCGATCTCCTGACCTCATGATCCACCTGCCTCAGCCTCCCAAAGTGCTGGGATTACAGGCATGAGCCACTGCCCCCGGCCGAGGCTGCACATTTTGAACCAGCTCCTTGGGTCTAAGTGCCCACATCACTTCTGTATTCCTTCTTGAAAATGGTATCATCGTAACGTCAGCCCTGGCAGAGCGTGCCAACTCCCTCCCCATCTGTCATGAACACCTAACCCTCCAGCCCCACCCAGACTGGCCAGGCCTCCCTGCCTCTTGCACAGTGACTGAGTGTGATGCCATCACAGTTCTGAAGCCAGGCTGCCCTGTAGAATCACCTGGGGAGTGACTGTCACCCCTGACCCATAAGGCAGGAGCTTGGGGTGTGGGATCCAGGAAGAGGGGACTCCAGTGGGTGACCAGAGTTGAGAGCCATGCCTCGGGTCAGTCCTGAGCCACTGGAGGTGGCAACGCTGATGGTCAGTGTCCTCCGTCTCTTTCACAACGCTTTGCCAGTCCCCTTGCACACATACCTCAGGGGCTTTGCACCCCTGCTGCAAGGGGCCATCTGCTTTCCTAACCTGGTCTGCTGGTCTAAGCCCATCAGGCTGCCCTCACTGCCGGCCTCACCTGCTGGTGCAGTCTGAGGTCATTGCAGGCAGGATTTGTGTATGAGCTCAGGCCACGAGGACATGAGGATGAGGGTTTTGCTTTGTTTTTTCCTGATGAACCACAGGATAAGAAATGATTCACTCTGAAAAATACGCCGCAGACTATTTTCTTGCTCTGCTGAAAGCTCAACAGGTCTGAGAACCACAAAACAGCAAGGAGACTGTGGTGTGGAGACTGTGGCGTGGAGACTGTGGCGTGGTGGCTGGCTGGGATGATGACAGGCAAGGGAGTGGCTTACCCGCGGGGGCTTCACCCTGCTGGAGCACCCTGGGCCATGCTGGGAAGGGCAGGAGCTGTGTCTCTGAGGGCCCCCCTGGAGCCTCCTGCGGGGACCTCCTCTGGTCACCACCCCTCTGCATCTTTGGTGTCCTTGAGCTCAGTCATCCTCTCCTTACCTTTCAGAACCTGCTCTTGGCATCTGAGACCAGCTGTTTGGCCCTCGCTCCTCTCAGGGGCGTTTGTATTCAAGCTGTGCTGTGTGCTGTGGAACTGTGTTCTGCCATTTAAAGCCATTCTGGCAGCAGTGGAGGAAGCTGTCTAATGGGGGGTGGGGTGGTGTCAGCTACGAGTCCTGGAGGAAACATGGTCCTTTCCATGTAAAGAACTTGATGAATAAAGAATAACGAAGATAATGAAGTTAATGACAATTAGCGTTTTTAGCATTAAAGATGTCATTCTCCAAAGCAGTCTTTTTTAAACCACTGAGTTGCTTTTTCTAGTCCTCCTGGAGTCTATATTCTAGAATATTCTGGGCAGGAGCCAGGGAGAAAGCCCAGGAGAGAGCAGGGTAACTGCAAATGCCTTCGGTGGGCAGGGCAGGCTGAAGCTGGGAAAGGGAGAGCTTGAGATGTGGGGGATTTTTCTTCTTAATAAAAATAAGGAGGGGTTTGAAGAAGGACCCTGTGGGGAGTCTAGCAAATCTACACCGGCTTGACGCACCTGTCCTTTTCAATTCACAGAAAGAGCTGCCCTGATCGCTGACTCTGGCCCACTTCCAAAAAGAGAAACTGGAAAGGTGTTAAAAAAAAAAAAAGGGAGAAGGGTTTGGGAATAGGAACACGAAGAAGGAAGCCAGGGGAATTGGATTTGACCGTAGGCAGGCAGAGGGGGTGGTGTGGGAACAGGGAAAACAGGTCACAAATTGTCACACATGGTGGTTTCTGTACAATAGGTGTGGGGAGAAGGTGCGTGAGGGAAGAAGGGGACAGCCAGGTCCAAAGACAGCGAACACAGGGCCCAGTGCTTCACTGCTTTGCCCTGAGGCCGGCTGTGCTGCCCTTCCATATTCTGATCTTTGGAGAACCTGCCCAGGCAGTGTGATTTAGTGAGCGGGAGTGGCTATGAACCACATTGACACGTGGCTACGAGCCACAGTGATGTGTGAAGGCACGCCTGGAATGTATGCCCCTCTGTTTTACTGGACAGTGCAGGCGAATTTGTCTGCAAGAACAATGACCCATTTTAGATATAGCCCCTAGTGGGAACCCCTCTCCTGGGAGCTTATACTTGGAGAGAACTGGGCTCCTTCATGATTTCATTTGTAAACTTGGGAGGGCTTGAGACGAATGCAGACTGGCCGCACCTGCTTCCTCAAAGATTTTCACTTTCTGCACTGCCGTTGGCCTTGTCATGTTAACAAATGTCTCAGGCTCCGGTGGCCGATGAGTTCTGGGATGTACGCTGCTGTTGGCAGTGGGATGTTTATTGTGTGTTTTCTACAGAGAAGCAGCTGCTAGGATGAGGCCTGTCCACAGCAGGCCAGGTAAGCATGAGCTGGGACAGAAAATGAAATAGCGCCGTCAAAACTAACATAGAAAGTCACGTTGGGGCAGAGCATTTTGCTCCCCAACACGGGAAGAGGGCTCCTAAGAGGTTCCCAACTGTCAGCGGCAGAATCTTACAGCCACAACACCTATTAAATAATTGCAGGATGTGGAAAATGGAAAAACCACATAAAAATATCTCATGTAGCTGGAGTTGAAAGGCATATGTGTGTAGTAGGCTGCCATTTGATAGAAATCACAGACTGTTGTTGACCAAATCTCAAATCTGCTCACCAAGACAGTCCAGGTGCTGCCCACATAGCTGGGACAGTCCCAGTGGCTGCAGGAAAACCGAAAGGCCATTTGTGCCTCATGGGAGCCGAGAGGACAGAAAAGCAAAGCTAGTCAGTGCCTCCCCAGGGTTCAGAGGGTTTCAAAGGCAGTAAGTTGGACAGCTCGGGGTCTAGATGAATGCTCCTCCTCAGTGTGCTGTGAACCTCCCACAGTCACCGCTGGATGTGGACAGCTGTTCCCTACCTTCAGGTCTCCAGCTGATGGCAGGGGGTCTGGGGATGGAAAGCGGAGCTGAGTGGAGTGGGTTGCACAAGGTGGCATGGAACACCTGGTGTATGGGGCCACAGAAAGCTCACCTGCTACCTGGAACCCATGAGATCCTGAGCTCCTCAGGACAGTGGGCAGGGCCCTTCCAGCAGAGCAGAGCCAGAGGCGGCCAGGGACTAACAGTGTGATTCCGTTTCAGCCTTCCTGGCTCCTGGCTGCGCTCTTTAAAAGTCAGACTGGGGGCCCTGTGTACAAATGTGCCCTGATAGCAAAGGTTTTGTCTTTAGAAACCATCGAAATCTTAACTTAAAAATTTCGAATATTCAGATCTCTTTATAAAACCTGATGGAGCACTGGAGACAGGATCTTTAAAGTTGCTGGGGCTAAAAGCCCACCTCCCCCTCAGCCGCAGCTCTGCAGCGGGTGCCCCAGCAGCTTGCGGCAGGCGCCACTGTCCACTTCTCTGGTCTGTAGGCAGCGCACACCATCCCGTGTTGGCAGTCCCAGGCGAGCCAGTGCTTTCGTGGGCTTATTGTTCAGCAGTGAGAATGCATTTTCCCATCTGTGCAAGGGTGAGGTTCCCAGGCCAGTCCATAAAAGCCTGTTTTTGTTTCATTTGTAAATAGATTGCCTCACTGTAATTCCTCATGGTACCAAACTGTAGGACTCAGTATAGAGAGCTCTGCAACACTGTGGGTGTTGGAAAAATATTCCAAATTTGGCCCCTGGCCTCCAGGGCTATAGGCTTGGTCTTCCCTTCACACAAGATCTCTGGAAGCCCACATGCCACAGCCACACAGGTGCTGAGGAATCCACTGGGATCCAGGCGGGGTTTTGTGCAGGGGCAAGTATGGCCCAGCATCACCTACAGGGTGGTTCTTGGCCAGGGGGACAACCCCAGGGCCGAGGAGGTGAGATGGAGATGACAGGATATTGGTTAACACAGTCATTTCTGAGGGTTGAGACTTGAGAGCTCCGATGGCTTCTAAACTGTGTAGCAAGGGCTGATGAAGCGAACACCAATAGAGCTCCCGTCAGCACAAAGTATCTCACCTGAGGAGGAGGCCATTCGGGTTCATCTTACATGCCCAGTCCGATCTGCCAGTACGGCTGTCACTGCCTTAATTCCTGTGGAGCCAAGCCCACACTCAGCGGGGCCTGAGGCTCTGATTGTTTAGTGATGTCTGCCACGGAACGGGGCAGGGACACTGTGCTGGGAATTTGCCAACCCTGGCCACATCTTCACTGGGAAAGTCAGTACCTGCCATACTTTTAGAATTCCCCATGGAAAAATGTGCTCTTAAATGCAAGCTGACACTGGGGTCATTTTCAGAAGTCCATACCAGAAGCATTATTTGTCAAGGATTCTACAATTGGGCACATAAATCTAAAAATGTTCTATGCCAAATGGCATCTATGCAATGTCAGGGAAAAAGCAGGCAGTCATGTTCTGGGGAAAAGGTTTTGTTTTCTGTACACAAAATTAAGTCTAGTCTAGAGAGCTGAAATCACTAGTTTTAAAAAGTTGAATGTTTCCCACTTCCGTGTCCAGAAAAACTTAGCTACAAAGTATATTTACAGCCACTGTATATTGCACTTGAGTTGCTTCTGCAATTTTATGTTGCCATACTTCATAACTCTTCAAAGTTGTATAGACACTAATATATTTTGGGACATTAAATAATATATTGTCAACTGATTTACAACATAATTTAAAAGATGTATTATAACTGAAATGTAACAATTCAATCATTCTTTTCTTTTTTTTTTTGAGATGGAGTTTCACTCCTGTCACCCAGACTGGAGTGCAGTGGCACAATCTCAGCTCACTGCAACCTCCACCTACTGGGTTCAAGCAATTCTCCTGCCTCAGACTCCCAAGTGGCTGGAACTGCAGGTGTGCGCTGCCACGCCTGGCTGATTTTTTGTATTTTTAGCAGAGATGGGGTTCCGCCATATTGGCTAGGCTGGTCTCGAACTTCTAACCTCAGGTGATCCGCCCGCCTCAGCCTCCCAAAGTACTGGGATTACAGGCGTGAGCCACTGCGCCCAGCCCAATCATTGTCAATTTAAAGTGTTTTTCATTCATAACTGTCCCCTAAAATGATAGGTGTCAGTGAGTCTGGGAACTTCTCCATAAGCAGTTATTGAAGGGCAAACAAATGATTAAAGCTCTCAAGGGGAGTTTCCTGGGAATTCTAGGATAGCAGAGGATCTTGGCTGACTGCGATATTCGTGCCACCCCATTGCAAGAGTGTGCACCATGGCACAGCTCATATCAGAGGCTGAGACAGGGAACTGTTGTCCCGGAAGCATTCACAGGGCTTGCAACCTGCTTCCCAGCAGATGCAAGTGTTGGGCCTGGAGCTCGTGTGGGAAGGACTGACTTCTGAACCCACAAACATCAACTTTCCACTGAAATCCACTGCAAAATGTCCATGCCTCTTAAATTGAAAAAAAAATCTTTTTAGCAACATAACTGAGCTCAACCAATATGAAGCAACCATATGTAGGACATCTTTTTGAATGAAGGAAGGAATGAATCAATGATGAACAGATAGATAAAGAGATAGATAGATGATAGATACATAGATAGGTAGGCAGAGAGAGAGAGATGATAGATTTCTAAATGAGTAAATGCCTTGCCCAGCCCCCTTCTCCCTGGGCTATGTCTGACTTCCGCTCGTGGTTTCCATCTTAGCCCACAGCCAAAGCTCTTCCTGGTTGCTCAGTCTTAGAGCCAACTTCTTAACTACTGGCTGTCTCGCTGTTGCAGCCTAGGCTGTGTGACTTGATCACAGGAAATACACTGGTTTCTCTTTCTGGCTGAGTTGTTGCTAACACTCCTGCAGCCCTTCTCTAACTGCAGAAGAGAAGGAGACAGTCGGCGAGGCCTCCACAAACTAAAAGCCTAGCAGTTCCAGACTGTGGGTGGTGGACAGTTTCATACTTTCTCCCAAGCAGATGTCTGTAAACTGCTTCCATTATTATGAAAGCAGTAACTACCTGTTACCAAGTGACTGCCCCGCGCTCAGCACTTTACTCTCAGCGCAGCCTAGCACTGTGGGGATTATTTAGGGTGGCTTTGCCAGGACTGGGAAGGAGGGGAGAGGAGTTCCTGGAAAGTGGGAATTTCAGTGCTAAAACCAGGACAAGTTGGTCCCTCCAAAGTGATTCCCATTTTCCAGGTGAGGTAACTGAGGCACAGAGGAGCCCCTGGCTTGTCTAGGGCACACAGCCAGTGGGGCAGCTGACTTCTGACCTCGTTTACTCTGATTCTAGGGCCTGTGCTAGGAAGCATGGACTTCCTCCTGCATGTTCGTATCCACATAGAACGGTCCAGTTGTCTTTCTCAATGGTCCAGACACAAGCTTTCGGGCCCTGGGTGAACCCTGAAAGACATAAGGAATAGACATGAGCTGCAGCGTTCAGCCCCCCTGTGGGGTACCCACCTGCCCCTGCTGGGGTACATACAATCTGAGTCAGCTGCCCCCACCAAAGGATGCCTCCCAATCTCCCCCAGCTCTCACCTCTACACCAGGCCTCCCCTCCATGAGCACGACCCTCACCCTGCTCAAACTCCTGCACCTCCTCTGACTCAGGGTACTGCCCTGTCCATGCCAGAATAGAACCCTATCCTGCTCAGCCCACCTCATGACTTTAGGACCAAATTATTCAGAAAACAAAAAGAAGCGGAAGATCTCTTTCGAAAAAATAGGATAAATTATAACAAAATAAAGATATATGAAACAATGCTTCTAGCCTTTTTCACTCCCAATGCACGTATCAGATACTTAAAAATTGGGTGTATTTCTGCTATGGACTCCCAAAATCCACGTGCTGAACCCCTGATTTCCAATGTGGTGGTATTTGGAGGTGCTGCATTGGGGAGGAGATAAGGTCACGAGGGTGGGGCTCTCATGTTTGGATTGGTGCCCTATACAAAGAGAGAGACACCAGCATGTTCATGCTCTCTCAACCCTAACCATGGGAGACACAGCAAGAAGTCTTCTGTTGGCCAGTCACGAAGAGGGCCCCCACCAGACCCTGACCCTGCCACCACCCTGATCTCACACTTCCCAGGCTCTGGAACTGGGAGCCTGTTGCTTTTGAGCCACCCAGTCCCCATGGCGGCCTAAGCTGACTGAGACAGAAAGTGGCCCTGAGGAGTGGGATGCTGCTGTAACCAAGAACCACAAATATGGATGCAGCTTTGGAGCTTGGTGATGAGTGGAGGCTGGAAGAGTTTGGGGGTCCATGCTAGAAAAAGCTGAGATAGCTGTGAAGGAAGCACTAAAGTCAATTTGCTGAGGGCTCAGAAAGGGGAGAGGAGAGCTGGAGGGAAAGCATTCATCATCTCAGAGGACACACAGACAACCATGAGCAGAATGCTGGTAGGAATACCAAAGGCCATGTGGGTGAGGTCTCAGGGGGAAATGAGAAACATGGCGTGGGACAGCAGAGGAAAGGTGATCTTTGTTATAAAGTAGCAAAAAACTGGGCTGACATGTGTTCCTGTTCTAGTGTTTTGTGGAAGGTGAAACTTGTAAAAGATGAAATGGGATCTTTAGCTGGGAATATTTCCAAGCAAAGTCGTGAAGGAGTGGCTTGGTTCCTCCTGACTGCTTATAGTGAAATGTGAGAAAAGATAATGGATTGAAGAAAGAATTGCTAAGCAAAACAGAACTAGAACTTAAAGATTTGGAAAAATCTCAGCCTATCTATGTTGTAAAAAATGAGAAGCCATGTTCAGAAGAGAACACTAAGGCTGTGGCCTCCAGAACTGTAAGAAATAAATTTCTGTTGTTTAAGCCACCCACTGTATGCTGTTGTGTTATAGCATCCTGTATTAATCCGTTTTCATGCTGCTGATAAAGACATACGTGAGACTGGGCAATTTACAAAAGAAAGAGGTTTAATGAACTTACATATGGCTGGGAAGGCCTCACAATCATGGTGGAAGGCGAAAGGCACGTCTCACATGGCGGCAGACAAGAGAAGAGAGCTTGTGCAGGGAAACTCTCCTTTTTAAAACCATCAGATATCGTGAAACTTATTCACTATCATGAGAACAACATGGGAAAGACCTACCCCCATGATTCAACTACCTCCGATTGGGTCCCTCCCACAACACGTGGGAATTCAAGATGAGATGTGGGTGGGGACACAGCCAAACCCTATCATACCCCAAGCAGACCAAAACAACATCCTTCCATAACTTCCTCTGATCATAACACATAAGTAATTGTGAGTGTGTGTGTGTCTGTGTGTGTGCATTATTTATGTGAGGTAGTTTTCCTTTTAAATCACTATGGAATTGTACTAATCATGTTACCTTTTCCATATCTTGAAAGCATTCCATGGCCATATATGCAGATCGTACCCATTATTTTATTAGCCACATCATCTTTCCTTGAATTGTAAGTGCCATAATTTATTCAGCTATTCTCTGATGTAGGAACATGAAATTTGCTTCCTTTTTTTTCTGCTAATACTGTTACTGGCATAATTTTCCTGCTAATACTAATACTGGCAACTCTAGCTTTGTCTTTTGTGTGCATGTTCTAGAAATGGTCAATAATATATTCTTCTCTATTAGTCATGGTTTTTCCTTAACTAGTAGTTTGTTTTTAAGAAATTGACAGTTTTACCTTATTTTTTCCTCTTATATTTGAAACAACTTGGGCTTATTTGTTTTTGAATGACCATGTTTTTTATCCCTGGCTGTCCTAAGATACTGAGATACTTGCATCTTTTTTTTTTTTTTTTTTTTTTTTTTTTTTAGACAGAGTCTTGCTCTGTCTCCCAGGCTGTAGTGCAGTGGCGCGATCTCAGCTCACTGCAAGCTCCACCTCCCGGGTTCACGCCATTCTCCTGCCTCAGCCTCCTGAGTAGCTGGGGCTACAGGCACCCACCACCATGCCTGGCTAATTTTTTTGCATTTTTAGTAGAGACGGGGTTTCACCGTGTTAGCCAGGATGGTCTCGATCTCCTGACCTCGTGATCTGCCCGTCTCGGCCTCCCAAAGTGCTGGGATTATAGGCGTGAGCCACCACACCCGGCCATACTCACATCTTAACAGATCTTAACAGGAGAGTAGCTTCCCGTATTGCTAAGGAACTATTCTGACCGATATAAGGGGAGAGTGAGGCCTCATCAACCTGGAAAGCCAAAAAGCCACGGCTTTAAGCAGTGGTATACTGATCCACACTGAACAATCAGATTTGGGGGTTCAAAATAACTCCCTGGCTTGTAGAGTTTGCCAAATTCCATGGTGTCAATGCTCCTACCACTGACCAATTAAAAGTGCCCAATATGACTTCCCTGGACACATCAGGAAGAGAGGTGCAGCTGCACCCTGTCGTGGAGTATTTCCACCATCAACAACCTCCGGAACTGACAGAATAAAATGGGATAACATAACTAGGAATTGATAAGGTTTGAGGATTGAGGATTTAGTACTCTTGGTTTTAAAATAATTCAATTTTGGACCAAGAGTGGGTTTAACGATTGGTCCCTACTGGCCAGTGGAGGCCACTGCCAGCTCCACTGGCGCCAAGTCCCTGCAGTTTCACTGGAGCCATCACCTCTTCCTCCTTTTCTTCCCCCACGGCCAAACGCACACCAATGACACTGTGAGGCTTACCAGAGCAACGAAATATTCCACCCAAGGAATTCCTCACTTCTGGGCACAGAAATTGCTTATGGTTTAAAAAAAAACTATTTCCCAGTCTTCTAACCATTAAGGTTTTAAAAAAACATGAGGCTCAATTGTCCAGTGGGTCCCAGGTATGTTA